>NC_000010.11:89082489-89385519 GCF_000001405.40 Homo sapiens
ATATTCTGGCATAATAATATGAGCAGGTGTTCCCCTCTCTGACCAGAGTTGAGGCTGCTGATACCCTGTTTTCAGCTGAAAGTTGCTCCAACTTCTGCCTCTTTGAATTGTGCTCCCTTTTTAAAGGTCTTTCTTCTCTTCATCCTTTCTGTTTTGTGCCTATAAACTCACCTTCTGCCCAGCTATTTTTTTCTTTATGTTTCATGTTTTAATTTTGAAGATTTTAATTATAAAATTATATTAATAATGAATAATGTAAATAAGATATTTTAAATACAGAAAAAATTTAATATCTCCAGCAATCACACCTCTTAGAGACCACCATTACTAATATTTTGCTATATCCCCCCAATGATTCATATATATATATATACTTTTTTTTCATTACCAAACTGCCATTACTTTCTACATTCTGCTTTATGGCTTTCTTCTTACTTAAGATTATATCATAAGTATTTTATCATGGCAATAACTACAGTTAAGGACATGTCTTTATGTTAGCATTTGGTTGCAATTCTTTTTCAATCATATAGCTATACCAGAAGTTATTTAATTTATGTTCTATTCTTGGACATTTGGGCTGTTACCAATTTATTGATATTACAATGCTGATATGAACATGCTTGCTTGTAAATTCTTGTATCCATCTCTGATTGGTTCCTTATGACAAAGTCTTAGAAGTGAATGTTAACCAAGTGTTTTTCCTTTTTTAAATTTCACCGGGTTGCTATGTTTTGTATCATTCCCTTTGACAAGTGACCATCAACTTAGGCTTCTACAATATTGCATCCCAGCCAGAGTCTATGGCCCCATCAGGCTTCAGTTTGGGAAAAGAGAAGAAATGCATAGCAGATGCTCCTTTAAATTTTATTCATGTGTAAGTCTTCTCGAGGTCATAAATGTAGCCTATCCATTTACAACATCAAATTCATAGCAAGAAATAGTGAGAAAAGATCCTTTATAACCCTCCTTGACTAGCACCTAATGATATGGGAGCACTGGCCACTTTTTCAGTCGTCTTGTGCCTGGTTATGAAAATTATGGTTAAACGTCATGACTTTGAGATAATTTGAAGCATTTGGAATCCAAGTTTGTTTCTTCTTTTAATCTAGGTACATTTGCTGGCATCTCCTGATGTTCTGTCTTTCCATAGTTAAAATTTGGGCTGAGCTTTAAGGAAATTAAGGAAAGACTACTTTCACCTTTTGAGGCTCCCACTGTTCTGATAGGCAAGCTTGAATAGCTAGGCTACAGGACAGCGCATTTTTCATTTTCCCATTTGGGACCAGAATTGCAGCCTATATGCAATTACCAAGACTAGTCTCTGAGGCAGTAGTCTCTGACCATCCACTTCAACTGCACTCCTGCATGATGCCCTTACATTTCTGTTGTCTGTGTTGAGGAAAATCTGGGACATGAACGCATGTGGTAAACTACAGAACAATAGTAATAAAATAGTTTTCATTTGTGAAACCCTTCTTTGTTCTAGAAGCTGTACTCTATAGTTTACAGGCCATCTCCTTCAGTACTGTCATCACCAAGAGGTGGATATTATTGTCCCTTCCATTTTACAAGTGAGAAAATTGAGGCCAAGTTAGGTGGGTAGTTTAATATAAGACTCTGCCTCAGGAGAGGTATGCAGGATTAAAAATAAATTTAGAGGCCCAGCGTGGTGGCTCACACCTGTAATCCCAGCTCTTTGAGAGGCCGAGGCAGGCGGATCACAAGGTTAAGAGATCAAGACCATCCTGTCCAACATGGTGAAACTCCATCTCTACTAAAAATAAAAAAAATTAGCTGGGCAAGGTGGCACATACCTGTAGTCCCAGCTACTCAGGAGGCTGAGGCAGGAGGATCACTTGAATTCGGGAGGCAGAGGTTGCAGTGAGCCGATATCATGCCACTGCACTCCACCCTGGTGGCAGAGCGAGACTCCGTCTAAAAAAAAGAAAAAAGAAAAAAGAAAAAAACCAAAAATGAAAACAAAAAATAAAAATAAAAAAATAAATTTAGAAACTCACAGCTCACAGCCCACACAGATACCATGGACTTTCACTTTCCATGGTTGCATCAGAATAACATATGAAATAGAAAGTGAAAGAACTAAAGACAGAACTTTGAGCAACATCAATATTTAAGTGGCAGGAGGAGATAGATGAGTCAATGAAGGTGACTACAAAGAAACAGTCACATTAAAGAAGAACTGGAAGAAAATGAAAAAGGAGCAGTGGTTTTCAAAAAGGGAGGAGATGTCAACAAATATCACCAAACACCAGAGTAATAACATAAGGTCTAGAGATGTCTTTTATTCAAATGTCCATCAGTAGGAAAATGTATGAATAAAATGTGTTATATTTGCATATATTTGACTAGTTATTATATAGCAGTAAAAATTAATGAAATCAATTGACATGCAACAGTATGGATGAATCTTAGCAATATAACATTAATTGAAAACAGTTTCTAGGAGAATTGTACATAGTATGATACTCTTTTAAAAAATGTTCAAAACTAAAATAAAGGAGTGATGAACATAGCATTTAATATAATGAGTTACCTGGGTGAAGGGAGTAAGGGGAATGAAATGGTGGTTTGAGCATAGTTAGGGGTAGGTTATTTTTGAGGCCTTGACTTTTATTTCATTGCTATATTTTAAAAATACTTTATCAAAATTAACTAAAGGTAAATGGGCATTGAATGACCAATAATAAATATGGCATGAACCAGGATTATGACTGACCTAATTCTGTTCATTGAAGGAACAAGAGAAAGGGCGAGAGAGTGGAGAGGAAAGGGAAAAAACATGTCTCTTGGATTGAGCAAGCTGGAAGTTAGTCACCAGTGTCCCTAAGCAACACTTTCAGAGGACTGCAGAAACAGAAGACAATTTGCAATGTAGAAAGTGTAAGTAGTGCCCATGTTTTGAAAAGGTTGGTTGAGAAGTAAAAGGAGGAGGTAGAATGTTGAAGGGGGAGTACGGAACAGCCCGGTGGCCTCTAGGCCAGACTTCCTGGGTCCGATTCCTAGCTCTGACATTAATTAATAAACTAGGTGACTTCAGGAAGGTTACTTGACTTCTCTGTGTCTCAGATGTCTCAAATATGAAACTGAGAAAGGGAATGTTTAATAGTGTCACTGTGAATATTAAATGAGTTGTGAAAAAATTGGAACAATACCTTATGTGTTTGCTAGATAAGCATTGCTAGAGGAGATGCAGAGTAAAGGAAGTTTTGTTTTGTTTTTTAAATTTTAAAATGAACGATATTGGAGAAAAAGTTTGACTCTAGAAGAGAAATGAAGTAATTAATGGAGTAAGGTCCTGGAAGAGGCAGGCAGGAATGGAGTCTAGAGGACAGATAAAGAGATTTTTTTCTGGATAGGGAGAAGATCAGAACTTGTCCTAAGAATAGAGAAAAGGAGTGGTGAGTGCAGGAGGAGAGACTTGAAGAGGCAGCATAGGAGAGAGGTTCTAGGATAGGAAGTTTGCCCCTAGAGAATAGTCATTATTATTCTCTAGGACAAGTGTGCAGAGACACTTGCAGCTAAAAGAGAGGATTTTAAATGTTCTCACCAAAAAGAAAAGATAAATATATGAGGTGATGGATATGCCAATTTGACTGATTTAATTATTCCACAATATATACATGTATTGAAACATCACCTTGTGCTCCATTCCAGAACTTGCTGGAATGTCCACCATGAGTACTGAGAGAGGAAGCTTATTAGGGGCACACACATTCACACACAAAAAAATTGGGGAGTGGTGGTGAATATCCACTCAAGTTGGATACAAGCAATTATACTAATACCAATGCCCATAACTCTGTGTGCGTGTGTGTGTGTGTGTGTGTGTGTGTGTGTGTGTGTGTTTCAATAAGTGGTTGTAGAAGGCAGACAGTTGGATGGTGGATGGCACCCAGGTTTAGTACTTACAGGTTGGATATTTAGGGCAGAAAAGAGAGCTGGGATGTTGGAGATTCTGGCAGGAGGATGAAGTGGATTAAACAATACCTCATGGATAAAGCTTGCACACATAAAGAAGTAAAGTAGGAGGGGGTGGCATTTGGGCAAAAAAGGCAGTTGCAGAGGGACTAGTAAACTTCATTTGCTTAAAGTGACATCTTACGAATAACAGAGTTAAAGGGAGAAGAGGCTATGATCAGAAAACAGCATACTAGTTTCTGCTGCAGAACATCTCCAGTTGATGTAAAGAACAAGTATGACCATAGAAAAATAGAGAAGAATGAAAGTAAAGGCCATTGTAATCATGAAAATCAAGGAAACTTGAAGTGAGGAAGTTGCTTCAGTAATTCCTCCACCATCTTATATACACAACAGAGGACTCTACCCTGCCTACCAGCAGGGTGCCAGCTGCTTACTGGTAACAGCTGTGGTGGCAGAATGGACCTTTCTCTTGGAAATAGTCATTGTCTTCTCAGTAAGCTAATGACATGATGCAATCAAAAGGAAATGGAGTGCGAGCTTACAGTCTGATGAATCTTCAGACCTCTTGGATGAGGACAGCTAATGATGCAAGTCAAGGGCGCAGCTGGAGACCCACAGAAGGCACAGCAGTGAGTCACGTGAGCTCCTCAGAACCGGCCACCAGAACTTCACCACCCGCCCTCACACATGGCGGGCGGAAGTTCTAAAAATGTCCCAGAAGGGGACTCAGTCCCAAAGGCAGAACCACTTCTGGCAGACTGCATCGTCCCTCCCTAAGTGCTTTTGGAAATGTGGGAACAGACATTTTCTCTGGTCTCCGGAAGAACGTATGAAGACTAAACTGCTGTGGGTTTGGGAAAAACTGATGTCAGAGATGCTTATTTTCTCTAGTCACTGGAACTCATTCAAATCAGTAAATGCTTTTTGCTGAGCTTTTCCCATTTCCTTGAACGTAGGAGATCAAACCTCACCAACACGACTGCCTCCACCCAGCTACACAATGCAGCCCTCAGAAACAGATGTTCTCAGTTCCGGTTAAAGTTAGTATTTAGTAACCCTGCTCTCTTAAAGACTCCAACTGTTGCCACCCACAGAGCACACAGATTTTCCACCCATATAAGAAGATATGGAGGGAATATTGGGGAGAGGGGAAGGGCAATGTTTTATGCTTCTGTGCAATGGAAAATATGAATCCCAGAACCTGTTAGATTTGAATGTGAATCCTGGCTCTATTATCTTAAGAAATTAACCTCTTTCAGCCTCAATTTCTTCATCTGGAAAATGGAAACAATAATATTTTATAGAATTAATGACAGGATTAATCATGATAATATGTGTAAAATGCTGTGTATGGTAGGAAGAGTAAGTTCTGATGTTCTATTACACCACACAGTGACTGCAGTTAACAATAATGTATATTTCAAAATAGCTAAAAGAGAGGATTTTTTTTTTTTTTTTAGACAGAGTCTCGCTCTGTTGCCCAGGCTGGAGTGCACTCGGCTCACTGCAAACTCCACCTCCCAGGTTCAAGCGATTTTCTTGCCTCAGCTTCCTGTAGCTGGTATTACAGGCACATGTCACCACTACCGGCTAGTTTTTGTACTTCTAGTAGAGACATGGTTTCACCATGTTTGTCAAGCTGGTCTCGAACTCTTGACCTGGTGATCTACCCACCTCAGCCTCCCAAAGTGCTGGGATTACAGGCATGAGCCACCGCGTTTTAAATGTTCTCACGAAAAAGAAATGATAAATATTTGAGGTGATGGATATGCCAATTTGACTGACTTGATCATTCCACAATATATGCGTGTATTGAAACATCACCTTGTACTCCATAAATATATGTAAATATTATTTGCCAATTAAAAATAAAACAGATTAAAAATAGTAGGTGATCAGGTAATGAGCCTACATATTCTCCTCATATTACTTTTTATAAGTGGCATGTCCTGGGGACAGTGACATGGCAGGATATAACATGTCACCTTATATTCTGCTATTAAATTCCTAAGACTATAATATACTCATAATTTCTCTCCTGTGAGTTGATTTTTACATTCTTTCAATTGTTACTTATTTCCCAGTTGACCTCTACCTCCTTGCATGATTCTTCATCTTCTGTCTTTAGATGGTGTTTACCATAGGAAGACAAGCTCTTTGGGATACCAGTCTCTGGAATACTAGCCAACAGCAATGCTAGATACTATGTCACTGCCGAACTCATGCAGTGCACACTCAAGGGTTTTTGAGTTATTAATCCTTTTGAAATTACCTTCACAATATCAAAAACTCACTAGAAATGCATGTTAATATAAGACTAGCTTTTTAAAAATATGTGATCTTGTTAGAAATGTGAGCATCATATATGCAAACAAAGTTATTTACATATTATAGTTAATTATCCTTCAGAGTTAGAAATCAATTAGGACAGGAGTTCTCAAACTTTGCTGCACACTGGATTCACATGGGGACCTTTAAGAAATACAGGTTTCTCTTTGCCACTTTCAGACATCTGTAACTCAATTATTACAAGGCATGACCTGAGCATCTGGATTTTTCCAGATAACTCTAACATGCAGCAAAGTCTGGGAACTGCTGTTAGTGGCTATTATGCACCCAAGGACCATCGTTAAAAGATGCTTACATCTGTACACGTGTGTTTATATTAATGCTACTCAGCTTGCATTCACTGATTCATTCAATAAATATTTGTATAAGACATTAGGAGATACAATGTTGTTAAAATATATTATTTTTAAGAGTACTACTTCCTCACAGTTGGTTACATAATTAGGGAAAACACCTTATTCAAGATGCAGCATAAAATGTATTAGTCAAGAAGAGGACTTTTTTCAGTAAAAAGATAAGCCTTACCAACTCTATGACAAAATAGTCTGCTATCAGACTTACCTCTTTCTCTCTCTCTCTTTTGAACTTTTAGGTTCATGGGTATATGTGCAGGTTTGTTATATAGGTAAACTGCATGTCACAGGGATTTGGTGTACAAATTATTTTGTCACCAGCTGATAAACATGTACCTGATAGGTATTTGTTGTGATCCTCTCCCTCCTCCTCCCACCCGCTACCCTCACGTAGGCTCCAGTGTCTGTTGTTCCCCTCTTTGTGTTCATGTGTTCTCATTATTTAGCTCTCACTTATGAGTAAGAACATGTGGTATTTGGCTTTCTGTTCCAGCATTAGTTCACTTAGGATAATGGCCTCCCTCCAACTCCATCCATGTTCTCTCTCTTTTTTTTTTTTTTTTTTTTTTTTGAGATGGAGTCTCTCTCTGTCCCCCAGGCTGGAGTGCAGTGGTGCCATCTTGGCTCACTGCAACCTCTGGATCCCGGGGTCAAGCGATTCTCCTGCCTCAGCCTCCCAAGTAGCTGGGATTACAGGCACCTGCCACCACGCCCAGCTAAATTTTTGTATTTTTAGTAGAGATGGGGTTTCACTATGTTGGCCAGGCTGGTCTCGAACTCCTGACCTCAAGGGATCCACCTGCCTCGGCCTCCCAAAGTGCTGGGATTACAGGCGTGAGCCACCACGCCTGGCCTGTCTCTCTCTTTTTTAACTCTGCTTTTAGCCTTACAAAAGTATAAAGCCAAGTTGAGTGAAGGGTAGTGTGTTTGTGTGTGTGTGTGTGTGTGTTCGCTCAGGTACAGCAAGGCTTACTTATAGCTTATAAAAGCCACGGTGACACATTTCCCAGTTTCCTCCTACTCTACCTGTCTCTATTTTCTCCTCCTGTGCTACTCATCCTCAATCCCTTTTCACCTTCCATTTCTCTCTGCCTCATCCCCACTTTCCATAGAAATGAGAGAGCACTCATCATGCACAAGATTATGGAATGAATGACTGTCCACATCTTTCCACCTTGTGTATTTGCCTGGAGATGTGGTGGGAGATTAAAAAGTTGGAATAAACTGAAAATGGGCATTGGAGCAAAAATAGCTTGTTAATTTAACATGCGATATTTGTATTTTTGTGCATGACTTATGTCACTTAACATAATGGCCTCCAAGCGCATTCATGTTGCTGCAAATGAGAAGAATTTCATTCCTTTTTATGGCTGAATATTATTGCATTGTGTGTGTATATGTTATATATATATATGTTATATATATAATATACATTTATATGTTATATATATAATATACATATATGTTATACATATTATATACATATATGTTATACATATTATATACATATATATGTTATACATATTATATACATATATGTTTTATATGTATTATATACATATATGTTTTATATATATATTATGTACATATATATGTTTTATATATATAATATTTTCTTTGTCAATTCATCCATTGACAGACACAAGTTGCTTCCATATGTTGGCTGTTGTGAATAGTGCCGCAATAAACATGAGAAGTAGTTATCTCTTTGATATACTGATTTTCCTTCTTTTGGCTGTATATCCAGCAGTGGGATTGCTCAATCTTATGGCAGTTCTATTTTTAGTTGCCTTAGGAACCTCCATACTATTTTCCACAGTGGCTGTACTAATTTACATTCCCACTAACTGCCACAAAGTATTTTGGCTGCTCGTTTTGGTGTTGTTAGGAAGGAGAATGCTAGTAGAGCTTGAATGTTGGCATAACTGATGAACCAGTGAAAAGCTTAGGAATGTTATGAAACAGAGAGACCAAAAGCAAGTAGCTATGGTTGTTTTTAAGAGCCTACCCCTATTCAATCCATTAGATGTGGGTTCACATATCAGTACAATTAGCTTGATATTTAGTTCCCTGTTTTCAGGACCTCTCATTCTCCAGTTCAAGGAAAAGTAGGCTATAAAAAGCAGAACAACGCATTTTCTTAGTACTAACTTCCTTTGTTCTAAGAATACTTTTGTAATACTTTCGTTTAATCAAGAGTATGTGACCTTTCACGTTAATTATCAAGAATGGAACAAATAATTTTTTAAGTAAATTCAAATCATTTCGGTATACTTTTCAAAGGAGGAATCTGGGTTGTTTATAATAGCAGTTATGCATATCCAGATACCTTTTGTCATTCACACGAATCTGTAGGCTAATCTTTAATTTTCCCTGTCTGGAAAGAACACGTAGAAGATAATGCTGTCATGCTCTGGCTTTCTTTTTTACATAAAACCTATGGGAGGCAAAATTTCTGAATTATCCAAAGAGAAATAACCAGGTCGACAGAACACTACCATTTAGCTTGAAAGGCATTACAAGTATCCTCTTGCATAATTTAGATATTTCAGCTCAAGCAGGCTTGGTGATCTTTCAAATATGAGTCATGCTTAGGAGAGAGATGTCAAACATAAATTTGAAGGGGTCCTAAGGACACATAGTTCGCAGCCTAGCCATCTCTGAAAACAATTATTAATTTAAAACTCAAAGAACCTTTGGAGCTTCTGTACCAGCAGAGCCTCTGCAGGGGTTGCTTTCTTACTCTGCTTGGTTGCTTAGACATGAGGACAATATCTCCTTGGCTTTCTAAACCGGACTGCCAGCATTCAAATCTGGCTATTCAAGGGGCTAACTGGACTAGTACATGTCCGCAGCGGGCCCTGGGAGGCTGCAGAATGGGAAGTTGTTAAAACGTCAACTGCAGCAGAGATTCCAAAGTGACCTAAAGGAAATTCGAATTTCTTCTGCCCCATTTCCTATATGCTCAAAGTCAAGGCCCTGTTCTGTGTCACTGTCTCCTGTCTGCAAAGAAGCATCATTTAGTGGTGGCCCTCCTCGCCTCAGCTTCCCTCTTCAAGCTTTCTCTCTTACAAGTACTGCCACAGCTTGTCACGCCAAAGCATTTCATGGTCATCTTTTTTTGAGGAGCAAAATAGTTTCCTACACATGTACGACCTGCTAGAAGAGGCTAGTCCTTTCCTATAACCAAAACAATTGGGTGTTTTTACTCATAGAATGCTTTTTTCACTTGTCCTTTTAAAAACAAACAAACAAACAAACAAAGAACTTGCTCCTGTGTCCACACCAAACATACTTGACATACTAGGCTATACTATATGTTAGAGAGTGTGCTGGTGTTTTTTGTCTCTATGAAATAAACTATTTATGCCCATATATATATATTGTTGTTGTTGTTTTTGTTTTTTCAACTTCCATTTTACTATCAGGGTGTACATGTGCAGGTCTGTTACAAAGCTATAGTGCATGATGCTGACTCTGAGGTTTGGGGTATGACTAAACCTGTCATACGAGTAGTGAGCATAGTACCCAGTAAGCAGTGTTTCAGCCCTTGCTCCCTTCCCTCACTTCCCTGCCCTGGTAGTCCACAGTGTCTATTGATCCCATCTTTCTGGCCATGTGTATCCAATGGTTACACCCACATCTTTATCTCTGGGTTTGCTCTGCCTAATCATCTGGCTCTGCCAAGTCCTCCTCACTTGGGATCTTGGTTAGGGCACTTTTCTCCATTTTAACTCAGTACTTTTTCACTCCTAACCTTTCTCCCTGTCTCTATCCCTGGCCCTCCATGTCCGTAAAGAGGCAGGAGACCTTAGTTTTGGGCTCCTTAGCAGCGAGGTGACTTTTCCTGTCTGAGCTGCATGTCATCTGATCCTCAGCAGTGTCCTTCCTTGAAGAAAAGTGGAATACTGAGGAGCCAGTGCTTCTCTTTTGGACAGCTTGCTTGCATTGCTACAGTGAGTTTTAAAAGGCTTGATTGCTACTTTCAGTTTGGTTCATTGTCTTAGCTGAGCACTTTGACACTTGGAAGCTTGGCAACATTACCTGGACCATCGTGGCTGTGCAGAGGCACTCATGTCCAACAGCTTGGCTGTCACAGTGAAGGTATGCTCTTGGCTTGATTCCGATTCCGAGTGATGGAATGTTGTTGTCAGAGATGTGGCAAGGAAATGCACCTCCATTTAAATATCACAGTCGTGATTCCAAAAGATAACCCAGGTATCATGTGAAACTTCCCTAGACTTTGGTGAGTTTTTTTTAAACTTGACTCCAATCCCCAGTGTTTTAGTTTGTGTTAATTCAACAACCATTTTTTTTTCTTTTTCAACTTCTATTTTGATAGAAATAGATAATGATATCAATAAATCCCTACTCTTACTTCCCCAGGGCACCTTATCTCCTGTGCTGCCATGGGGCCTAGGCACTTTTGATCTGAACACAAAATTTATCTGTTTGCCACTTTCCACTAGAAATTCAATCTCAGTAAGCATATTATAATTTTTTGGCTTTACTAGTAATTATGAGATCACAGAGAGGGAGCTCTTCACTTCTTTTGGGGACCCTTCCACTATACCGTGAGATAAACATTTTAATCTCTTATTCCAGAGGTTTCTTTCTTGGGGAGCAGCTCTGGCTTCCCAATCTGAATTCTCCAGCTCCACTAGGAATTCTACTAGATAAAAACAGCTAAACTTTATGATATTATGTTTATTCTCCGTGACCCACATGCAAGAGTCTCCGTGGGGACACTGTGTCTCAGGAGACACAATCCGGCAACCAAAAATAATCCCAAGGAAATTCAAGATGGTTTCTTGAGTTTTTCAAATACCACAAGGGTGATTCTTGCCTTCTTTTTCTATCCAACTATCCAATTTCCCCTCATGCCACAGATTCTCCCATTTCTCTTTCTCAAAACTCTTTGAAATGTTTCTCCCATATCCAAGCAGCATGTTCCTCTTTGTATTCTCCATGTTTTCCAGATCAAAGGTGATGGAACTAAAGAGGTAAAACTCTTGTTAGTGGGTGAGTTTGGAAAGGATGTGGCAAAATCTTGTAACAGTTTTTGTCCTCTCACAACTATAAAAAGTGACCCAATGCTGAGCAAATCAACATCAACTAGAAGAGCACTGGTGTCGAGACAACAATGTTAGTTTAAACCTCACCTTGACTTTCAAGGTATTTGATAGTGGGAAATTTACTTAACTTCTCTCAAAGTTCCTGTCTTCTTTTGTAAAATGTATGTTAATACCTACTTTATACCTGCTTTACAGATAAGGTTTGTAAAATATTTAGCTTTTGGGCCTGGCACACAGTGAGCTCACAACAATCTGTAGCTACGGTCTCCCTGAAAAAAGTTAAATTGTTATCTGGAGCCAGATGTGGTGGCTCACACCTATAATCCCAGTGCTTTTGGAGGCCAAGGTAGGGGGATCACATGAGGCCAGGAGTTTGAGCCATCCTGGGCAACAAAGCCAAACCCCCATTTCTACAAAAAAAAAAAAAAAAAAATTGTAAAAATTAGCCAAGTGTAGTGGCACGCACCTGTAGTCCCAGCTACTCAGAAGGCTAAGGCAGGAGTATAACTTGAGCCTGGGAGTTGAGACTACACTGAGCTATGATCATGCCACTGCACTCCAGCCTAAGTGACAGAGTAAAACTTTAAAAGAGAATTTATCTGGAATCCCTTATTCCATGTTTCTGGTGCCCATCCAGTGTTCATAAAAACACTGTTTCCCTGCAAGGTTATTAGTGGCTCAAGTAATTCTGTCCTCTTATTCTGCTCCATTATATGAACCACAGGGAATCATGTGGCCCCTTCCTCAATTATTGAGAGTGCTTCTAAAGGAAGAGTCAGTGTGGAGGGCAAGCAGATAGCAGAAGATGAAAGTTGTACCAATTTTAAAACCTTTCTGCCTGGATGGAGGTGACTGATTTCTGTTTAGCTCTTTTTTGAACGTGGTTTTGTTGTAAAACACAGTTATAGTAGAAAGTAATTAAATAAGATAGGACCTGATATACTAATTTAACACTGAGGTTGAAGGCAATTTTGTTGCCATTGAATCACAAGGTAAATTGTCCTCTTAGGTGAGATCTAGTTGTTGTATAGCCTTTTTCCATTATCTGAGGAAAATGAAGGGGAAATTCAAGTGGAAAACTATGCCCGCTATAATTCTCCATGGATTTGGTTAGAACTTTAACTTTCTTCGTAGCATTATTAAATCACTGCTTCAGTTCATTTCTCTAGTTTGCGTGCATTGACAAAATGAAAAAGAAGATTTCAAAGACAGTGAAAATATCCTTTAAATAAATTAGACCTAGTGAATTTAATAATTGTAGGACATCCTGTAATTTCCATAAAACACAAGTATTAGTATAAGTCTCCAAAACGGTATTACAGAAATGGCAATATTGTGACATAACAGAGTAACAACAAACCTAGCCTATGCATGGATGATGTATAACATGCCCTCCTTCATTCTTTGAAATATTTTCCTCCCATGTAACAACAACAATCTCTGACATTATATTCATTATACTCATGATATTATACGCATTCATTAGCTTTTATCTGAAAACTACCAGATATCTGGAATCCTGAAAGCAGCACAATGATAGTGTAAGATTAGTGAGAGAAGAGGGAGCAAGTCAGGCAGGAAAGCCTGGCCAGAATTCAGACAATAAAAGTTAAGATTGGAGCACAGTAATAAAAGTGTCATTCCAGAACAAAGCATGATCTGAAATACCCACACAGGTTTTCTACTTAGGTCTGGACTGACAGGTTAGGTCTAAAGATTTATAGTTGCAACCTAACTCTTTTGTCATAAGTATCATTCATTCATAGTTAAATCAACATTTGGAGTGTACTGCTCAAAGCCCCTTAAGGCCTATTGTTAAAAATATGGGAAAGATACATTCCTTCTCAGTCTAATGTATTAAATACCATGATGAAATGAGTTAGTATCCAGGATCATTAAAATGTAAAAAGAAAAGAGAGACACACCTCAGAAATAAAGGATGCCAACTTCCTTGGTAGCTGGCCTATGTAGGTCAAGCCACTTTCATAGGAGGCTCTGAACTACTCACTTGACCTTTTGGTTCACAGACATTTCCGTATATGGAACTATTTTCTGTTGTCTAAAGAGATAGAACTATTTTCTGTTCTCTAAAAAGATAGCTTTTTCTCCCAGAGCTTTCAGTCTGTTCCTTATCCCAAATATCTGGAAGCTGGGTTCAGCTATCTTTGCCTGGTATTCTTTCCCTGATGGAGTGTAATATGTAGACAGAGGGGGGCAACTGGCGACTCTGGGCTGAGGAAGCTCTCCAGCCCTGGGTGTAAAGCAGCCTCCACCTCCCACACTCCTACTGATCAAGGATGCCTCAAAAAAAAAAAGATGCCACTGAAATCACTCCTTAGAGTTAGTTTTCACCTGTTTCTACCTGACTTCAGAGGGTCAACTCAATAAGTCTGACTTTATTTTTTTCACTCAGTGTGATGGAAACTGGAAATAGGTGAGGTTGTGGCTTGAGGACAAGAATCGTCTTTCATCCATCTCGGTATATGCAGGGCCTAGACTGTTGCCTGGCATGTGACAGGCGCTTAGTAAAAGTTCAGTAAAATAAACATAAATGAAATGAGAATATTTAATGAAGGGATGCTAAAATGGAAGGAGAAAAGTTCCAGAAAGTGGAGATCAATAATTCATCTTCTCTCTGTCTTTGCTAAAACTGATCCTCTAGGATCATCTCACTTGCCAGAGGCCTCTATACACTTTCTGCTAACAAGCTTCCAAGACAGACTACCCTGCTCTCTAGCACCATTCCTCCCTCCTCTCTCATCTAGAGGTCCTTAATAGTGGAGACGTCTCTCCAGGAACTTGAATCTGCAAATCTTTGCATTCTCAGAAGGTACATTCTACATGTTCTGGGAGCAGGAAGACAACAGCTTAACCTGCAGTGCATGAGAAAGGCAAAAGCAGGAAAGTTAGATGTTTGGATGGCAAGGTTAACTGTGCACCTCTGGGGTACTTTAAACTTCACAAAGAGATATAGACATGGGTAGTTTTAAGTGAGACAGTTTTCAGATCCTTGCATGCTTCTACCCACTTTTAATATTTAAAAACTTCAAAAATGCAGAATAAAATCCATATGACCTTTACCTAGATTCAGCAATTGTTCACATTTTGCCACATTTCTCTGGCCCTTCTCTACACAACACACACACACACATACACACACACACTTTTTTTGTTCAAGAATTCGGAAGTTTCAGATACCATAATATTTATTCCTAAGTACTTAAATATGCATCACCTAACAATAAAGGAATTGCTCTATGTAACCACAATTTCTCCATATGACCAGCCCAGGCTCCTGATTGCTTTGTCGCAACTTTTTACCAAAAAGAGCACTAACAAAGGCCTGGAGGTAAAGAGTAGAAGCTCAACATCACATCATTATCTCATCTAAGAAAATTAATGCTAATTTATTAATTAAATTAATACTAACTTATTATTAATATCATCTAATATTCAAAATTTTCTATAGTTGTCCCCCTAAGCATTCTAACTTCATAGTTTCATTTTTTAAAAAAAAATCTTAGATCTAATTACAGTTTATTCTCTGTAATCATTTATTATGTACCTTTCACCTAAACACAGTGATTCCCTCTTATCCACACAGGATATGTTTCAAGACCCACAGTGAACACCTGAAATTGTGGATAGTACCAAACCCTATATATACTGTTTTTTTCTGTATGTACATACCTATGATAAAGTTTGATTCATAAATTAGCTACAGTAATAGGTTAACAATAACTGGTAATAAAACAGAAAAATTATAACAATATATTGTAATAAAAGTGAATGTGGACTCTTTCAAAATATCTTTTTGTACTGTACTCACCTATATCAGACAGTGGTAATTCACAGGTAATTGAAACCACAGAAAGTGAAACTGAACTGAGGATAAGTGTGGACTACTGCAGTTGCCCCAACTATTCTTTTTATGACATGGATTTTTATGTCATTTTTAATAATTCATGTCACCTGACTTCTAGAACATCCCATTTTCTGAATTTGTATGATTGATTGTTCCTCATGATGAGATTTAGGTTAAACTTTTCTGGCAGGAATACTACATAGTTGGTATTGTGTCTCTCTTCTGATATCAGAAGTCACATTATGTCAGATTGTTTCATTATTGGGGATGTTAAGTTTGAGCACATGGTTAAGGTAGTGTCCCCCAGATCTCTCCATAGTAAACGTACATTTTTCCTTTTGTCATTAATAAATAACCTGCAGGGTCATTGCTTAGACCACATAAGCCGCTGCTCCCCATCTGTTAGCCAGCGATTTTACCATCCATTGATGATTCTTGATGCTTGACACAAGAAACCTTTGAACCCAAGACAGCCAATGGGGTGTAGGCTGTGACAGGGTTAGCTACATGGAATGATCATAGTAATATCCATGGTGGTGGGATAACCAGAGATCTACCATTACTACTGCCAGCAGTTCCCAGCTCAGGTGCCAAAAGAGAGAGAGAGAGAGAGATGCACAGCTCTGATCAAGCTTCATGCTGACCCTGGCATCCTTACAGACTTCTGCTGACTCCCTCAGGCAGTCATGCCCCTGAGACATGAGAGAGACTCTCTTCCTCAGTCCTCTCCCTCATCCCTATCTCCCTCACCTATTCAAGTGGAATCCCGCAGCAAAGTCGCTTCAATCCTGAAGTGTTAACAAAATTCGCTGAGAGAGCTCTTTCAATTCAGTCACAGTCCACTTTCTCCAAGATGTATGTACTCCTATTTCCAGGTGTGTCCATCTCAACTATAGGCAGTAGACAGAACTTAAAGCTCTCTCAGCCTTAGGCCTTGACCAGCCCAGGCTCCTGATTGCTTTGTCACAACTTTTTACCGAAAAGAGCACAAACAAAGGCCTGGAGGTAAAGAGTGGAGGCCCAACACCAATTGGCCCCAATGCACATGGTAGCACAGGGAGAAGAATGTTGTCTCTTTCCTGTCATCAGTACCATGCAATCATAGCTCCAGCTCAAAGACAACAGGGACCAGCTGACACAAGAGTGTATCCAGAATGATAATCAGTGGACCTACACTTGTCAGATTTTAACCTCCACCTAGACATTAGGGCAGAATCATTTAGTTCATTCCCTCACTTTATACATAAGAGAACTAAGGTCCAAAGAGAGGAAAAGACTTGCTGATGTTGATACAACTTGCAAATAAGAGAGTTAGTACTTGAATAGCAACTTTCCTGGGCCAAGATAGGTGCCTTGTCTGCCAGACTGATCTCTCTCTCTCTCTCTCTTTTCTTAGCAGATGGGGTCTTGTTCTCTCTCCCAGGTCTGGAGTGCATTGGCACAATCACAGCTCACTGCATCCTTGAATTCCCAGACTTAAGTGATCCTCTCACCTCAGCCTCTCAAAGTAGCTGGGACTATAGGTATGCACCACCACACCTGACTAGGCTCTCTCTCCTTTATAAGACTTCTTTAAAAATTCTGTTTTGATGTTCTGCTAAATAAGGGGCCTGTGTTTTGTCTAGAACAAATTATCAATTTACAAATAGTCCATGAGTCAGTAGTCATAAAAGTTGGGGAAAATTTAAAGACATGAGACCAATCTAGTAACAATTGTTTTAGGTCAATGACTCAAAGGAGCAAGGACATAACGTGGTTTCTAAATTAATTTTAAATGGGTCCTTAAATAAATTCTGGGGCTAATGTTTTGAGATGTTTCCCCCCATGCATTAGGTGGTGACTCAAAGGTACTAGCAAAGCCACTTTCATTTTAAGAGGATCTAGACAATATACTAGAAAATTAGCCCAAACCTTCTCCTTGCCCTACTCCTACCACAATCAAGGAAGAGGGACAAGGTTTTCCATTCCCTTCATCCTCTGCAGTGATGATTTTGTGGCTTAATTCTTTTCTTCAATGCTCTTGCTATTCAGCTTATATTGATATCACTTGGAGAGATTTGTGTTGTAGGCACAATGAATTCATTCACTTGGAATAAATCAAGCGAAACCTCCCTGCTCTTAGTTCCCAAACACCCTGTTGCTCCTTCTCTCTCGACTTCCAGAAAGGATTGAAGTACATGAAATTTTAAGTATATAAAAAGGAATATTTAAAACATGGCTAATGTCCAAAGAAAGACAATCAAATAAACATAGGTATACCTACCACCCGGCTTAAGAAAGAGAATATTGATTGGGATTCTGACCCCTGCTTGTCCATCCTGTCTTAGTCCTTCAGCCACCCTCCCCCAACAGAGTATCAGCAATCTCAAATTTTGTGCTAATTATTCCTTGCTTTCTTATTGTTTTATTACCTATGCTTGTATTCCTTGCTTTATTGTTATTTTACCACTCATATTCATATCTCTGAACAACAAGGAAACACCATGTATCTGAAATTTTTATAACTAGAGTCATATTGTGTTTGTTCTCCTCCTCCTTTCATTTTTGTTCAATATTATGTTTCTGAGATTACTTTCTCCTACTTTCGTTTTTGTTCAATATTATGTTTCTGAGATTACTTATAACTAATATGCAGTTCCAATTTAGTCCTTTCTGCCATGATATAATGTTCTACTTTACGAAAATACTACAGTTCATCTACTCATTCTTCTAAAAATGGACACTAGGACTCTTTCCAATCAAGAGTTATTTTAAACACTACGGTAGTGAATGTTCTTACGCATCTGATAAACATGCACAAAAGCTTCTCCACAGTATGAGCCCTGTGGTGAAATTCTTGGATCATAATTGACCTTTTCAAGTACTATTGCTATTACTACTAGTAATAGCTGAGATTTTTAGAGCACTCAACAAAAGCTGGTCTTAGATTAAGCCTTCTGTTTCATTCCTTTTTAAAATTTATTTTTTACTTAACAAATACAAATTGTATATTTATCACGTATAACATGATTATTTGAAATATGTATACATTGCTTAAAGACTAAATTTAACTAATTAACATGTAAAATTACCCCGCATGCTTTTTATGTTTTTTTGTAGTGAAAACACTTAAAATCTACTATCCAAGTAATTTTCAAGAATAAAATACATTGTTATTAACTATAGGCACCATGTTGTACAATAGATCTCTTGAACTTATTCTTCGTGTCTGTCGGGAATTTTGTATCCTTTGACCAACATCTTCCCAACACTGCCCCCTCCTCCTTGTAACCGCCATTCTCCTCGCTAGCTCTGAGTTCAGCTTTTTAATTTCTATATATAAGACCACATGATATTTGTCTTTCTGTGTCTGGCTTATTTCACTTAATATAATGTCCCCCAGGTTCAGCCATGTTGTTGCAAGTGACAGGATTTTCTTCTTTTTTTTTTAAGGCTGAATTCTGTTGTGTATGTACCTGCTTTATTTCATTTAATTTTCACAGATGACTGACATAGGTGTTATATCGTCTTCCATTTGTTAAAATAATAAGTTGATGGCAAAATATAACACACAAGCAAATAGATGCATGAGACATAATGGTATATCCTGTTGAGTAATTACAAACAAAACACTTGTTTAACAACCACCCAACTCAAAATATAAGAAATGGCCAGCACACAGAAATACGCCCTTCCTGCTCCTGCTGTGCAGATATTAAAGTCTCTGCTCAGTTTGTTTGATGGTCAGCAAATGATTGGACAGAGATTTCCTTAAATTCCTTGAATGAATATGCTTCCCAGCATTTGCCAAGGGAGTTGGGTTATGTTGGGTTATGCCTTCAACACTCGGGCAGACAGTTTACAACTATTCCTTGTGTTTACTTTTTGCTTGCACTGAGCCACACAGTCAGGCAAAGACGAGAGATTAGGGCCTTCTGCTGTCTTGAGCATATGCACAACCCTGAATATGCCGGTAGCCTTCCAGATTCCCAGGAGTATATATGAGCTTTTCAAAGTCTAGTATGATGTGAATGTTTGTGTCCCTCCAAAACATGTGGGTTGGAACCTAATACCCAATGCCATACTATCAAGAGGTGTGGCCTTCAGGAAGTGAGTAAGTCACGAGGGCTCCACCTTCATGAATGGGATTAGTGACATCAAAAAAATGCCAGGGAGCTGTTTGCCCCTGCCACCTAAGGAGGACACAGCTAGAAGGCACCATCTACAAGGAATGGGGCCCTCACCAGACGTGAAATCTTCCTGCACTTTGATCTTAAACTTTCCAACCTTCAGAATTGTTAGAAATGAGTTTTTGTTTATAAATTACCCAGCCTATGATATTTTTGTTATAGCAGCCCAAACAGACCAAGACGAAGCTGATTAGGGACATCTCATTTCTGTTTTTCAAGTTTTCTCAGTCAGTCTCTTGTTAGCCCCACCTGGTATCCACAACACAGGCACCTGTGGTGTTAAACAATTCCTGCTTCTTGTTTTCAACAAAAACCCTGGGAATAGGACTTTTTGCACAGAAATATTTCTAGTCAAGTCAAATAAAGCCAGGCCCTGAAGATGGAGTTTTTCAGGAAGCTGCCAGACAGGTCAAATGGTTACAAT
This sequence comes from Homo sapiens, assembly GCF_000001405.40. Taxonomy (NCBI): domain Eukaryota; kingdom Metazoa; phylum Chordata; class Mammalia; order Primates; family Hominidae; genus Homo; species Homo sapiens. Next base: position 89,102,670 of record NC_000010.11, read on the forward strand.
TCTCTTCGATGCAGCTGTTTTAGGGAACTCCAAACTCATTTTCCCCCTTTCCCACCTCCAGTGGCTGCTAGGCTTCCGGTTGTCAGTTATCATAGGCATGGGGAGGATAGTTTTCAAGACTACCATGGAGATGGGGAGAAGGTGATGGGAGTAGGGCAAGTTAAAACTCCACACAGCTCACTCACTCTGCTTACTGATATTTAGTAATTTTTCTCGAATAAACACTCCTTGGAGTGTTGCAAGCCTTTGATTATTTCTGGAGTTCTGAGAAGCTGATGTTGGCAGTCTTTACCAGTGCTTCTGTTACTTCTATGGAGCAGATTTTGAGACATTCTTACTCTACTATTTCTGAAGTGCTTCTGTTCCCTTCTGCGTTAGTTTTCTAGGGCTGCCACAACAAAGCAGCAACAAAAATGTATTTTCTGAGTTTGAGAGGCTAGAAGTCTGAGACCAAGGTGTTGGCAGGGTAGGTTACTTCTGAGGTCTCTCTTCTTGACTTGGGGATGCTCATCTCCCTGTGTCTCCACATCATCTTCCCTTGGTACACGCCTAGGTTCAAATTTCCTCTTCTTATAAGGACACCACTTAGATTAGTGGCCATCCCAATGAATTCATTTTAACTTAACTAACTCTGTAAAGGCCCTGTCTCCAAATAGTCACAATTCTAAAGTACTGGGGATTAAGAGTGCAACAATGAATTTTTAGATGGACATATACATGCAGTTTTGCATAGATATAGTTTGTTTTTGCTACTCTGTTGCATTCTTGGTATGATTATACTACAAATTATTTATCAAATTTCCTGTTGATAACTTTTTTCCAAGTTAGTGTTCACTGTGAATTATAATGCATGAATATTCTTGTAGATGTATTTTGTGGTCCATAAACTTTTTTTTCTGGATATATATCTAGAAGTAGAATTCACAGATCATAAGTTAAGCATATGCTCAACTTTAATAGATAATGTCATGTCTTTCCAATGTAGTTGTACCAATATTGGAGCATTATTACATTGTGGTTCTAATTTGTTTCCTTAACAAATGAATTTTATTGCCTTAATATGCCTACTGGTCATTTTAATAGCATTATTTGTGAAGATCTTGCTGAAGTCTCTGAGCATTTTTTATTGGGTTGCTTGTCTTTTGCTTATTTCCTGTATTGTGAATTTATTTTGGATCTTAACCGTCTGTCTATTATATGTATTGCAATTATCTTCTCCAATTTTGTGGCTTAGATTTTCACTCTATTTATATTTTGAAGTGTTTGATTTTAGTGTGATTAAATTTATTTATCTTCACCTTTATTCGTGCTTTTAGCTTCTTTCTTTAAAAATCTTTGCTTGCTCTAAGGCCTATATTAGTATGTGTGTGTACACATATATTTGTGTGTGTGTACATACATATACACACATACATGTATACATACATGTTAATATATAAAAAACATATATAGAGTATTATATATGTATATATATGTGTGTGTGTGTATATATATATATATATTTCCTCTTCTAGAATCTTAATTATTTTACTCCCACACTAAAATTCACAATCACTGGAATTGACTTGTCTATATTTTGTGGTAAGGGCTTATTTTTTCATTTTCCATATGAAAATTCAATTGACCCAGCATCATTCCTGAATATACCATTTCTTAATAGAGCCACAGTTCTCATAAATCAAGTATCTGTATTTCTGAGGGTCTGCTTCTGGACATTTATTTTTTACATATTTCTATTTGTTCTTATTCCAATGCCACATTTTTAACACTAAAGCTTTACAAAGCCTCAATAATTAATAGAGCCATCTTCCCACTTCATTTTTCTGCTTCGTTATTATCTTGGTTTTGGCTCTTTTTATTTCCACATGACTTTATCAACTGGTTTCTCGATTCTCACAAAACTGTCATGTGGATTTTAATTGGTATTCCATTGAATCTGTAGATCCCTTTGAGGAATTTGATACCTTTATAGTAAAGAAGCTCACAGTACATCAACCTGGCATATCCCTCCATTTATTTGTCTCTCAATAATGTTTGATGGATTTTTCTGTACCTATCAAAAGCACATTTTATCAGATTTATTCCTAGCTATTTTATATTTTTGATATTTAGCAATTGATAAAATATTTTACTTCATAGTTTGCTTGTTATATGCAGAAATGCAATAGATTTGTCAAGGTTATGCTTATATTTAACATCTGTGAAACTTACAAATTCTATAATTTATCTGTAGATTTCTGCTCCACGTGCATACAATCATGTAAATAATGGCAGTTTTATTTTTTCCTTTCTAATTTTATTCTTTTGTTCTTTTTTGTGCTTTATTGTGCTGGTAAGTGCATCAAGAGGACAAATTATGGTATTGAATATCATTTTCTTATTTCTTATCTTGGAAATTTTTCAATGTTTCACTGTTATGTTGTATGTTTCTTGTAGGATTTTTATGCGTATTTTTTCATATTAAGGAAGTTCCTTCTACTCTTAGCTTACTAAGAAATCTTATGAATTGATATTGAACTTTATCACATGCTTTTTCCACATCTATCAATGCAGAAAATTATATTGCTCTTTGTTTTGTTAATATGGTCAATTATATTGATTGAATTTCCAATATTGAAACCCTTGCATTTCAGAAATACCTTACTTTATTAGTCAGGGTTCTCCAGAGGGACAGAACGATCACAAGGTGAAGTTCCCCAGTAGTCCATCTGTAAGCCAAGTCCTAGTCCCAAAACCTCAAAAGTAAGGAAGCTGACAGTGCAGCCGTCAGTCTAGGGATGAAGACCCGAGAGCCACTGGCAAACCACTGGTGTAAGTCCAAGAGTCCAAAAGCTGGAACTTGGGGTCCGATGTTCGAGGGCAGGAAGTAGCCAGCATGGGAGAAAGATGAAGTCCAGAAGACTCAGCTAGTCTGCTCTTTCACCTTTTTCTGCCTGCTTCATTCTAGCTGCGCTGGCAGCTGATTAGATGCTGCCCACCCAGATTGAGCGTGGGTCTGCCTCTTCCAGTCCACTGACTCATATGTTAATCTCCTTTTGCAACACCCTCACAGACACCCAGGAACAATACTTTGCATCCTTCAATCCAATCAAGTTAACACCAATATTAAACATTAGACTTATTTTAACATTTTACTCATTTTAATTTTCCTGCATTTCATTCCTATGTAAGAAGGTATTAATTTTTATTCAATTTCTTTAAGAATAAAGAACTCAATGTTTTTCTGTTTCTTTTTGAGTGAGGATTGTGTTTTTTTCCTTTACATTTTCAAGTTAATGTCATATTTGACATTAATTTATTCATAATAATCCTTTACTATTTTCTTACTATCTGAGGGATCAGTAATAATGTTTCCTTTTTATTCCAGATACTGATCATTTTGTGACTTTTAATTTATTTTGAGAATTCTCAGTAGGGGTTCACCAATTTTACTCATTTTTTAAAGAAAGATTTTGGCTTTCTTAATCCATTGACAATGCATGTTTGCTTCATATTTGATTTCTGTCTGTCCAGTTCGCACTAGTAACTTCTCTCTACTTTCTTTGGGCTTAATACTAGCTTTTTGATTGATGTTTAGATCATTGATTATTATGCTTTTTTCATTTTTAATATCCATTTAAGGACATAACATTTTCTCTAAGTTCTTATTTAACCGTATAACACAAGACTTTAATTTATCACATTGCCATTGTCATTCAGTTAAAATATTTTATAATTTGTCATAGTTTCTTTTTAAAGCCATTGGTAACTTAGAAGTGAAATGCCTGATTTTCAAACATAGGTAGATTTACTAGTTATCATTTTGTGATTTACTTCTAATTGAATTACAAGAGGTCAGAGAAATTTGTAATGAGTTATTTTTGTGGCCCAGAATTTGACTAATTTTTGTAACTTTTGTCTGTGTTCTTGAAAATATATATTTGGAAAATAGACTCTGTTTGGCATATCCTTACTGATTACACAGTCCATGTGTGTCCAAGCAAGAAAATTAATATTAAATTTGATTGAAGATGGAAGAATATTCCGGAGGTGTATTCCCACAAGTGTTTCGTAGGAAAAAAAAATAATAACAAAGATGTGGTCAGAATTTTAAAACATTTTAAAATTATTCAGGAGAAAAATGTACCATGACAGAGTCAGTGAACATTAAATAGTGATTAGAGCCCCACAAATTTTAGATGATGGAGTTTTTCAAAATAAAATAAAAATGAGCATGTTTAAAATGATTCAAGGCAGAAACTTAAAAATCAAATTTCCAAGAAAAATACAGGCCATTTGGGAAATAATAAAGTAAAACTTCTAGAAATAACAATTTAAGTGAATAATTCAATGGATACTCCCCACAGTAAGTGTATAAAAGTGGTAAATTCTCTTGATCTTTATCCAAAAATGTCTAATTTGTCTTCACATTCGTGTAATTATTTGGCTGGTATAGAATTATAAGTTGACAATTGTTTTTTCCCAGAACTTTGAAAATATTATTCCATTATTGGTCCAAAGATTCAACACTGTTAAAGAGAGAATTGGCTATCTGGAAGGAAAACTTCCCACAAAATTAATCAGAAGAGAAAATTAAAGCTATGGAGAATATTTTAAAAATTTTTAAATATAGGCCGGCCACGGTGGCTCACGCCTGTAATCCCAGCACTTTGGGAGGCTGAGGCGGGCGGATCACCTAAGGTCAGGAGTTCAAGACCAGCCTGGCCAACATGGTGAAACCCCGTCTCTACTAAAAATACAAAAATTAGCCAGGTGTAGTGGAGGGCACCTGTAATCCCAGCTACTCGGGGGGCTGAGGCAGGACAATTGCTTGAACTGGGGAGGCGGAGGTTGCAGTGAACCAAGATCGCACCATTGCACTCCAAACTGGGTGACAGAGCAAGATTCTGTCTCAAAAAAATAAAAAAATAAAAAAAAATGTACAAGTTAAAGTAAAAGCGTTGAACATTTTACTTTTATTTGTCTAATATAATTTCTAAAAGAAGAAAAGGGGACAATAGTGAATAGATCATATTCAAAGAGATAATGCTAAGAGTTTTCTAGAATTATTAAAAAAAATTTCTCAGATTAACGAAGTTTTTAGAAGAATAAATGTAAGTAAATCCATACTACAGCTGACCCTCGAACAACTCTGGGATTAGAGATGCCGATCTCTATGCAGTCAACAATCCATGTATAACTTTTGACTTCCTGAAAACATGACTAATAGCCTACTGTGGTGTTACTGATAACATAAACAGTCAACTAATATGTATTTTATGTTATATGTATTATTATATACTGTATTCTAAAATAAACTAGATAAAAGAAAATGGACCAATGACTTTCTTTGAAGAATTGTAAAAAACTAAAGTTCATATGGAACCAAAAAAGAGCCTGCATTGCCAAGACAATCTTAAGCCAAAAGAACAAAGCTGGAGGCATCACGCTACCTGACTTCAAACTATACTACAAGGCTACAGTAACCAAAACAGCATGGTACTGGTACCAAAACAGGGATATACACTAATGGAACAGAACAGAGCCCTCAGAAATAATACCACACATCTACAACCATCTTATCTTTTACAAACCTGACAAAAACAAGAAATGGGGAAAGGATTCTCTATTTAATAAATGGTGCTGGGAAAACTGGCTAGCCATATGTAGAAAGCTGAAACTGGATCCCTTCCTTACATCTTATACAAAAATTAATTCAAGATGGATTAAAGACTTAAATGCTAGACCTAAAGCCAAAAAAACCCTAGAAGAAAACCTAGGCAATACCATTCAGGACACAGGCATGGGCAAGGACTTCATGGCTAAAACACCAAAAGCAATGGCAACAAAAGCCAAAATTGACAAATGGAATTTAATTAAACTAAAGAGCTTCTGCACAGCAAAAGAAACTACCATCAGAGTGAACAGGCAACCTACAGAATGGGAGAAAATTTTTGCAATCCACTCATGTGACAAAGGGCTAATATCCAGAATCTACAAAGAACTCAAACAAATTTACAAGAAAAAAAAACAACCCCATCAAAAAGTGGGCAAAGGATATGAACAGACACTTCTCAAAAGAAGACATTTATGCAGCCAACAGACACATGAAAAAATGCTCATCATCACTGGCCATCAGAGAAATGCAAACCAAAACCACAATGAGCTACCATCTCACACCAGTTAGAATGGCCATCATTAAAAAGTCAGGAAACAACAGGTGCTGGAGAGGATGTGGAGAAATAGGAACACTTTTACACTGTTGGTGGGACTGTAATCTAGTTCAACCACTGTGGAAGACAGTGTGGCGATTCCTCAAAGATCTAGAACTAGAAATACCATTTGACCCAGCCATCCCATTACTGGGTATATACCTAAAGGATTATAAATCATACTGCTATAAAGATACATGCACACATATGTTTATTGTGGCACTATTCACAATAGCAAAGACTGAGAACCAACCCAAATGTCCATTAATGATAGACTGGATTAAGAAAATGTGGCACATATACACCATGGAATATTATGCAGCCATAAAAAATGATGAGTTCATGTCCTTTGTAGGGACATGGATGAAGCTGGAAACCATCATTCTCAGCAAACTATCGCAAGGACAGAAAACCAAACACTGCATGTTCTCACTCATAGGTGGGAACTGAACAATGAGAACACTTGGACACAGGAAGGGAAACATCACACACCAGGGCCTGTCATGGGGTCGGGGGAGTGGGGAGGGATAGCATTGGGAGATATACCTAATGTAAATGATGAGTCAATGGGTGCAGCACACCAACATGGCACATGTATACATATGTAACAAACCTGCATGTTGTGCACATGTGCCCTAGAACTTAAAGCATAATAAAAAAATTATAAGAAAGAAAAATATATTTGCTATTCATTAAGTGGAAATGGATCATCATAAAGGTCTTCATCCTCCTTGTTATTGTTGAGTAGCGCTGAGGAGGAGGAGGAAGAGGAAGGGTTGGTGTTGATGTCTCAAAGGTGGAAGAGGCAGAAGAAAACTTCCTCATAAGTGGACCTACTTAGTTTAACCCTGTGTTATTTAAGGGTCAATTCTGTGTATATATTGAAGTGATACTGTAGAACAATAAATGCAAAGAGAAATTTTTTAAAGCAATCACATACAAAGATAATTTACCTACAAAGAAACAAACATCAGGCAACAGCAGATTCTCAAAAGCAACAAGAGAAGTAAGGAAAGTAATGAATATTTTCAGATTGTGGAGGGAAAGTAAATGTGACTTAAGAATTCCATACCATCCAAACTATTATAACAGAATGAAGGAAAACAATCGACATTCTCAAACAAAGACTGAGACCGTCTATCACTCTCCTACATTTGCTGAAAGAGCAATAAATAAATATATTTCAGGAAGAAGAATTTAATGGTGTATATTATTTTGTGCTTATGGTTAAATGTTTCAAAGTTAAAACTTGAGGATAGAGATGCCTTCATACCACTAAATTGCAAGTTTTCATAGAGTAATGTCTTTGTTTTATTAAACTTTGTATGCTCAATCTTGTCTAATGCCTGTCATAAAATCATGCCCGCAAAACATTTTTTGTTTGTTTGCTTTCATTGAATTGACAATAACAAAAAGAGTAAGACTGATGGAAAAATCATTGGATTTAAGTTATGGTAGTCCCTCAAGTTTTCCTGGAAGTTTTTTGTTTTATGACCTGCGTGCCTTTGTGCATGCACACACACACACCCACACACATTAATGTGGGATAGTTATCACTGAAATAGTCTATTGTATGACTTGTATTTGTTAATCTGGTAGGGTGGATTGTTTACTGCATTAGGATATCCCATTCTTATTTCCCTTCTGCATCTCCACACCTGATTGCTTGAAACAATTATCAGTCTCACAACAAACTGCCCTTTGTTTCCTGTAGAAAGAGGCATAATTTGTTTCAGCTCGTTCCTTTTCCTGCCATCAACCTGCTCTTAGTATATTCGGTCTTCTGCCAGTCCTGGACAAAGTCTTTAAACGTTCATGATGTAAAACTTTGAAATTTTTCAGAAAAATTTTTTTGTAAATGTGAGTTTATATCATGTATCTGAGAGTTTCTCTAAAAATTCGAAAGAGCAACCTGGTCATAAGTCATGTGCCTATGTCCTAAGAGAGAATTCTTTTCATGTATTGCAGTTGTAGAATGTGAAAGAAATTATTTTGGTGTCAATGCCAACATATTCAAATTTAAATTTAATTCCTTAATTTAAAATAATATTTTTTAAGCAGAAAGGAAATCAAGGTTATTAAAGGGATGTAAACTTCAATGGGTAAACTTTAATGGAAAAGCAATGTTGTCTGTTTAATAAGAGGTAATTTTATTTGTATAGTATTTTTAAACTCCTGAAGGAGGTAACTTTTATGAAAACCCACAGGAAGTAAATATTTTCTCCTCTGGTAATGAAAGTTCAAATGAGGTCATCTATGTATGTGCCTGGTGCAGAGGCTGGCACGTGCATATTGAATGTGATGGACAATCAATAAACTTTCATTCTCAACCCTCTGCTCTACTTAAAATTGACTAGGATAATAGCTAACAATTATTGGGCACTTATACATTACCTACGATTTTTACTTTAATTATTTCATTTAATTTCCATAAAAACTCTGTGAATTAAGTACTAGCTTAAATCCATTTTAGATCTCAGAAAGTTTGAAGCATCTAGCCATTTGTAATTTGCCCATGGTCACACAGCTAGTAAGGGGTAGACCAAGAATTTGAACTCGAATCTGTCTAGCTCCAGAATGTGTACTCTTTTTTTTATAATTGTCTATAGCTGTATGGTACAATGTGTTTTTTATATAAGTATACATTGTGGAATAATTAAATGAGGCTAATTAGCACATCTATCACCTTAAATATTTGTCATTTGCTTGCAGTGAGATTATTTAAAATCTCTTTTAGCTATTTTGAAATATACATGATTATTACTTACAGTCACTGTGCAATATAATAGAACACCAGAATTTATTCCTCCTATTTAACTGAAATTTTGTACCTGTCTACTGATGTCTCCCTTTTCTTCATTCACCCCCCACCCCCAGCCTTTGGCAAGCACCATTCTACTCTCTACTTCTATGAGTTCAACTTTTTCACTTAACATAATGTCCTCTATGTTCAGACATGTCAAAAATGACAGGAGTTCTTCTTCTTCTTCTTTTTTTTTTTTTTTTTGAAACAGAGTCTTGCTGTGTCACCCAGGCTGCAGTACAGTGGTGTGATCTCAGCTTACTGCAACCTCTGCCTCCTGGGTTCAAGCAATTCTCCTGCCCCAGCCTCCTGAGTAGCTGGGATTACAGGTGTGCGCCACCACGTGGCTAATTTTTGTATTTTTAGTAGAGGCAGGGTTTCACCATGTTGGCCAGGCTGGTCTCGAACTCCTGACCTCATGATCCGCTCACATCTTTCTTCTTTTTTAAAGGCCAAACAGCATTCCATTGTGTATATATATATCATGTTATAAAATTCATTCATCCACTAATGGATTCTTGGGTTGTTTCCATATCTTCCCTGTTGCATATAGTGCTGCAATGAAGATGGAAGTGCATATATCTCTTTGACATACTGATTTCAATTCCATTGGGTATAGAACCAATAGTGGGATTGCTGGGACATATGGTAGTTCTATTTTTAGTTTTGCAAGAAATCTCCATGCTGTTTTCCAAAATGACTGTGCTAATTTACAATACCACCAACAGTATACAAGTGTTCCCTTTTCTTCACATCCTCACCAGCACTTGTTATCTTTCATCTTTTTGATAGTGGCCAATCCATTAGGTATAAGGTGATGTCTCATTGTGGTCTTAATTTGCACTTCTCTGATAATTAGAGACGTTGAACACTTTTTCATATATTTGTTGTCCATTTTTATGTCCTCATTTGAGAAATGTCTGTTTATGTGTTATATCCATTTTTATAGGGTTATTTTCTTGCTATTGTGTAGTTTGAGTTCCTTGTATATTTTGAATATTAGCCCTTTATCTGATGGATGATTTACAAATATTTTCTCCTAATCTGTGAGCTGTTTCTTGACTTTATTATTTACTTGGCTATGCAGAAGCTTTTAGTTTGAGGGAATTTCATTTGTCTATTTTTGTTTCCATTGTCTGTGCCTTTGGAGTCATAACCAAGAAATCACTGCCCAGACCAATGTCATGCGGCTTTTCCTAAATGTTTTCTTCTAGTTATTTTATAGTTTCAGGTCTTATATTTAAGTCATTAATTCACTTTGAGTTGATTCTGGTACAAAGGGTGAGATAGGAATTCATCTTCCTTCTTCTGTATGTGGATATAGTTTTCTCAACACTGTTTATTGAAGAGACTGTACCCACTGTGTTCTTGGCACATTTGTCAAGAATTAGTTGACTGTAGGCAAGTGGGTTTATTTCTGGGTTTTCTACCCTATTCCATTTTTCAGTGTATCTGTTTGTATGCCAGTGGCACATTTGTCAAGAATTAGTTGACTGTAGACATGTGGGTTTATTTCTGGGTTCTCTACCCTATTCCATTGGTCAGTGTATCTGTTTGTATGCCAGTGTCATATTGTTTTGAGGACTATAGCTTTGCAGTACATTTTAAAGTCCAGCAGTGTGATGCCTACAGCTTCATTCTTTTTGGTAAAGATTACTATGGCTATTCAGGATGTTTTGTGGTTCCATACAAATTTTAGGATTGTTTTTTCTATGTCTTTGAAAATGCCATTGGGATTGTGTTGTTGTTATTGTTGTAGAGACAGGGTCTCACTGTGTTGCCCAGGTTGGTCTTGATCTTCTGGTATCAAGCAATCCTCCTACTTTGGCCTCCCAAAGTGCTGGGATTACAAGAATGAGCTACCACGCCCATCCAGCATTGGAATTTTAATAGAGGTTGCATTGAATCTAAAGATTTCTGTGGGTAGTATGGATATTTTAACAATATTAATTTTTCCAGTCCATGAACAAGGATATATTTCCACTTATTTGAGTCATCTTCAATTTCTTTCATGAATGTTTTATTGTTTTCAGTATATAGCTCTTTCACTTCCTTGGTTAAATTTACTACTGAGTTGTTTTTGGTGTTTTGGTTGTCGTTGTTGTTGTTGTTGTTTTTTGCTGCCATTATAAATGGGATTGTCTTAATTTCTCTTTCAGGTAGTTGATTGTTAATATTTAGAAACGCTATTTTTGTAAGTCAATTTTGTATTCTATAACTTTACTGAATTTGTTTATGAGTTCTAACACATTTTGTTGTGGAGTTTTTAGGATTTTATCTGTAAGATCAAGTCATCAGCAAACAGAATTGTGCTCTTTGTGTACTATGCCTTTCACCTCCAAGCTATCATTTTAGCTTGGAATGGCTAGGTAAAAGCTTCAAAGAAAAGAAACCATAATGTAAGTCTGTACATCAAGTCTGTAGTACATCACAACATTTGTATAAATATCAGAAAGTTCAATCAGTAATGCATGTTGGAAAACATATAGCCAATGTAAGAAATTCAGTTTTTATTTATACTGCCAAAAATTAAAGAGACATTGTCTAAATTTCCAAGTTGGAATGTAAAACTTCGGCCACTGGATTTCCAGTTGACTCTGACAAAATTCATACCAGAGAAAATATAGTAAACTTCAAGAGATGAGAATCGTGTGTAATATACACTACCATCTTTAGAAAATCAAAGTACAGTAGTAAAATTCAGTACTTTTAAAATCCAACATGGCTTTTTATCTAGAACTAGTAATATAGATGCAGTTGCCTAAGGTTTAGTTGGGTAAACAAATACAATTAGATGTTATTTTTTCAGAAAACATCTGGTCATCACTAACCTAGATTAAAGTACTGTGTTTGGGGAGACCCAGTAAACAAAAGTAAATTAAATAGATCTGCATGCTACACAAGGAGTTTGTAATCTTAAGTTTATAATAAAATGAATTCACTGATGGCAGCAATCCAGAGAAGTATGCTAAATTCATTGACATGTTGGTAATTATCACCAAAGTTGTACAAAGAACAATAGGAGTTCAAAGAAGGAGAGATCACCTGAAGTTCAGATAATCAGAGAAGAATCAAGGTAACATCTGAGCTGAGCATTGAATGGATGGATAATATTTGGGGAGGAACTGTCAGAATGAAAATCCAGACATTAAGAAATAATGCAAGCAAATCATTCTGGTAACTACCAGGCCTTGAATGTACCTGAATACACCCCTATTAAAGATTTCACCACTTTTTTATTAGTTTACTTTACTAATGTTTTACAAATCTAAAAAAAAATTGATCTCTACTGAATGTACGTTAATGTTCATAAAATGTATTCATTCAATTATTTCTTCTATGTGTCAGAAACTGTGTTATGGCTGAGAGGCAGAAGAAAGCCTATCTCCTGTCTCTAAGGAAACTGGTTTGTTTAGTAGCAGACAAGTAAGCACATTGTTAATTAAATATATGTGTGTTTATATATATAATTAAATATATATGTGTTTATATATATACACACATATATATAAACACATATATAGTAATAACACAATTTGAGATTTTCTGGATTTGGGAATAAGAGATCATGTCAAGCTTGTAGAAAAATAATTTTTAATGACTCCCAAAAGAATCTACTAATCTCTAAGTTAAAAAAAAATATTTTTGTCTAGAATAGAGAACAATGGGGAGGAAGGGCAAAGGGACTCAAATATCTGCAGTTAAAGGAAAAGGAAAATGAGTCAGAAAAGGTATTAAAAGAATTTGAAGAGAGTTTTGGTTTGAGAAGAATAGCATTTTGGAATAGCAGAAGATTCCTGGGATCAAGGCAAAGATGACATCCAAAGAAAGAATTCATGTCAGGAAACCTGGTAAGAGCCAAATTAAATGAAATAACTACCAAAACTATCTATTCCAGTAGCTGCTATGCATGTATCACCTTATAATGGATTTGGGGGATGGAAATTTCAGATTAAAAATATGAACTCTATATTACTATATGATCATACATTGACAATAAAATTTTTCTCTCTCCTCCTGATGACAGAGCTGAGATTCACTAGTCTCAAAATGTTGAGTGTTTTAATCTCTAAAGTTGTTGTATTTTTAAGCCATAGGAACCTCATCAAGGCATAACGTTTGTTGTTGTTGTTGTTGTTTGAGATGGAGTTTTGCTCTTGTTGCCCAGGCTGGAGTGTAATGGCATGATCTCAGCTCACTGCAACCTCTGCCTCCCAGGTTCAAGCGATTCTCCTGTCTGTCTCCCAAGTAGCTCGGATCACAGGCATGCACCACCATGCCTGGCTAATTTTTTTGTATTTAGTAGAGATGGGGTTTCACCATGTTAGTCAGGCTGGTGGTGAACTCCTGACCTCAGGTGATCCACCTGGCTCAGCCTCCCAAAATGCTGGGATTACAGATGTGCGCCACCGCGCCCGGCCGGCATAACGTTTTAATATATACTACATAAAGAAAATGGTGACTAAATAAAATATATAGCATTTTATACCAAATTATCCATATTGGAGAAGAGAAAGTATTGAAGGGTAACTAATCAAAATACATATTAAAATAATAAGGTTGGACACTGGGAGAAGACAAGTTTGGCTGCCAATCTGACAATGGCCCTTGGCATTTGCACTGTATAGGGTCCTGTCCTCTAGTCGCAGTTCATTAAAATAGTGATGACATCTGACTCAAGAAATGCCAAAGAGTCTTTTCAAGAATTTAAATGACTCATTGACTCCAGGGAGTCAACTCCTGGAACTTGAACTAAGAAGCCCTGTTGGGAACTGGGGTAACCATGAGCAAGCAGAGAAAAGCACCAAGATCAGACAGAAGCAGGGAAGGGTAATGAGAGAAAAGGAGAAGCACAGAAAGAAGTCAGTACACACCATTTGGAGATAGGGAAGTCAGTATAGGAGAAGGTGGTGAAGAGACAGGGGAAAGTTTCTGATGGCTTTCCTTCTTTTGCAGATGGTTCTTTGTGTAGTTCAAATGTGCTTCCTGCCTTGGATTCTAAAACCACTGCATTGAAAGTCCCCTTTATTTCCAAGTAAGCTATTTTGAATAACTTTTTAAAAATTAAGTTAGTGTGAATAAAAAGAAGTAGCCCCCGAGAAACAGAATGTCCTATATTTCAAAGTCATACTATTTTAAAATATTTGTTCTTATTCATCCAGGTCATAGTGTCACTATCTCTGATATCACTAAGGATTTCATATCTCTGCTATTACTAAGGATTTCATAGTTACTTGCTACTCCTTTTAAAAAGGGTGGATAGAAGAACTTCTCTAAATGTCTAGTAACTTTAGGGTTTTTGTATATTAAAAGATGCCAGGTGAGAGAAGACAAAGAGAAAACAAGTGGAAATATGGTTTTCTGTGGAAGGTATGATAGAATAATGCCCCACTTCCAACCCCAAAGATGTCTACATCCTAATCCCCAGACACTGTGACGTGAATGTGTTACTTCACATAGTCAAAGGGACTTGCAAATGTAAAAGTGAAGAACGTTGAGATTGGGAGATTATCTTGGACTATTCATGTGATTCCTACTAGGGAAGAAGAATGTACCAGAGAAGTGAGATGAAAGGAGGAAAGATTCAAATACAAAAGGACTTCAAATCACAGTTTCTGACTTTGAAGATGGAAGAAGGGAACCATAAGCCAAGAAATGTAGGGGCCTCTAGAAGCCAGGAAAGGCCCTCAATGGATAACTGCAATAAAAAAGGAGACCTCAGTCCTAAAATCACAAGGAATTGAATTCTGCCAACAGCCCAAAGGAGCAAGAAAATGAATCTTGTCCTAGAGCCTACAAAAGGAATGCAGGTGCCCTGCCAATGCCTTGATTTTAGCCCAGTGAAATTCATGCCAGACTACAGAACTGTAAGATAATACACTTGTGATGTTTTAAGCCACTAAGTTTGTGGAAAACTGTCACAGAAGCCATAGAAAACTACTATACCTTTTAAATCAAATTCTATGATTCTCAGTCTAGTAGGATATGACAGAAAAATGAAGTCAGACTTTTTCCTCAAGAACTGTTTTATCTTCAGTTGCTTTAACGATCACGTTTTCCTACTATGGTGCTGATTAGTTTTTTGGTAAGATTCTTGATCACAGAAGATATCAAATACACAGACTGAAGTTCAACACTTATTTTGAAGCTAGAAAATAAAAATATATATACATTCTTGGAATAATCTATTGCATACATACAGTATGAAAAAAATGAAGTAACTTCATAAAACAGTATCCATTTGTAAAATTCACTAGAGAATTCCAGTGTATTTCCATGGAACTATGCATTGTCAAGTTTTTAATTAGTCACACTAATTTCCCCCTTTGGTGTTAACTATCAAAGCATACTCAAATCTTCCTCATTGGCATTACACATTGGAGTTGCTCAATAAATGTATGTTGGACTTCAGTGTGGTGTTCTGCTAAGTACTTAAAATTCAATAGGGAAAAATAATCACAAGAATTTCTGTTAGGAGTTTGAGATAATTTGGTGGATAATTATGTGCCTTCCTATTACTGCTGGAGGGTAACAGCTGTCATGTATGACCCAAGTGCTGTTGTGAAGTGTGGTTTTGTGCATTCTTCAAAGATAACTAAGCATCTTTCATGTGTTACGACTTGTGTAGTCCTGAGTGATTAATCACTTTGATCCTTGAATCAAATGGGCTCTTAGGTGAAAGAAATATAAACACTTATGCAATGGGACAAGGGCTATAATTCAGTTATCTATAATTCACTTATTAAGAATCTACTATGCACTGGGTACTGGGAAGGGGGGTAGGCCCTGGGGAAACATAGATTAATCCCCTTGAGTATGGGCCAGGCTTTGTGACTCGTTTCTAATAAATGGAAGCTTCATGGATGAGGCTGCTGACTTCCAGTTCAGGTCATAAAAGACATCCTGCTTTCACCTGGTTCTCTAACCCCTCTTCCTGCCACTGTTCTTTAAGGAAGCCAAACAGCCACATGGAAAGACCACATTTAGGTGTTCTGAACACAGTCCCAACTGAGCCAATATCAGCTGTCAGACATGTAAGTCTGTGATATCTCAGATAATTCTAGCCCCCAGTCTGGGAACTGCCACAGGTGGCAATGAAAGGACCAGAGATGAGTTATCATTGGTGAGCCAGATCCATACTGCAGATTTTTGAGTAAAGTAAATGTTGCTTTAAGGCTCTAGGCTTGAGACAGCTTATTACATAGCTATAGATAGTAGAAACATGCTTTTTAAGAAAATATATTTATACCTACATTTATTTATGTTCTGTCTTTTTCCGTTTAACTTTAAGTTGCTTGAGGACAGAGAACCCATCTGTTTTCAGTGCTTGGGACAGTAGCTTGCTTGCGTATAATGGTTGGTTAATATTTCTGAAAAAAAAAAAAAAGAATGAATTTATTGTATGATATACATCTTAGAAAACACTATTCTGGCTTTGGAAAAGATAATTATATAGATCCAAGACAGGAAGACAAGCTGGGAAACTTGCAATAATCCAGGTAAGAACTGACAGTAGAAACTGTGGATATGATTGAAATCACTAGGCAGAAAATGTAGAATGAGGAGGAAAGAAAAAAAAAATCCAGATCAAAGCTTCAAGAAAGACAAAGCAAGGAGCAATTAATGGTTAAAGACCCTTTTAAAAAGTTTGTTAATTATGGAAAATTTCGGATATTCCCAAAAGTAGAGAGAATAGTAAAATGAACTCTTATGTATCCATCACCAAAGTTCAAAATTTAGCCATTTTGTGCTGTTTGTATTTTGTCTACAATTATATTATTTTAGGCTGTTCACAAGGATATAAAAGATTCAAGCAATATTTCTTGGTGCCTACTATTGAGAGGGACTACTTAGTGGTTTAGGATGATAAAAGTATGAATAAAACTGGGTATCACAGATTTTGGATTGCTGATAGAGAGTTGGGAAAGTGTACTATATCAGCAAGTCCAAGAAGAAAACACATACACAGGCAAACAGCATATCTAAGGAGTGTTTAATAAAGGAATTATTTACAAAGCTGTGAGTAAGGTTAAAGAAAACAAACAAGGAATGGTAAAATACACCAGCAAGGGGGTGTTTCTATCCTTAGGCCTGAAGAAGCAAAGGGAGAGAGCTCAGAGAGGGTAGCCGCAGCCTTTGACAGGGCCAGCTAAAAGAGCCATGGCCTTTAATAGAGGGAGGGAGCCAACTAGGAGCAGCTGGCAGAGAAGGAGGGGGTAAGTAAACACTCCCTCCTCACTCTCCTTTCACTCTGCTCTTGCTGGTGCTTCCTCTTGGTTGAACCCAACTGGAGTAAAAGTAAGCTTATTGACACACTCAATCCAGGAAAGTTTCCTGGAATACAGAGTTTTCCTGGAATACAGAGTGTGCCAGAGAAGGAAGCAAAGGGAATCTAAAGGGGCAAACAGAAAATATCCAACAAAAAGGCAAAATATCCAACAAAAATGTAGCCCTGTACATTTCAATTCAGTGTGACCAAAGCAACTACAAAGAAAAAATGCACACAATACAGAGATAGCTAGAAGTAAATAATTCCCTTTATCTTGCAAAAATAGTGCTTGAGTTGGCTTTGGGTTTTCTTTCAACTTTTTGTTAAAACATAATTCATAAAGGTTAAAAAATCATAATACATCTCAATAAATTTTCAGAAAGTGAGCACACATATATAATTAGCACCCAGATCAAAAAAGAAAACACTACCAGCATCCCAGAGTTCCCCATATTGCCTCCTCCAGCCATTATTCTCCTCAAGGGACACCACTATCCTGTCTTCTAATACCACAGATGAATTTTGTATGATTGTTGAACTTGATATGAAGTGAATTAAGTAGCATGTATTCTTTTGTGTCTGGCTTGTTGTGCTCAATTATTTGTGAGTGTTACCTATGTTGTTGTGTGTAGTTGCATTCTGCTCTATTTCATTGTTATATAATATCCTATTGTGTGAATATACAACAATTTATTCATTCTATGGTAGTGGAAATCCATAAGATTCCCAGTTTTTACATATTAAAAATAATACAGAGATGAACATTTGGGTTTTGAACAAAGACTAGGAAGTGACATTTGTGAAATGGACACAGAAGTGGGACTTTCTTGTGAAGGACAAACCGTGAACAATGGGATGGAGGCATGAAATAGCACAGTGTTTTGGGGCACCTCTAGGAAGCTGGACATCGCTGGGTTGTGGCAGGTGAGGTGAGAGTGACAGGACCTGAGTCTGGAGAAGCAGGAAGGGTCCAGATTCTTCAACAAGGTATGGGGATGGGCTTCAGTGAAGACTGAAAACAAAGGACTGGCTGTACCTGATAAGGATTTTAGAAAAATGACTGTCACAGTGATACTGAGAATGGATTGGAGTAAGAATCAGTCAGAAAACAGGAGGGCTATTTCGTGGGTTTCTTCCACATTCCAACACGGATAATTAACTGTGCTACAATGTTTAAATACTGGAATTTCCCCAGTCTTTAGAAATATCTTCCTTAGGAATGCTGCATTCTTGTGTCCTCAACTTTTGAAAGACTTTGGTTCTAGGTCAGCTTGCGTTCTCTTGGGGCTTTGATGCAGAAATCAGCAAAAGCCACTTGAGTCTCAGCACAAAGTGGAATCTTCACTATAGTTTTATATATTTATTTAAGTATTTATGAGGAAAAATCTGGCTTCTTATGTATATAAGAATACATGCTGGATGGGGAATCTAATCAGGCTAGAGAAGGAGAATCTTGTCCATCATAAAGAGTAGTCACTTCCCTTTTAAGATGCAGCAGGATCCCAATGGCAATAGCCGAAGTTGAGCAAAAAGGCTCAGTAAGTCACATGGGGGAAGTGGTTCCTGTAATAATTTGGGGGTAGTCAGCAGGGAGACAGTGTTGTTGTTGCCTCCACTACATTTTGTTTTGCTTTGTTGAAAAATAGCACTTATATGAAGATTCATCTATCAGCAGTAAAATATTAGGTTCATGCCTCACACCTGCATACATTGTAGTTCAAAGAAAGTACTGGTGACATATAACCAAAGGACACAAAACATGACACTTTACTTTCATGAGTGCGCAAGAGAGAATGAGAGAGAGAAGTAGATGGGCAAGGATATAGACAATATCATTACAAATGATGAAAGTGCTACTTACAAAGACAAAGCCAGTTATTGCTATTTTGCAAGTCAATGCTAAACCAGACTAGGATTAGTGAATTTAGTGAATTTTAAGAAGTTAGGAAGGGTGATGTAATCAATTTAGACAGAAAACAGAACAAATATTTTTGATGCAGACTGTTCAGAATTGGTGCATAATTCTGGACTTCCCATGCAATCAAGCAATTTCATGGCCATGTTGGGTATGGGGTCTATCACCAGCCAGAAACTTGCAGAGCAGGCAGCCATTCAGAAGTATTTAATAAAATCAAAATTCTTTAAAAACTGTAATATTTAACTTTGTGATCTGATGGTACCTGAAGTTTTAATAGGATCTGGGGCTCAGCAAAGGAACCCATGACCAAAGCTT
Organism: Homo sapiens; assembly: GCF_000001405.40. NCBI lineage: Eukaryota > Metazoa > Chordata > Mammalia > Primates > Hominidae > Homo > Homo sapiens. The sequence continues at coordinate 89,122,166 of NC_000010.11, forward strand.
GGCACCTCACCACATTCAGAAGAATGATTGAGACAACAAGTGGTTTTTGAGTTTGATTATGTATCTAGCTCTTAGCAAAGAAAGAAAAATAAGGGGAAAAATAAGACATGTGTCCTATCCCTCTCACATACACTCTGTTATCAAGTATCAAACTCCATAGAAGGGGTCATAAATGTTAAATAATAAGAGAGATCAATTAGGATGAAATGGAGAAGACTTTTGGAACAGATATGAGGCTGGAAGAACTGGTAGAATTTGGACATGTGAAGAGGTGGAAATCAGTTGTTCTGGAATAGAGTGTGTATATATATGTATGTGCTATGTTCTGGGAGTTTTAGAGGAACAGTAACAGCACCAATGTGTCTAGAAGAAATGAAAAGTGCTCAGCCTTAGACAGTGCTCAGCCTCAGCAGAGGTTCAGATGATGAAGGCCCTGAACAATAAAGCAGAGGGGTGGGCCTTGTTAGGCCGGGCAACAATGAGTCATTGTAATTTACCGGCTAGGAGGAAGCTATGGTGTATTAGTTTCCAGTGGCTGTATAACAAATCATCACAAATTTAGTGGCTTAAAAGCAACACAAATTTATTATTGTACAGTTCTGGATGTTAGAAATCTAAAATGAGTCTCACCGGCCTAAAGCCAATGTACAGGCAGGACTGTACTCTTTCTGCAGGCTCTATGAAGTAATCTGTTTACTTCCCTTTCCAGTTTCTGGAGGCTACGTACATCTGTTGCCTTGTTGCCCCTTCCTCCAGCTTCAAAGCCAGTAATGACATCACTCCAGCTTCTGCTTCCATCCTGACTTCTCTTCTGACTGTCTTGCTTCTCCCACCTTTTGAAGATCTTTGGGATTATACTAGGCCCACCTATATAATCTAGGATACTCTCCCTATGTTAAGATCCTTAACTTAATCACGACTGCCATGAAAGGTAACCTATTCATAGGTTCTGGGGATTAGGATGTGGACGCTTTTGGGGGACCATTATTCTGCCTGCCGCATATGATCTAGTGACCTAATCCTAGCCCTGAATCAGTAAATAGATGTCAGCTCTTTAAAGTTGTCACTGATGCAAAGATACTAAAGTGGAATGTATAACAGGTCTTAATCTTTATAATGACTGCTTTCGTCCCCCTGTGTTTCCAATGCACATAAAAATTCCAGAAACCACCTACATAGAAGAGAGTACTGTGTGCCTAAAAAATACACCTTTCTCTCCATTCCTCACCACAGGGAATTCAGACTGGCCTACAACTTGAGAATTCTGCAAGCACAGACAACTTGGAAAGGACAGAACCCCCAGCAGATGGAAAATTACAGTACTCTGAGACTTTAGGAAATGGTACAGTCATATCTAAAATGAGTGACCGTAGGAAGGAACCAGATCATGTTAACAAATCCACTGAGTCCTAGATTTCACTTCTTCTTTTAACATTAGTTTTATTTCCTTCATCAGTTACAAATATAAGTTGTTATTTTGGTCACATGAACGGAGGAAATGTCCATGTGTCTACTCCATTGCAAGGAGAAGTAATGACGTTTCTTTTCTTTTTTTTTTTTTTTTTTGAGATGGAGTATTTCTCTGTTGCCCAGGCTGGAGTGCAATGGCGCAATCTCAGCTCACTGCAACCTCTGCCTCCCAGGTTCAAGCAATTCTCCTGCCTCAGCCTCCCGTGTAGCTGGGATTACAGGTACATGCCACCATGCCCGGCTAATTCTTGCATTTTTAGTAGATGCGAGGTTTCACCATGTTGGCCAGGCTGGTCTCGAACTCCTGGCCTCAGGTGATCCTCCCACCTTGGCCTCTCAAAGTGCTGGGATTACAGGCGTGAGCCACTGTGTCCGGTGTAATGATGTTTCTAACTTATTTCATAGTAATAGCTGAGAGCTAACTCAATCATTCTTTTAACAGATACATATTACATATTAGTGCCAGACACAAAGGACAGAAAAATGAGCATCAGTCAATCAATTTCCTCATGTTTCTAGTAATCCTCACAATGGTCATGTGAGGTAGTTGTATTACCTCTCACTTCCAGGTAAAGGAAAAAAGCCTCCAAAAAGTTAAATAACTCATCCTAGGACATACAGCTAAGAAAAGAAAGGACAGGAATTTAAGCAGTTCCCCTCGTAGCTAAAACCCATCTTATTCCTACCATACCATACAGATTTCTCCTGGCCTCAGACTCTTTTGTAAATCCTCACGTTTTTGGTTCATATTCTGCCAAATGCTTATATTCACTAACATGGAGAGAGTTCATAACATTGCAAAAATTTACAAATCTTTTTTTTTTCTGTCACTCATATGTAACAGGGCCCTGGAATTCTGATATCTATTGACTCAGATGTCAGTGGTGTTTATGGTATGTTCACCCCATCTTAACACTGATACACACAGTTGATGATTAAAAAAATACTTAAGAGACCTTTATTGTCGGCAAATGCTGCTGGAGCTCAGAGGGGGCACATAGAGCTGTGGCCTGGGGAAGGTCAGTGAAAGTTTCAGGAAGAAGGTCAGATTTTGGCCGGGCACGGTGGCTCACACCTGTAATCCCAGCACTTTGGGAGGCCGAGACGGATGAGAGCGAGGCCATCCTGGCTAAGATGGTGAAACCCCATCTCTACTACAAATACAAAAAAATTAGCTGGGCGTGGTGGCAGGCGCCTGTAGCCCCAGCTACTAGGGAGGATGAGGCAGGAGAATGGCGTGAACCCGGGAGGCGGAGCTTGCAGTGAGCTGAGATCTCACCACTGCACTCCAGGCTGGGCGACAGAGTGAGACTCCGTCTCAAAAAAAAAAAAAAAAGAAGGTCAGATTTTAACTGAGTCTTAAGGAGTGGTTCAAATTTGGAAGGCAGATGGGGTAAGAGCAACCAGATCACAGAAGAGTAAAAGGCAAGAAAGATGGGAAGCCCATAGCCTTTTCAAAGACAATGAGACAATTAGTTTGGAAGGAGAAAGTGATAGGCAAATATGGAATGTAACCTAAAGGGTTGTACAAAAGCTCTTAATCCTTCCAGACAATTAATCCCTTCCTTCTCTATGTTCTTATAACATTTTGAAAACGCATTTCTATTGTAGCATTTAATACTTTGCATCATAAGTATTTTTGTGCGATATCTTTTTTACTATTAAATCCATGGCATGAAGCTCAAAGTAGGGCAGCAATAAATTATTAATTGATTAATCAAATCAGTGAATGAACGAATGAATACCTCTTCCATTAGTTGTGAACTCTAAGAACAAAGCTTGTGTCTTACTCATCTTTGTATCTCTAGCTCTAAGCCAATGCCTATAGGTTCTCAATAAATGTTCATAGAAATGAACATTTATTCAGTCTAACTCCTACTCATTCTTTAAGGATTCTCCATTCTTTCCTTCTTACTTTCCTCCATTTTCCCCCTTTGAAGTCTTTTCTAATGACTAGCCAGACAAATGTAACACAAACCCACAAAGTAGGCAACCCTCCCCTCTGCACCAGTAGTTCCCCATGCACAAGGGTGCTATTTACAATGGTGTGCTGGAGCCACTGCATATCGGATCCTGAGAGCCGATTATAAATCATCAGGAATTTTGCAAACCAGTTGTTAAACCTAACCAGTCTACAAAAGCAAATTGTATAAGCTTAAAATTAATTATATTTTAAAACTCATTACTTTGTGATTATTTTACTATATTTTACTATTATCTATGTCCCTGTGATTATTTATGCTGATCATAACTATATGGTGCAAATATATAACCATGATCTACTGTGCATCTCTTCCCAACTCCATGTTCAGTGATGTCATGTCGGTAGCTTGAAATTGGCCTTGGAGTATTTACAATATGTAAATTGGCAAGCACTACAGAACGGAGTGTGATTTATCATTTTGTTGATTGTCTATACCATGGATTAGTAAATTTTTTTATAAAGATCCAGGTAATAAATATTTTAGACTTTATAGGCAATCTCTATTGCAACTACTCAACTGTGTAGTTGTAGCTTGGAAGTAGCTACAACTAAAAACAGAGACAATATAAAAACAAATGGGTATGCTTGTGTTCTAATAAAACTTTTTTATACAATCAAGGTGGATTGGGATGATGGGGTAGTTTTGGTTGTAATTTGACCTTACTTGGTCTATACCTAAGAAAGCAATGGAGATACATTAACTATGCAGATTAAACTTAAAAGTGGATCATAGCTTTTACATTGTGAATAGTACCAACAATTAGGAAATATTCCTCTATTATTCTAAAACCAATTCAGCAACAAAGCCACACACAGAATTGGTGAATGAGTGAGGTTCTAACATATGTCATTATTTTTTCACTTTCATCTTATTCATTAATGTACACAAAGATATCAATAACCATTCATAGCAAAGCTACCTTCTTTTTTCAGTTGTAACCAGAAGTTGATGATGGATACAAGAGTTCAGCAAAAAAACAATAAAAACATTATTAGTAAAATTTATAATACTTGTATGTATGTATATATGTATTCCTCCTGCCCCCAGATTGCTGGTTGGTAAGCATTTATCAGCAGACACTGGTACTATTATTCACATAGTAATTTCCAATGGTTTATATACATCTTTTTATTTATCTCAAGACTTAGAGCATCTTGAAAATAGGGATCATGTCTTACTTATTTCTTTGGTCTCCAAGTCTAAGACAAAGTTTAGCCTTTATTAGCTCAGTAAAGATGTATTTTTGAAAGTGATTATATTAATGATCATGATGGCACTGTCTTATGTATACTAAGCCTTTACGATTTGACAGGAACTGTGCAAAGTACTTTATATGTTCATTTAATCCTCATAACAACTTACAAAGTAGGTGGTATTTTCTCCATTTTATAGCTGAGGAGACTGAGGATTTGAAAACCTAAGTGGTTTGTTCAAAGCAATACACTTAGTAAACACTGAAGCTAGAATTTGAAACCAGACAGTGTCACATCACAACTTGAACCCACAATGATGGCTGTGGAGCTTCCACACCACCTCCCATTTGTATTAATATTTGCTGAATATTTTTTAATTGATTCACTTCTTTCATTTAAATGTGGTCAGTCTCATTTGTGAAATCACACGTTTGATAATCTGCCCATATATTTCCAAATATATTAAAATATACATGCAACTATAAATAAAAATGTTTCACCTTTCATGGCTTACTTTTAGAAACATTAGTCCTTTCTATACTGCTCTGTAGGATGACATCAGTGAAAATGCCTGTTAGAACACCCTAAGCCATCACCCTATGCCACCCCAGTAGTGAGTTAGCTGGCTAAGGTTTCTCCTGAAGGACAGTGGCCTCTGTTTGTCAGCATGGAAGACAAATATAATTTGGGGTGTTAGACTGGTATTTGGGTTTAGGAACAATAAAGAGGTTGTTTAGCACACTAGCCAAACCACTTTCTCAAGTCTAGGTTACCAGGGCTGTATGGATTATGGTTTTGGACCCTAGATGAGATTAAATTAAACGGTATTTTGTCTTTTCCTATCCTTGGTCCTCAGTTGTGATTCAATCTTTGTTACTTAAGAGGTAGTATATAGTTATATCTGAGTCTTCTGGTCAAATGACACTGCATGGAACCCTAATCTCAAATTAGTGTATAAAAGACACATTTTCTGAAACCAACTCCGTGGGGACACAGACACTCTATGGAGAATTAAATTAAATTTTAAAGAGAGTTAAAGATTGTTTATGAAATGGCTAAAGTCTTTAAACAAAAGTCTCATCTAAACAAGTTTTATTACTATTTAGTCTGACATACGTAATCCAGTCATCTTTTATTTTGTGGAAGCACAACTGACTTGATTAAACTGCACTCCAGAGTGGGTTTAAAAATAAGAGACAACATTCTGAGACAGGATGGCTTTAAAGGGGAGAGATAGTGTTTGATCACTTGCCCTCTCCCTCTGCTTTAACAAGCCGTTATCCCTGCCAAGAAAGATATTTCTAGTTTGTTTAAAGCATTGAAGATTAAAAGATTATATAATAGCTCGGAATCAAAATGTTGTTTTGATGAAGGAAACACAGTGGTTGAAGAAAAATTCTCACCATATACAGTTAGTAGAGAAAAGAAAATTATGCTCACTGCTGCTCGGCTTCAGTGCTCAAATATGTCTTCAAATGAGTGTGTGTGACCAGTATGATCAGCTCAGAGCCCTAAGCATCTGAGAACAGGCTTCCCTGAGAAGACTTCAGTGATGCTCCCAAGGAAACTCAGTCCCCTTAGCTCGATCATGTGGGGAGCACAACCCTAGGCTGGCAGTACCACGTTGGGTTGCCATTGTTTCTCTGGCTATTGCTCCATCTGTGAACAATTTGGCATGAAAAATTATATCCTATTACCTTTGTAAACCAATTCCTAAAATATTTGTGGATGCATAGTCAATGTCCTATAAAAATGTTATTGCCTGGAGGCATGAAAGTAAGTTAGAGAGTTTCTGAAAAGGTTAGGTGTCTTACTACCAGTTTTATGTCTTGTCACAATTGATAAGTCTTACCAAATAATACTGTGAGAGTGAGAAGGTGGAAATAATTTAAATTATTTGAGGAAAAAACAGAAACACAGGGAGGTTGAGTTTGACTAGTCACAAAGATGTTGGCTGGAAGATCAGGAATAAACTTCTAGGCTTGATGCAGAGTTGAGTTATAATCATGACAAACAGGAAATTTAGGAGGCCAAATAGGGCATAAATTTTGATAATCAATGGATTATAGAAGTTGTAGATGAGATGCAAGAAGCTTGGCTTAAAAAGAACATTCAATAATGCTAGAAAAAATAATGATGAGTAGTTTTGTTTGGGTTTGTTCAGGCAGTCAGATACTTGAAAATTCCAATAATTAGAATTATTCCATAAAGATCATCTAAAAGAATAGGTTCCCTTTGCCTTCCCTTAAGGCAAAATGATTATTTTATCCTTTTAGCAAAGATTGATTTATCTGATTACCACACTCCATTGCTAACATTCTTTTTAGCTTCAAATACAAGACAGGTATAATCAGAAAAGGGTTAGGCAGGTGTGGATCTGTTTAGGGCAATAATTCTCAATATTGACTATACAGCAAATCGCCAGAGAGGCTTTTAATAATAGAGATTCCCAGGCCACAGCCAAAGCATTTAGATTAGACTCTTTGGGAATTACACCTCAGGCATCTGTCTTCTGAAAGCTTTGCGGATAACTATAATGCAGAGGTAATCCAGGTTTGTGGGTCAGTCATACCTCAGAAAACTAGATTTGCAGGGCTAGAAGGAGCTTACTTTTTAATAAATTACCCTAATTTCATGGATTAACAAATTTTCCTAAAACAATGGATTTGTCTTTAATTAGTAGTATAAGAAAAAACATGTGTTTCAACAGAAAACTACATGTTGTCTACAGCACACTGTTCCAGGTTATCTTAATGTAATTCTGCAGAAACTACTTCATAAATCTGAAAAGGATGAATAACTGACAAATTATTGTCCATAGACTTGCAATTTTGTCCTGTCTAGTAGAGGCTTAATGGGCTTCTCTCTCCAACTAGGAAAAAATTAGTGTTGCCTCCTCATGCACATTCATTTCAGCATTCCTTTACTTAATATAAAAGTGTGCTTTTGTGACTTCTCCTTTTAACTGCTTAGAACATGTCCATAGTTATAACTGTATGAGTTAAATATTTAAGTTCATTTTTCATCCCTATAAGAGCGATGATCCTTTTATCCACTATCATTTATCCTTTTTTTGAAAATTAACTTTTAACAGTGATAATTCTCTTTAGAACAACATGGCAGGTCTTTTTACTTTCTGGTATCTTTCTGTGGGCCAGATTGCCACCACTTCCTGATCCCATACCACCCTTACGACCGGCCATGGTCCAGCCACAAATAGGATCTGAACTCACCACAGATGTTGGGCCTGGACCTAACCCAAGAAAATCATGCCCATGGCTAAGGTTGAGTAACACTATGGCGTGTCTGTGGTTTCATGTAAAACAGATCGCATACTGATGAAATCTTGGAAATCAAATTATATATAAAACTAGCAAACTGCTGAATTTGCTAATTTCTCTTTTATTTTTTCCTAACAGATTCAATTTCCAGTATTTTTTCTAGTCATGTGCTGCATTCATTTCAACAAACATTTTTAGGGGACTTTCTTTTCTAGCACCATGATGAAATAGATATACTGAAAAACTCCCCCTTTAAAATAGCTGGAAATGACGGGAAAAATCAAATAAGTATTCTTTTAAATACACAGCTAAGCTTAAAAGGAAATAGGATGAATAGTGCTGAAACAATTGAACATCTACATGAAAAAAAAAACCTAGACCCACATTTTACACTCTTCATAAAAATAAACACCAAATAGATCATAGACCTAAATGTAAAACACAAAATGATAAAACTCCTTAAAAGATAGCATAGGAGAAAATCTAGATGACCTGAAGTATGGTGATAATATTTCAGATACGACACCAAAGGTGCAATCTGTGAAAGAAATAACTGATAAGCTAGACTTCATTAAAATTAAAACTCCTCTGCAAAACACGCTGTCAAGAGATTGAGACAAGCAACAGACTAGGAGAGAATATATGGAAAAGATATATCTGATAAAGAATTGTTATCCAAAACATATGAAGAACTCTTAAAATTCAACAATAAAAAAAAATTTTTTGGCCAGGCTCAGTGGCTCACGCTTGTAATCCCAGCACTCTGGGAGGCCGAGGCAAGTGGATCACCTGAGGTCAGGAGTTCGAGACCAGCCTGGCCAATATCGCGAAACCTCGTCTCTACTAAAAAATACAAAAATTAGCTGGGCATGCTGGCAGGCACCTGCAATCCCAGCTACTTGGGAGGCTGATGCAGGAGAATAGCTTGACCCAGGGAGGCAGAGGTTGCAGTGAGCCAAGATCAAGCCATTGCACTCTATCCTGGGAGACAAGAGCAAAACTCCATCTCAAAAAAAAAAATTAAAAACAAAAATCTGTACAGACACCTCACCAAAGATGATATGTAAATGGTAAATAAGCATATGAAAAGATGCTCAACATCATGTCATTAGATAAATACAAATTGAAACAATATTAAGATATTAATATCATTACATATCTATTATAATGGCCAAAATTCAAAGCACTGACAACATCAAATGCTGACGAGGATATGAATTAACAGGAGCTCTCATTTATTGCTGGTGAAAATGTAAAATGGTACACCTACATTAGAAGACAGTTTGGCAGTTTCTTATAAAACTAAACATACTCTTACCATATGATCCAGCAATTGTGTTCTTTGCTATTTACCCAAATAAGATGAAAACTGATATCCATACAAAAACCTGCACATAGATGTTTAGAGCAGCTTTAAATGGTTCATTTGGCAATTATAAAATCATCAAAACTTGAACACAACCAAGATGTCCTACAGTAAGTGAAGAGATAGAAATTCTGTGATGAATCGAGACAATGGAATATTTTTCAGCACTAAAAAGAAACGTGCTATCAAGCCATGAAAAGACATGAAGAAACCTTAAATGTATATTACTAAGTGAAAGAAGCCAATCTGAGAAGGCTAAATAATTCCAACTATATGACATCCTGGAGAAGGCAAAACTATGGAGACAGTAAAAAAAAAATCAGCGATGGCCAGGCATGGTGGCTCATGGCTGTAATCCCAGCACTTTGGGAGGCCGAGGCAGGCAGATCACTTGAGGTCAGGAGTTCGAGACCAGCCTAACCAACATGGCGAAACCCTGTCTCTACTAAAATTACAAAAATTAGCCGGGTGTGGTGGTGCACGCCTGTAATCCCAGCTACTCTGGAGGCTGAGGCAGGAGAATTGCTTGAACCCAGGAAGCAGAGGCTGCAGTGAGCTGAGATTGCACCAGTGCAATCCAGCATGAGCCACAGAGTGAGACTCTGTCACAAAAGACAAAAAAGAAAAAAAAAAAAGATCAGTGATTACCACCGCAAAGTAACTACCAGATTATCAGAATAAGAGAGCACGGGGATTTTTAGGGCAGTGAAACCATTGTGCTGGATACATGTCATTATGCATTTGCCCAAGCTGTAAACTATGGACTTTGGGTGATAATGATGCATCAATGTAGATTCATCAATTGTAAAAAATGTAGTACTCTGGTGTGTGTTGTTGAGTCCAGGATGTGGATGGGATTGGGTCCAGAGGATATATGGGAGATTTCTGACTTTTCCCCTAATTTTGCTGTGAATCTAAAACCACTCTAAAAAATAAGATCTATCCCGGGAGGTGGAGGTTGCGGTGAGCCAAGATTGCACCACTGCACTCCAGCCTGGGTAACAGAGCGAGACTCCATCTCAAATAATAATAATAATAATATCTATTTTTAAAAAAGATTAAAGAACAGAAAACATGAAAATTAAATCAAAGCTAACTAATCTTCCTACAAAGAAAACACCAGTCCTAGACAATTTTAAAAGGGAAGTATTCACGAATACTGAAATAATACATAATTCTAATTTTACACAAAATATGTCATACTGTAGAAAATTAAGGAGAACTTCACAGCTCATTTTATCAATTTTGCACAATCTTGACAGCTAGCTCCAAAGAATAGACACTGTCTATCTTACATTCAGCCTGGACACTATGAACCAAAACCACACCTCATGGGCTATGTTATCATGACTTGGTGGTATCCTTTTGTCCTCATTAGCATGACTTTTGCCTTCTAGGAGTATCTTGCTCAGACACATAGTTTTCTGATTCTTCATTATAGAAAGTTCCTAAAAGACCCAATAAATCTTCGATGGTAAACATCAACAAACAGTTTGCACTCTACAGTTGTTTAATCCTTCCCAGTATTTTCCCCTATGCTGAACAGTTACATCTTGATGTTTACCCAATCCTAATTAGCCAGCCTCCACCACCTTTGAAAGAGCCTTCTTTTTTTTCTCTCTCTAAATATTTTTTATTATACTTTAAGTTCTAGGGTACATGTGCACAATGTGCAGGTTTGTTACATATGTATACATGTGCCATGTTGGTGTGCTGCACCCATTAACTCGTCATTTACATTAGATATGTCTCCTAATGCTATCCCTCCCCCCTCCCTTAAATCAAACTTCCAATTCAATAAATTTGCCCTTACCTCCGCTCTTCAGAGACATTGCTAAAGCTCTGCAGAGTTAGTATTCTCTTACTGCTGTGAGCATTTGTCTCATCAAACTGTCATCTTTGTCTCATCAACAGGTTGTGTTGGTAATGTTTGGGGAGCCAGCTTTTGACATTTCAAAACAGTGAGCTACGATCACACCACTGCACTCCAGCCTGGGTGACAGGTCAAGAATTACAGGTCAATCCTACTTATAGAGATAGACACAAAAATTCTAAATGAAATATTATATAACTAAATATAGTAATGTATAATGTATAACTGATTATAATGCAATAACAATTAATATGTGATGACCAAGTTCTATTTATCCCAGGAAGGTAAAGTTGGATTAATATTAAAATATCAATTAGTGTAATTTGCTACATTAATAAATTAAAGGAGAAAAATTATTTGATCAACTTAATGCAGAGAACCTTCTGATAAAAGTCAACATTCTCACACATAATTAAAGTAAATCTAAAACCAATTTTTATCACAATTACAGAAATTTATTAAGCAAATATATATTTATAAGCGATTCAAAACAGCTTATATAACCTGTCCTAAACCTTGTACCTGACCAAATAGACTTAGGTAGGTCCATTACTAAGGATAGGTAAAGTAAACATATTTAATAGTAAAGTGCTGAAAGCTTTTCCTTTTAGATCAGCATGAGACCGGGGTACTTTCTATCACCATCTTTTCTTTTCAACATTATATTAGAAGTCCTAGCCAATGCAGTAAGAAAAGAAAAGGCTAAAGATTAGAAAGGACAAAATAAAATCTCTTTAATTCGATGATAAATTTGTAATCTTAGAAACCCAAGGAATCTTTAAAATGATTTGAATTTATCGGAGTTGGACTGATTAAGTGGCTGGGAAAATTTAAAAAGAGGGGGAAAAAAGGAATTTATAAGAGTTTAGCTAATTGTAAAATCAGAATAATAAATTGTTTGCATTTCTATACAACACACAGAAACTATAATTTTAAGAAAAAAGACTGTCATTTACAATAACTTCCATAAATGTAAAGTACCTAATAGTACAGCTAACAAAAAACGTGTAAGATATCTATGGGGGAAAATTAAAACATTATTCAAAAGTGGTTTTAAAGACCTATATAAATTAAGAGAAAAAACAGGTTCAATGTGTTAGAAGATGTAATACTATAAAGATATTCATTCTTCCGCAAATTCATCTAAGAATTCAAAGTGATTCCAATCAGAATACAAACAGGTTTTTGTTTTTTTGTTTTGGGGGCATGTATTTTTTAGAAACTGATAATGTAATGTGAAAAGTAAAAATGCTACAAATGCTCAAAACATTTCTAAAAATCAAAGAACAAGGAGGGGCAATGGCCCTTACTGGATAGTTAGAATTATTATAAAATTGTAATTATTAAAACCATGTATTATTAGTGGAAGAAAACCATAAAAGTGTGAATGAAACAATAGATTGCCTAGAAAACGAATGCATATGTATATGTACCATTGATGTATAATATACGTGGCTGTGAAAATCAGGGAGGATAGTTTTTTTAAGTGTGCTGGGAAAATTGTTATCTATACTTTTAAAAGGTAAAATTGGATCACTATCTCAATCAAAATTAAATCAAAATTCTAGCAGGGTTTTTTTTTTTTGTAGAAACTGACAAGCTGATTCTAAAATTTATATGGCATTTAAAAAGGCCCAGAGGAGCCTAAACTGTTTAGAAAAAGTAGGACAAAGTAGCAAGATGTATATACCTGATTAAAAATTAACTATACAATTACAGAAATAGAGTGTGGTGTTGATGTCAGAATAAGCAAATAGGTCAATGGAGCAGAAGGGAAGTCCAGAAATAGATGCACACATATGTACAGTCATTTAACTTTAGACCAGTTGGGAAATGGGGAAATGGAGAAAGGACTGTCTTTTTAACAAATGGTGCTGAAAACCTTAAATCTCTATATAGAAAACAACAAACCTCAACCCTTACCTCACACCATGCACAATAATTAACTCAATAGAAATCCAAAATATACACTTAGAATTTAAAATTATAAAGCTTCTAGAATAAAAACTGTAGAAAATCTTTGCAAAGTTGGCTTAGAATTTCTTACACAGGACCCGATCACTATGAACCATAAAATAAAACACTGATAAAATTGACTTCATCAAAATATAAAACTTCTTCATGAAAGACACCATTAAGAAAACAAAAAGGCAAGTTACAAAGACAGGTAGAAAATATTCATAATAAGAATACTCAAATAATCTTTACAACTCAAGAATAAGAAGAAAACCAAATTTTTAAATATACAAAAAAATAGAATAGACACTTCATAAAAGAAAGTATATGAGGCCGGGCGTGGTGGCTTATGCCTGTAATCCCAGCACGTTGGGAGGCCGAGGAGGGGGATCACGTGAGGTGACGAGTTCGAAACCAGCCTGGCCAACATGGTGAAACCCCGTCTCTACTAAAATACAAAAAATTAGCTGGGTGTGATGGCTTCTGCCTGTAATCCCAGCTACTCGGGAGGCTGAGGCATGAGAACTGCTTGAACCTGGGAGGCAGAAGTTACAGTGAGCTGAGATCATGCCACTGCATTCCAGCCTGGGCGACAAAGTGATACTCTGTCTCAAAAAAAAAAAAAAAAAAAGGTATATGAATGGCCATAGGACACAAAAAGATTCTCCACATGACTAGTCTTGAGGAAATTTAATTTTAAAAGGGCAATGTACCACCATACAGCCACAGAACAGCTAAAATCAAAAAGACTGGTAATTCCAAGGATTAATGAGGATGTAGAGCAACTGGAACTCTCATATTCTGCAGATGGATACGCAAAATGGTACAACCAACTTTTAAAAACAGTTTAGAAGTTTCTTCTAAAAATAAGCACACATTTACCTGACTTACCTCCACACTCTTGATGTCATAGTATATAACACAGCTTTGAAAATATTTGTTTTTTGAAGCATATTTAATATTAATATGTGAACTGATTAGAATTATAGTGATAATGTTTTTTAAAGAAACATACACTTACCATAAAACTCAGCAATTCAACTCCTAGGTAATTATCCAAGAGAAATACTTATGCCCACTCAAAAAATTGTTTATAAATGCATAGCAGCTTTATTCATAATATCCCCAAACTGGAAATAACAGAAATGTTTATCAATTGATTAATGAATAAAAATAGTTGTGATATTGGTATTTCCATATCATGGAATTCTTGGTAATAAAAAAAATTGATACACACAACATGGATGGCTCTCAACAACATTAAACTATGTGAACGGAGTTAGACATAAAACAATACATAATGTTATTTAATTTTTGTGAAGCTCTGGAAAAGACAAATCTCATCAATAGTGGTAGGAAGCAGATCAGTGGTTGCCTGGGACCATGATGAATTGGTATTGACTGCAATGAGCATAAAGAAACTGTGCCAGGTAAAGATATATTCTATGCTATGTCTGTGGCAGTGATTAAATGATTGCATACATTTGTAAACTTGTATACTTAAAATTGATAAGCTTTATTGTGGATATATTATATATCAATAGATGAACGGAACAAAATAGAAATTAAACCCATTCATATATAGTCTGTTGCTCTTTGGCAAAAGTAAATTTCATTTTAAAATAAACATACAATGATAATAAAATGAACTGCAATATTAGGCAATGATATGCAAAATTAGAGTGACGAGATCTAAAGCATCATTGCATTAAGATACTAAAGGCATTGAACTGTTTAGGAAGAGTAAAGATGTTCATTTACTTGACTTTCTAAAGTGAAGCATACATTTTTTAAATGTTAAGTTTAGCCACCAAAATAGACTACAGTAGAAATAAAATGTACAGCTTCAAGCCACAATGAGAAGAAAAAATAATTTTTTAATCAGGAAGATTTTTAACTCAGGAAGATTTTTTAAATAAGGAATAGAAAAACAGTTTAAATAGAACAAAACTATAGAAATAAATCCAAATATGTCCATTAATCACAGAATATACATTTGCCCAGTAAAAGACAGATAGTGTCAGATTGTGGTGCCTGATAAGTGCCAAGCAACGCAGAAGGGGTAGCAAAGGTCAGGAGCTCATGATACAGTAAGAAGTCAGGCAATGATTACTCCATCTTTAGTACCATAAGGTTAGTCTGAGGGCAGACATCATCCCATAGTGTTACAGGAGCACTGACAAGAGGGGCACAATTCTCTCTATGAAGTCACGTGTGTTGACAGGTAGCCACTAAGTTGAGTTGCCCAGGTTAAGAAGTAGGGGAAGGCCATTAAAAAGTAGGCAAAGGACATGAACAGACACTTCTCAAAAGAAGACATTCATGAGGCCAACAAACATATGAAAAAAAAGCCCAACCTCACTGATCATTATAGAAATGCAAATCCAAACCACAATGAGATACCACCTCACACCAGTCGGAATGGTGATTATTGAAAAGTCCAGAAACAACAGATACTGCTGAGGTTGCAGAGAAAAAGGAATGCTTTTACACTGTTGGTAGAAGTGTAAATTAGTTCAACCATTGTGGAAAACAGTGTGATGATTCCTCAAAGACCTAGAGGCAGAGATACCATTTGACCCAGCAATCCCATTACTGGGTATACACCCAAAGGAATATAAATTATTTTATTATAAAGACACATACATGTGTATGTTCATTGCAGCCCTATTCACAATATCAAAGACATGGAATCAGCACAAATGCCCATCAGTGACAGACTGGATAAAGAAAATGTGGTACACATACACCATGGAATACTATGCAGCCATAAAAAGGAATGAGGTTATGTCCTGTGCAGGGACATGGATGGAGCTGGAAGTTATTGTCCTCAGCAAACTAATGCAGGAACAGAAAACCAAACACGCATATTATTACTTATGCGTGGAAGCTGAAAAATGAGAACACATGGACACAGGGAGGGGAACAACACACACTGGGGCCTGTTGGAATGGGTTGTGGGGGAGACCATTGGAAAGAATAGGTAATGGATGCTGGGCTTAATACTTAGGTGATGGAATGATCTGTGCAGCAAACCACCATGGCACAGGTTTACCCATGTAACAAACCTGTATATCCTGCACAGGTACCCCAGAACTTAAAATAAATGTTGAAGGAAAAAAGAAAAGTAGGGGAAGGACATTCTTGGCAGAAGGAACAGCCTGAGCACAAGCACAGAGGAGAGAAACAGCTTGCTGTTTTGGAGACAAGTACTATCATGTCACCAGAGGTGAGTTTTGATGATGATAAACTGATACGCTCTTACGTGCGCATGTCAGAAATTCATTTCATTCTCCATCTCAGAAGGACAGCGTTCCAGAAGATTATTCTGAGCATAGTACCTAACTCAGTGGAATCTCTCCACAGTGGAAGTCACTTTTTATTACTAAATAATGATCTTTATCTTCAAAAACTCCTGGGCCTCAAAGAGTTAGTCTAATTAGTACACATAAATTCATAAATCCAAGTTTGCAAATTGAGTGGATTTTGATGATTCATTTCTGTATCCTCTCTAACCCTTAAGACTGAAGCCACCTGTTTATCCTCTCTGTGAATTTCCTTGAAAAAATTTTTCTCTGAGCTGTTAGTGTATTTACATTTGGCTTAAGAAATTTTCTATTTTCTACCTCATTCTTGACTTATTCGTTACCTCTACATTTCTGCAATTTCTTGGAAGACAGAGCCCATGTTCATTTTATTTTGGTTACAATGCCTTGCACATAATGGCTAGGCACTTTAAGATGATGAAATAGTTGATAAAGTTTCTGCAACTATGGAGTTATTAGTAGAGAAAGCAATCAGCAGTGCTTCTAGCCCTCAGGGCCCTGGGGATGCACTGAGAAGAGTTTTTGAGTGCATTTCTTCAGGGATTATTTTTAAAGGTAGTCCTGGGCTTCTGGATCTTTGTGAAAAGGATCCCTTTGATACCTTGGCAACAATGACTGACCAGCAGTGTGAAGACTTCACATCCAGTACACAGTTTGCATTCAGACTCCTTGCATTCCACCAGATATACAAAGTTATAGGCATGGATCCATTACCACAAATGAGCCAACATTTTAACATCCATGACAACAGGAAATGAAGAAGGGATAGTGATGGAGTTGATGGATTTGAAGCTGAGGAGAAAAAAAGACAAAAAAAGATTATGATAACTTTTAAAAGGTGTCTGCAAATCTTCAGTGTTAAAAAAACAAAAAGTGCCCATTTGTTGGCTGTTTTTCATTCATAATAATGTCTACATTGAAACATTTATCAAGAATTTAAAGGATTTCATGGAAGAACCAAGTTTTTCTATGACATTAAAAAATGTACAGTGTTATGTATTATTTGAATGGAAAGACACCAAAAAAAAAAAATATGCTCCGACTAGGGGGAAAACAGTGGTTCCAATTTTTTCCCATTATTTTGATTTTATTTTCTGGTTGCCTTAGCTTCCCCACCCTATTTTTGTGTCTTCCATTAAGCAGTGCATTGTCATATTAAATCTTTACTGTATTTAATGCAGGATTTGTGCTTCAGTTGTTCTGTGTATTTTGATATTTTTATTTATAGATTTTGTTTGCTTTTTGACACGAGTTGTTAGTTTATGTTATAGATGATATCCTTTACCCCTTCTTAATATTGTACAGTACTTTTTTTGTAACGTGAGACTGAAGATTTTTTTTTTTGTTTTTCTATATGTGAAAGATTACAACTCAAAAAGTTATCCTGTCATTCGAGTGCTCAGAACGGAATGTTTCTGCAGATCTTGTGGCATTTGTCTCTAGTGTGATATAGAAAGGTGTAATTAAGACAGATTTCTGTTAATCTAATCAAGTTTGCTGTTAGTTGTGCATTAGCAGTATAAAAGCTAATATATACTATATGGTCTTGCAACAGTTTTAAAGCCTCTGCATAATTGATAGTAAAAAATGCATGACATTTTGGTCTTTAATAGACTTTTAAAATTATAATTTTAGGTTTAACATGTAGATCTTTGTACAGTTGACTTTTTGACATAGCAAGGCCAAAAGTAGCTTTCTGAATATTTTTTTCTTGTGTATAAGTGGAAACGGCATTTTTCACATATAAGTGGGCTAACCAATATTTTCAAAAGAACTTTATCATTGTGCAACTAACAACAGTAATTAGCCCTTAATTATGGTGACAGTTCCTTATTGGGGAGTGTGTGAGATTATCTAGCAACTATTACAGTATAACACAGTTAATCTTCTCCACACACCCTATTGCCCAGATAATTTACAATTCTGTTAATAGTGAGGTTGATAAAGTATTACTGATAAAAAAAAAGATTAAGAAAAAAACAGAAAATTATTTGGTGTGGCCATCTTACATGCTTATGTGTCTTCTACACAAAGCTAAATATTCTAGCAGTGATGTAATGAAAAATTACACCTTACTGTTGATGTATGTATGTTCTGGTACACAGATGTCATTTTGTTGTCACAGGACTACAGTGAAATACACAAATAAAAAATTAAATTAAAAAAAAGATCATCTGAAGGCCAGGCACGGTGGCTCACGCCTGTAATCCCAGCACTTTGGGATGCCGAGGCGGGCAGATCACGAGGTCAAGAAATCAAGACCATCCTGGCTAACATGGTGAAACCCTGTCTCTACTAAAAATACAAAAATTAGCTGGGTGTGGTGGTGTGCACCTGTAGTCCCAGCTACTCGGGAGACCGAGGCAGGAGAATCGCTTGAACCTGGGAGGCGGATGTTGTAGTGAGCTGAGATCGAGTCACTGCACTCCAACCTGGTGACAAAAGGAGACTCTGTCTCAAAAAAAAAAAAAATCTTAAAATGATATGTTGCTTATCATTAGTGATAAAATCAGATTATGCTCTTACATGAATTTTAATGGTGTTTAATTCTTCAAAGTAGATTTTTAAATGCTAAATATGTCTTTCCATATAATATTTGGAGACCTAAGAGTTGAAATAGTGGTATTTCAAGGTAGCTTGAATAAAGTGCATTGACAGACACTTCTGTAAGATGGCTTTACTTCATCCTTCTGGTATTCCCTATTGCCCAAGAAAAAAAATCTTTATGGTTCCTTTGAATTTCTTCTATTCTTCGGTTATGCTTCAGACTGAAGGCTAAATTAATTTTATTTCTAGATTCTGGATGCTTAAGATACTTCTTTTACAATTGTTTTCTATTAACAAACTTCATCCAATAACCCCAGAGATTAGGGGGAAAGGAAAACAAAGATGTACAGGGTGCCTCCTCCATGAAAGATGCTGTACTGTGTGTTTTCACATCTGTGTCTCAATCACTTCTCACAAAAGCCCTGTAAAAATAGCATTAATATTAATAATAAGAGCTGACTTTTATTGATTTCTACATAGAAGATCTCATTTGTTTGAACACTAATCTTAGGAAGTAAGGTTGATCTCCCAGTTGTACAGATGAGAAACTCTAAAGCTTATGGGAGTTAAAAACACAACTGGGAAATCATAGTATTAAGATTTAAGCTCTTATATTAATTCTTCCAATGGCTATGCTTTTAACCATGAAGCAGTACTGCTTATCTGTAAATTAGAGAGCATAATCTCCATTTTAGAGATGAGAATATATTAGGTTGGTGCAAAAGTAATTGTGTTGTTTGCCCTTGAGTGATGGCAAAACTGCAATTATTTTTGCACTAGCCTATAGGTTCAAAATGTGCTCAGATCACACATTTAATAAATAGCAGGGCCCAGATCAGATTTGAAAGTGACTACATCTAACTCCCAAATCTGAGTGCTCCACCTTGCACCACACCTTGCTGATGCAAAGAGCAAGTTTTCAAGGTGGACTACAATAAAGCTACTTTCCATTTAATTCTAGATGTGGGACTAACTTTTATATATTATACTACCAAGGCAGGGAATGAACTGGGATGAGCTGACACTTCATCATGACTAGAAAAGCCTGTCTGGCCAGGCGTGGTGGCTCATTCTTGTAATCTCAGCAATTTGGGAGGCCAAGATGGGAGGATTGTTTGAGCCCAGAAGTTTGAGGCCATCCTGGGCAACATAGCAAGACCTCATTCCTACAAAAAAAAAAAAAAATTAAAGAGTATCCAGCTGCACTGGCATATTCCTATAGTCCCAGTTACTCAGGAGGCTGAGGCAGGAGAATCACTTGAGCCCAGGGGTTTTGGGGTTGCAGTGAGCTATGATTGCACCACTATACTACAGCCCAGGCAACAAAGGGACACTGTAGGAGAGAAAGAGAGAGTAGAAAGGGAAAGGAGAGGAGAGGAGAGGGGAAGGGGGAGGGGGAGGGAAGGGGAAAGTAGGGGAGGGAAGGAGGGAAGGTAGGGGAGGGGAGGTGAAGGGGAAAGGAAAGGAAAGGAGAAAGGAAAGGAAAGGAGAAAGGAAAGGAAAGGAGAAAGGAAAGGAAAGGAGAAAGGAAAGGAAAGGAGAAAGGAAAGGAAAAGAGAAAGGAAAGGAAGGGAAGGGAAGGGAAGGAGAGAAGGGAAAGGAGAAGAGAAAGGAGAAGGGGAGGGGAGGGAAGGGAAGAAAAAGCCCGTCTGGCCCAGACACTTTTCTGAGATGGCCCAGTGGGGGAATCTTGATCCTTCCAATGGGCCAATAATGAGCATATGCTTCGGTGTGCCAAATCTGCCTGTGCCACTTTCCTCAGGACTTTTCCTACAAGACAGCAGGAAAAAAAAAATGGTGGTTTTCCTTCCTCCCTGGGTTTCTCTTTGGGTTTCCTTGGGTTTCTCTTTCACTTTTGTTTTTCTAATTTGTAACCCAACCAAGATCATGGGAGGATACACAGCACCTGTTAAAGGGACTTGGGATTTTTGTCAAACAGGCCAGGAATTCAGTACTGTCCACATGATCTTTTCTAGACTCCATTTAGTCTTCGTGTGGTCCAGCAGCATCAGCATCACCTGGGATCATATTAGGAATGCAGATTCTCAGGACCCTGCTCAGACCTACTGAATCAAACTTTGCATTTTAACAAGATCCCCAGGTGATGTGCACACACATTGGAGTTTGAGAACCCTTGCTCTAGAGCATGATAACTAACATTCCAAGCCCCAATTTTCTTGTCTGTAAAATGGGAATGATAAGCAGGGCATTTTAGAGGATAATAATAAATGCAAAGGGCCATGTACAGAAACCTGACTCACAGTAGGTATTTAATTTAAAAGATCAATTACAATTTTATGGTTATTATTATTATCCCAATTCTCTCCAGATACTATTTCATTTTTCAGAAACCTCATCTGTCTTTCCTGCTCTACTAGATATTTTCCACTAACATACAAACATATATGGGACTGTTTTCCCCATCAGAATAATACAGAGACAGAACTCCTCTCCTGATGCTACTTTGTCTCCATCATAGCCACATTTCTCTCTCTCCTTCCCTTGATATCGAAGCATCTCAAACAAGTTGTCTAGACATACTCTTCGTTCTCTCCTTCCCTTCTCTCTTGAGCCCAGTCCAAGCAGGATTTTGTCCCCAATACTCCACCAAAACAGCTTTTCTCAAGGACATCTGTGACCACCATGTTTCTGAATCCAGATTTCCTTTCTCAGTCTTCATCTCACTTATTTAGTGTATCAGCAGCACTTTTTGCCTTAAAATACATTTTCATTTTGATTCCAGGACACCACACTCACCTGACCATCCTCTTACATCCCTTGCTATTCCTTTTCAGTCTCATTTACAGGTACTTTCTCTCTTTTATACTTGTACATATGGACATGCTATAGGGCTCAGTATTTGGACCAATTTTTTTTTCTGTCTACAAATCACTCCCTGATGACCTCATTCAATCTCAATGACTTTAATTATAATATCATCTATGAGGTAATAACTTCTAAATTATATCTGTAGCTTGGAACTTTCCCCTAAACAATAAGCTCGTCTATATAACCAACTACTATCGTCTCCAGCCATCTGCATAGCTCGTTCGTTCACTTCCTTAGTCTCTTTACTTAAAAAAATCACTTTCTCATTGAGACGGGCCCTGGGCATCCTAAAATTCTAACTACCCTTCCTCCACATGAAAATACACACCTTCCTTTCCTTTTTATTTTTTCTTCCTAGCACTTATCACTATCTAATGTATTACATGTTTTAGCTTTATATGCCTTACTTATTATGTCTCCCTCCTCCCTCACTTGAATGTAAGCTCCACTAGAAAAGGATCTTTGTTTTCTTTTTTCTCTACCATATGCCCTGTGCCTAGAATAGTGCGTAGCATATAATTGTTGCTAAACAGTCACTAATCAAATGTAGGATTCCACTTTACAGCTAAAGGAACACAGGCTCAGGATGGGCGTTCCCAAGGTCACAGAGCCAGATGATGGCAAAGCTGTGAATTGAACGCTAGTGTGTCTGACACCAAATCTCCATGTCAAATACTACCTATATTTGAAAGAGTTTTTCCAGGGCCGCTTTCATTCTTCAGCTTTTGTTTTTGTAAATGATATGTTTTGTTGGACTCAGTGCTCTCCTCTTCAGCAGGACTACATTTTCTATTAAGACATGTTAACACGCCATCAAATAATTAGGAAGTATCAGATTATCTCACCTGAAGCATCGTGTTTCCAAGTAATCTGTTTCAGAGAACTTGAATCAAAGCAAAACGGGAAATGAATAATGTTTCCTTTTAATTTCTTCCTGTCACCTCTTCTTTCCTCTGCCTCAACAAACAGTACTTGGATATTCTCACAGAAACAGTATAGGAAGGGGAGGTTTATCACATTCTATGGCTCCTCTAAAAATAAGGTCTGATTTAAAACATCAGGAAACACACTTCTTTTCTCTGACTACAGAGTTAGCAGTAAATATCCTTTCCTTTTCCTGCCACTGCAGCCGCAACAATAGGACTTGTGGAAAGTGAGTCTAACTTATGCAAAAGTATTACTCCTAGCTCTGCCATTTTCCAGCAGGGCTGTCTGGATTTCTTCGAGTTTCATTTTCCCTGTATAAAGTGGGAATAATAGCATTACCTTGGAAGGTTGCTGCAAGTAAGTATTAATAAAGATAACACACACAAAAAGCTTAGGTTGAGGTTTATAAGCTGTTATAAAAGTCAACTTTCTTCTGACTTCAATGAAACCAGCTCATATTTGTAGGACTTGTTGCTGCTTATTCACTCCAGCAGTATAAAGCAGATGGATTGGGTCCCTTAGCGGGAAAAGCAAAGAACCAGCTTCCATGTAGCTGTGGGGGCGCTTGGCACATATTATCTCTAGTTCTCATAATGACACTATAAGGTGAGCAGAATTAGCTCCATCTCAGAGAGGAGGAAACTCAGGTTCAGAGATGGTAAAGAATTGGCTCTGGGTCATGGATCCAACCAGGAGCATAACAAGAATTCAAACTCAGGCCTAACTCCAAAGAGTCCATTATTTCCACCAGAGCAGCACCTCCATCATCCCTCAGGCCCAAGTAACCCCTTTCCCGGACACAATTTGCCTGTAATGGACTCTCCCAACCTTGGAAAAATAACATCACCCAAACAAGCCCAGCCGTCACTCAAACAGAAAAATGTACATCTAATTGCATTTTTTTTTTACTTTCCTAAGGCATTTCATATCCATTTTGTCCTCTCCATCCCTGATGGCACTGCCTGTTCAGATGTCTACATCTCTCACCTGAGTCATTATAATTTCTCCCTAACTCATCTCTGTGCCTCCAGTTTCCCAGCTGCATAATTTATCTTCATGTTGGTGTCAGATAGGGCTTACTGAGCACAGATGGGGCCTTCCCTGGCTCTGAATTCTTTGAAAGTTCCCAATTGCCTACAGAGTAAATCTCAAACTTCCTATCATGACGTGCAACCATCTCTCCATGGTCACTTCCTGCCACATCTACCATGTACCCTTTGCTTCTTTCATAGTGGGATCCTTATTGTTCCCCAAATATGTTGAGCTCAAGTCATGCTTGTCCGTGTAGTTCAATAAACTGAAGTGCTAGTCTCTAACCAGCAAAGTCTTTCTCATAGTCACGCTCACCTGTGCATATGGGAGTATGGTTGAAGATAGATTTTTCTGGAAGACTATTTGGCAAAAGATACCAGAATGGTTGTGAATATCTAAATCTTTATCCCTATGTTCCACTTCTAAGAATTTATCCTAAGGATAGTTCAGAGATGAATACAAATATGTTTAATGTTTGTTTATAATGCTTTCAAGTTGTATGCAATCTAAATGTCCAACCAAGGGGAATTTATTTTAAAAATATAAAAATGTATAAATTATGATACATTCATATGATAGGAGCAACTGGGTCTTTAATTGTAAATTTCAAAATGTTTAGTCCCCTGAAAATATTTCTACAGTATAAGAATGGAAAAATGTAGGTTAAAAAAAGGGTGCATACCTTATAATTCCAATTCTTCTTTTTTCCTTTTTCTTTTTTTTTTTTTTTTTTTTTTTTTTTTTTTTTTTGAGATAGAGTTTCACTCTGTTGCCCAGGCTAGAGTGTAGTGGTTTGATCTTGGCTCACTGCAACCTCCACCTCCCGGGTTCAAGCAATTCTCCTGCCTCAGCCTCCTGAGTAGCTGGGATTACAGGTTCCCGCCACCACACCTGGCTAATTTTTGTTTATTTTTTAGTAGATATGGGGTTTCACCATGTTGGTCAGGATGGTCTCAAACTCCTGACCTTGTGTTCCGCCTGCCTCTGCCTCCCAAAGTGCTGGAATTATAGGCGTGAGCCACCGTGCCCGGCCTATAATTCCAATTCTACTAAGGAAAAATATAAATACACATGTATGTGTGTATATACATGTTCGTTAAAAAGACTAGAAGTATATATGCCAAACACAAATGTTGATTATCTTTTAGTGTAGATACTGTAAGTTATTTTAATTTTATTCATTGTATTTTTTATATTTTTTAAACATGTAGTGAGCATGTATTTCTTTATATGCAAAAAAATACTTTAAAAGTTCCTATTCGTCCTTCAAACCCTACCACAAAATCCTCCTCTGAAGGCTTTCCTAATTCTCATGGTCCGAATAAATCCATCTTCCTTTCAACTTTCAGGGTAGTCTTGCTCCACTTCATCTTATAGTATAGTAGGTTATTTATATGTCTTATTTAACAACTAGACTGAGAGTGTCTGAGCACAGGCTCCAAGTCTGACTCACCTGGCACAAGTTTCACCCATTCCAGGAGGCCTTCCTCAGCAGGGACTTAATGAAATATTTACTGAAAAGGGAGACACTGATGCATCTTTATAGATGTAGCCTCATAACCGACTTATGACTGGGACTCATTTGGAACAGAAATGGGTGTGTTGTAAGAAAACATTTGGAAATTTATGCTCAGTGTTGGAATGTCAACAGTGGGGATTTTATGCTCAGTGTTAGAATGTCTGGTTTCTGATTATAATTTCCTATACCTTTGTATCTCTCTCCCATGAACACAAGTGTCTGACAACCATGAGTCCATGCTGCCCATACACTGCTGTCTTACACTGTAAGAGAGAGATGAGGGACAAGGAAATCAAGAACCATGCAGTGGTGAGTGTGGAGGAAGTTTGTATTGAGTTGAATTTGAGAGGCAAAGAGAAAGTCTTCATGAGAGCAATGGGTTGAGAGATCTTAAGAGCAAAAGAAATGAGAAATAAGTTTTTTTTCCTGATTTTTATTTTTTGGTTTAGGGTGTACATGTGCAAGTTTCTTAGATGAGTAAAATGCGTGTTCTAAGGTTTGGGATACAAATAATCCTGTCACCCAGGTAGTGTGCATAGTTAGTACTTCATAGGTAGTTTTTCAACCCTCACTCCTTCTCACTCTGCCTCAACTAATCCCCAGTGTCTATCGTTAGTACCTTTGTGTTCACATGTATCCAGTATTTAGCTCCTGCTTATAAGTGAGAACAGGTGGTATTTGGTTTTCTGTTCCTACGTTAGTTCACTTAGGATAATGGTCTCCAGCTGCATCCATGTTGCGAAAAAGCATGATTTTGTTTTTTATGGCTGTATAGTATTCCATGGCATATATGTACCACATTTTCTTTACGCAATCCACTGTTGATGGGTATCTAGGTTGATTCTATGTCTTTGCTATTGCGAATAGTGCTATGATCAACATAAGAATGCATGAGTCTTTTTGGTAAAGAGTTTATTTTCCTTTGGATATATGCCCAGTAATGGGATTGCTGGGTCAAGTGATAGTTCTGTTTTAATTTCTTTAAGAAATCTCTACACTTCTTCCCACTTTTGCTGAACTAATTTACATTCCCACCAGCACTGTATAAGAGTTCCCTTTTCTCCACAGCCTCACGGATATCTTTTATTTTATGACTTTTTGATAATAGCCATTCTGGCTGGTGTAAGATAGTATCTCATGTGGTTTTGATTTCCATTTCTCTAATGATTAGTGATGCTGACCATTTTTCATGTGTTTGTTGGCTGCTTGTATGTCTTCTTTTGAGACGTGTCTGTTCATGTCTTTTGCCCATTTTTTAATGGGGTTGTTTGATTGTTGCTTGTTGAATTGTTATATACCCTATAGATTCTAAACATTAGGCCTTTATTGGATGCATGTTTTGTAAATATTTTCTCCCATTGTGTAGGTTGTCTCTTTACTCTGTTGATAGTCTCTTTTGCTGTGCAGAAGCTCTTTAGTTTACTCAGATACCACTTGTCAATTTTTGGTTTTGTTGCAATTGCTTTTGGGGACTTCTTAGTCATAAATTATTTGCTAAGGCTAATGTCCCGAATAGTATTTCCTGGGTGTTCTTCTGGGTTTTTATAGTTCTAGGTCTTACATTTAAGTCTCTAATCCATCTTGAGTTAAATTTTGTGGATAGTGAAAGGAAGGGGTCCAGTTTCACTCTTCTGCATATGGCTAGCCAGTTATCGCAACACAGTTTATTGAATAGAAAGTTCTTCCCCCATTGTTTGTTATAAAAGGTCAGCTTTGTTGAAGATCAGGTGGTTGTGTGTAGCTTTATTGTTAGGTTCTCTATTCTATTTTGTTGATCTATGTGTCTGTTTTTGTTCCAGTACTGTGCTGCTTTGATTACTGTAGCCTTGTAGTGTAGTTTGAAGTTGGGTAGTGTGATGCCTCTGGCTTTCTTCTTTTTACATAGAATTGTTTTGCCTATTCAGGCTCTTTTTTGGTTCCATATGAATTTTAGAATAGCTTTTTTCTAATTTTGTGGAAAATGATGTTGATAAATTCAATAACATTACATCTGTAAATTGCTTTGGGCAGTAGAGCTGTTTTAACAATATTGATTCTTCTTATCCATGAACATGGAACGTTTGTCCATTTGTTTGTGTCATCTCTGATTTCATTCAGCAATGTTTTGTAGTTCTCATCATAGAGATCTTTTGCCTCCTTGGTTAGCTGTATTCCTAGGTATTTTATCCATTGTGTAGCTATTGTAATTGGAATTATGTTCCTGATTTGGCTCTCAGCTTGAACATTATTGGTGTATAGAAATGCTACTGATTTTTACACCTTGATTTTGTATCCTGAAGCTTTACTGAAATTATTTATCAGTTCCAGGAGCCCTTTGGCAGAGACTATGGGATTTTCTAAGTTTAGAATCATATCTGTAAAGAGAGATAGTTTGACTTCCTCTCTTACTATTTAGATGCCTTTTATTTCTTTCTCTTGCCTGATTGCTCTGCTAAGACTTTCAGTACTATGTCGAATAGGTGTGGTGAGAGTGGGCATTCTTGTCTTGTTCTGGTTCTCACTGGGAATAGTTCTAGCTTTTGCCTCTTCCATATGATGTCGGCTGTGGGTTTGTCATAGATGGCTCACATTACTTTGAAGTATGTTTCTTCAGCACCTAACTGGTTGAGGGTTATTAACATGAAAGGATGTTTAATTTTATTAAAAACCCTTTCTGCATCTATTGAGATGATCATGTGGTTTTTGTTTTTAATTCTGTTTATGTGGCGAATCACACTTATTGATTTGGATATGTTGAACCAACAGAAAATATAATTTTATAAAGGAATAGGAAATGAAAATTTTGCTGTGGGATATAAATTCTGTCCTCATAGATGTTTTACAAGAGATTTTAATAAATATGGAAAATGCTTGAATCCCTTTCATTTAGCAGACTGTGTTTCTTTGAATGAGATTACATGCTAGGCTATGAGAAACCTCAGCTTTTATTCACTTAGCACAAGTAGTAGGGAGACCCAGAGCTTTTCTTCCATCTTTTGAATAGCCTAATGAAATAGTAGATCAATCTACAATAAGGATCTGAGTCAGACCCAACAATGACATTTCCTCACTTTGAACTGGACTCATAGTAACTCAGCGCGACACATTTGTTCACTCATGCCAATCAGACTGATTTATATATTTCTGTACCTATGATAAGTATTTATAAAATCAAATGTATTGATCAATATATTCTGTTTGGTAGTCAAAAATAAATCTTTTAAATTCTGAAGTGTCTGGGGTTAGGAACAATACAAAAGGTAGGCCATTTGTGACAGAAAGGTTTGAAGCATGCAGGTCAGTCATTTAAATCCTACAGAAAGATGGAGCAGATCATTTACTCAAGAAGCATAGAATCTGGCTCCTATGATTATGTTTCTATGTTTATTATAAGAAAGATGGTTATACCAAGGAGAGCTTCTAACAGCCAAATAGCAGAGACACACAAAGCTGGAAGGCCCCCAAAGCCAGATCAAAACATGTTAAACCCAGATAGGGTGCCTCTAAGCAAAGATCCACTATTAACAATTAGGACAATGTCAAGTACTAATTCTATAGGGAATGACACCTAACCTATTTTTAATTTGTGTCTTTATGCATTTGCTTTTTAAATGTTTAATATTCCCACATAAGCAAGGAGATATAGTCAAGTACTGTAGGATTTAAAATAGTAATAGATAAGCAGGTAGATGATAAATCGATAGGTAGGTAGGTAGGTAGATAGGTTAAATAAGTGATCCATTCTAAAGAGTTTTACAAGCTGTTATAAAGAATAGGGTAGAGACACATGTACTGACCTAGACGATATCCAGGATATATTGCTGTGCTGGAAAAAATAAATCGCAATAAAATATGTGTAATATGATTCTATTTATGTTTTTTAAGTGCACAAAATAACACTCTACACCTCTGCAGGTAGATAGATAGAAGGAGGAATCTTATAAAATAAAAAGTTATTACATGTAACTCCTTTATACATTTGTGAAAGAAAATAAAGGTAATTATGCACAATGATATTTGATCATTTGTGACCTACAAAAGCAGTAATTTTATGTTATCTAACAACAATTACAGAGGGAAAGACATCAAAGGCTGTATCAACTAATAACCATGGTTATCTCCAGAAAGGAGACTGGGACTAAGGGTTGACACTTACGATGACATTTTGATTATCTGAATTGTCTGAATTTTTGTAATGTGAAGTATATATGTATTACTTAGATAATTATTTACATAAAGGTGAGATTTACATTTAATTATTAAAGAAGGAAAGAAGACAGGTAGACAGGCAAAAAAACATTATGTGTTCTGGAGGCTTACAAAAATTAGGGAGCAATGAGGAGAAGGGAAAAGGAGAGTTTTGAAGACAGAGACACATTGAGATAAGGAAGACTCAAGAGAATTTTAAGGCAATATTGCTATAATCATGTATGCAGTTTTTTCTCTCCACTCCCAAATATACCTCAGATGTTTTCTTGCAAGATTAAAGGATGAGGGAGCTGGAGTTAGAAATGAAGCAGCTGTGAGATCAGTGCCATGGGGTGAGTTTCAAACAAATCGTCATATGAGTCACATAAAAAATGCTAATTGTCTGCCAGAGCAAATAATTATGGTGGCAAGACAGAGTAGAAAATCAATCACACATTTTTTTATAAATGAGTTTTAAATGTGGGAAAAACCTCTATGAGGCAAAGCTGTAGTTCCAAACATCCTACTCAGTAGGGGGTCACCAACTGGACACCACAACCATTCTTTCCCAGGTCACTCTCAGGAGCCCAGAGTAGTTGTATATGTATAATCGTACATACAAAGTGCTCAGTAAGTAATCGATAGCTTGATTTTGTTCATGAGGACTTAGCTTTTAAGTTTTGTGGCGAGCTTTGAAGTGAAAATGACTTTGAAGTCAATCCCAGACACTGGGATTGGCGCCTGACATGTATCGTCTCATCCAATTCACCTGATGATCCCACAGGAGGAAAATCCTATTGTGGTTCCTAAAAGAGGAAAATGAGGCTTACAGATATCAAGTAACCTTCCCAAAGTCACACAGCAAATAAGCAGAGTGGTTGGGAATTGAATGCAGAACTGTCTAATCCAAAGTCTGGGTTCTATTTCAGAAGGAAATCAAGTTCAAGATCACCATTTCTCTACCTCCAGCCCATAAACCACTGGGGTAAATTCTGATTGTGTCATCCAGCCCTGGCCCACTCCTTTGTCCCTCTGCATCTGTGGCAGAGAATTTAGAGAGCCCTCCTATCTTGATCCAGTTAGGGAAATACCAATCTAAAGAATATAATAAATACATAGGTTTACAAGCATGTACTTGTGTGTTCATTTATCAATAAAATTTATTACATATAAGCCTGGGTGCAGTGGCTCATGTCTGTAATCCCAGCACTTTGGGAGGCCTAGGCAGATGGATCACTTGAGGTCAGGAGTTTGAGACCAGGAGAATCGCTTGAACGTGGGAGGCAGAGTTTCAGAGGCTGCAGTGCACCACTGCACTCCAGCCTAGATGACAGAGAAAGACCCTGTCTAAAAAATAAATAAAAAAATAAATAAAACAAAAAAGTTATTAGATGTAATACCTTTATACATTTGTGAAAGAAAATAAAGGTAATTATGCACATACACAGTTGCAGCCACTTGACTATGTCTTCCTCAGGCATACTCACCTTTCCATCTCTAACTCCACAACACTGTGTGCTGCCTTGAACTCTCATTTGGAAATGGTACCGGCTCAGAACATGATACTGCTTTATGCATCTGTGGATTTTGGGAAATCCTGAAATACAGGAAGTTGTGGGTGGATGATGCATTAACCGGTTATCGCTGTTAAATCTAATCCTGTTGGGATATCAGATTGGGTTAGCTGAATGCCACCTACCTGTAAAGCTGAAGGGAGGGAAATAATTAGAGAAATCATTCTTCCCAAATGTGTCAGAATTGGGCTTGCTCTCTGGGGCCCACTGATTTAACTTAGACTTGATGTTGCACCAGAAAGGGCAATGGACTGAGGGCACCAAGACTGGAGTTCTTCCCCCAGCTTCTTTTCTATTTAGCCATGTAGATTGAACCAAGTCACTTTTCTCTTGTGATCTCATTTCCTCAAAAATAAAATGAGACATCTGTAATGCATTAAATGATTTAATTTTAATTCCTTTTGAAAATGAAATTTGTGTTCTAATAAAAACCACATAACATAAATTTACTCTCTTAAATTTTTAAGTATATAGCACAATGTTGTTAACTATATGCACATTGTTGTATAACATATCTACAACTTTTTCATCTTGCATGACTGAAACTCTGTATCCATTGAACAGCAAATGCCCCGTGTCCCCTTTTTCCTAGCTCCTGGCAACTCTTATTCTACTTTCTATTTCTATGAGTTTGACTATTTTAGATACCTCATATAAGTGGAATAATGCTGCATCTGTCTTTTTGTTATTGGCTTATATCACTTAGCACAATGTTCTCCAGGTTCAATATGACAGAATTTCCCTTCATTTTAAAAGGCTGAATAATATTCCATTTGTATCTGTGTTTATGTGTGTGTGTGTGTGTGTGTGTGTGTGTGTGTGTATGTATATATGTGACATTTTCTTTATCCATTCTTTCATCCATTGACATTTAGTTTGCCTCCACATCTTGGCTATTGTGAATAATGCTGCAATTAAAATTAGCATGCAAATATCTCTATGAGGTCCTGTTTCCAATTTGTTTGGCTATATACCCAGAAGTGGGATTGCTGAATCATATGGTAGTTCTGTGTAACTTTTGGAGAAACTTCTATTTTGTTTTTCACAGTGGCTGCACCATTTTACAATCCCACCACCAGTGTGAAGAGTTTACATTTCTCCACATCCTCTCCAACACCTGTTGTTTTCCGTTTTTTTTATAGTAGCCATCTTAACAGGTATAAAGTGGTATCTCATTGTACTTTTGATCTGTATTTCCCTGATAATTAGTGATATTGAGCATCTATCCTATGGTTGTGTTATATCTTCTTTGGAGAAATGTCTATTCGAATCCTTTGCCCATTTTTAATTGTTTTTTGGGGTTATCAAGTTGTAGTATACAATACTTTTTAACCTAAGAAAAATGAAATGCTTATCTTTTGGATTTTAAAAAATAGTATCCATCTCTAGGGTTGTTTTGAGAGTGAACTGGAGAGTGAATGTAAATCATGTAGATCAGTCCATGGCACTTGGTAGCTATTCAATAAATGTTAGTCTTTTTTTCTTTTGCACCATGCAGCCAAATTGATTCTTTTCTTTCTTTCCTTTTTTGTTTGCAAGCATTAGGATAAAGCTTCTCCCACTGTCTTCATGAATATATTTGTGCTTCTTGTAAGTGTATCATTGTTAAGAAAGTGAAGTGTTTTATGGCATTTTGAAGAGTTCAGGCTGATGCATATCTGCTCATGTAAAATTACTAGTTGAGTACGATATTGTGTGATAGCTCCCAGCATTCAAGTAAATGTTAGACAAGGTTCAGACACATCTACTTTTCTCACATATGGTTGTGCAACAAAATGTGAATTCCAGATATGTTATATTATTAATATGTAATATATTCACAGTAGTCCTTATCACATGTTAGTTGCACACCTGACATTTGCAACGCGATACAATCTCTTGTGTGATGTTGTTGATGATTCATTCAATTGCGTTACAAAATTTTCCTAATCATTCCTGATTCAAAGTACTGACATTTTATGAGGTAGGTGTTACTTTTATCACCATTTCACAGGTGAGGAAACTGAGACACAAAGAGGTTAAATTACTCCCAAGCCCACACATCTAATAGGTAGTACAGTACAGACTTCACCATTATGTCTTCACCATTCTAGGGGAAAAGACCAACAGGTCTCTGGGTACCAAAAGAGGGGAAGGAGTTACCCTAGAGAGAGAAATTAGAGGACTAAAGAGAGCATTTCATCTACTTTACAGTTGTGTCTAAGAATGTAAGAAGGAAAGAAGAAGAATAAAGGCCACTGATAAGAGAAGAAAGTGGAGGTGGGGTGAAGTGTAGGACCTGGACGGACTAAATTCTACAATGAATTAGAGTGAAATGGAGACGATTGAACTGTCAGGGGCAGGATGAGGCAACCCTAGGAACACGGAGGTAGAAGACTCATTAAAGAATAACTGAGAAACAGGAAGGAAGAGGGTACAACCTAGCTCATCTTCTGCCTGATCACTCTTCCTGGGGGCTAATGCTGTGTAAAATAATCTGTAAATACCGAATATGTTATCTTCTATCCATGGATGCCAGCAGCTTTGTTATAGAGGGCCAGGACTATTTCCAACATGAACCGAAAAATTAGAAATTATATTTTACAAGTATTTATTGACGTAAGGCTCTGGGCCAAAAGTGGTTAGATTATATAAATTTTTTTGATAGAAGAGCTGATAGAATTTACTGATGTATTAACGTGTTATGAATGAAAGAGAAGCATCAACGATTTTTTTTAACTGAGCTAGTAGCAAAATGAAGATGACATTTACTGAGACAGAACTGACCATGGAAAGGTGCAGACTTGACTGAAAAAAGGCAAACAAAGAAGAGTCCAATTTTGGATGTGTATAGTGGAAGATGCCCATTGGACATTAATATGAAGATGTTGATTAGGTGTTTGGATATACAAGTATAAGCCAAAGAAGAGGTCCAGGTTGGAGATACAAATTTAGAAGTTATCCGCCACAGCGTTAGATGCATTTACTTAAAAGATCTGTGTTGATAAAGAAGTGAAGAGATTTAAGGATGGAACTCCTAAGTTCTTCAAAGTTTCGAGTTTGAGAAAATGAGGAACTAAAAGGAGAATGAAAACTAGCTGCTAGTGTGGTGGGAAAAACCCCATGAGAGAGTGGGTTATGGAAGCCGAGATGAACAGGTTTCCAAAAGAAGAAAATAAACCTACTACTTCAGTATACAAAGTAATTGGTCTACCAACTTCTCACCTGAGGCCTGAGAACTAATCATTGAATGTATCCTTGTAGGGCTTATTAGTGACCTTGAAAACCACTGTTTTGGCAAAGGAGTGGTGATGTAGCCTCACTGAATAGATTCAACGTAGAAGGAAGGAGAACTGGAGACAGTGAGTTTAGACAACACATTCAAGGAGTTCTGCTACAAACAGAGAAATAGGGGGAAATAAGGGGAAGCAAAGAATTAAGAAACTATCTTACTTTTTAAAGATGGGGTTATTAAAGCATGTTTGAAAGCTGAATGTAGTCATCCTGTAAAAGGAGAAAAAATGAGTGATACTGAAGTAAGAAGACACAATTGCAAGAGCCATGCCTCTGAGTGGGAGAGATGTGGGATCCAGGAGACAAACGGAGGAACTGGCTTAGGTAGGGACATGGCCACTCATCCTTAGAAGGAGGAAAAGCAGAGTCTAGACGGTGAGGTATGATAGTGGGACTACAGGAAAAGTCTGTCCATATGGCTTCCCTTTTCTCAGAAAAATAAGAGGAAAGGTCCTCAGATGAGATGAGAAGGGTGGAGGAGGTGTTGAACCTTGAGGAGTGAGGAGAGGCACTTCTGACACTTGGCAAATGATTGGACTAAAGAAAAGATAGAAGGATTACCGGTCAGCCCTAAACATTCTCTTGAGGTTAGTAGTGAGTAAAAACATTGGCCAGTGATATACTAACATTTTTGTTACTAAGTTTGCAACATCATTTGATGGAATTTTTCAAATTAATTAATGATCTTAAACTTATCTTTAAGAAGTTTTTCTCAAATAGTATGTAGTTCTATACTTGTTATTAAATGTAGAAATTGATACTTTTTAAGAATATTATTGTAATCACTTGGAAGTTATGTCTTTATTTCATGGATCTTCTGCAAAAGTTGGGACTCAGAAATGTAGACACAAAATATCATGTACTCATTGCTTCATTTATTCAACTTCTTCTTTAAAAATAAATAGAGTCAGGGTCTTGTTCTGTCACGCAGGCTGGAGTGCAGTGGTACAGTCACGGCTCATTGTAACCTTGAACTCCTGGCCTCAAGCAGCCTTCCCACTTCAGCCTCCCAAGTAGCCAGGACTACTGGCATCTGCCTCCATTCTTGGCTCATTTTTTTTTTTTTTAAAGAGAAAGAGTCTCACTGTTACCCAGGCTGGTCTTAAACTCCTGGCCTCAAATGCCTCTTTCACTTCAGCCTCCCAAAGTGCTGGGATTACAGGCATGAGCCACTGCACCCAGCTCATTTGCTCATCTTCTATTCTGCCCTTTTCTTTCCCGCATTGCAAGTTTGTATCTTAGAATCCCCCACTTTTCTCTGCATCTCTCTGTCTCTAACTGTGATAATTAGTACTGTATAATTACTAGACTTCAAGATGGTTTCAATGTCTTGAGGAACTAACCTTATAACTTCTGAAAGAGTCTGTAATTTTGATTGGTTGTCTTATTTAATAATATTATGCCCTGATCGTGATATTTAAATTTATATCTCTGTCACCTGAAAAAAAATAAATTCCTTGAGTTTTCTTTAAGTCAGAACCTTAGTTTGAAATTCCCTTGCCTCCCACACTGCTTGAAGTTTAAAAAATAAAATTAAATCTAAGATTGTTGTATTTCTTCTTTAAACAAAGAGTTCAAAAGTGTGATCTTATTTAAATTAACAATGATTAACTCAATAATAAGGGAATCTTTTGATAGTAAAAATCTATGTTTAAAAAATATTTATTTAAACAGATTAGAATTAAGCAATGATAAAGTCTAAGCCATTTTATTGGCTATTTTTTTTATTTGAGACTTGATTCCAAAATTAGTGTAATAGATACTAGGGCTCCATATATTTCTAACCTCAAGATAAATCCTATTGACAATTTAATCAAGATTTTAATTAAGGAAATAAATGTGAAAATGCATATATTAACTCTAGAAAGAATAATTGGCATGAGAATCCTTTATATATGTATTTTACTATTTTATTCTTTTTTGTTTTATAAAAATCACAAATACTAACATGACTAAATTGACTTTCTCTTTAATAGCTCCCATATTTAACAGCTATATCCAACATTTAGACTTTGTAATACTCTTGGGGAAATGGGCCTACTTATTGGGAAATAGCTTAATTTTATTTGGAGGGAAGAAAAAAAGAGAATGAGAAAACTGATTCATGAGCCTTCAAAGCAGTAAAACTGAAAATATATAGTGTGTGGTTTTCATTGCTTTCCAAAAAAACCACACACATTTTACAACACAGGGAGATCAGCTAGACAGAAAGTAATCTGGATTCCACTTCTTAAACCTGGCTCTTCTGATTCCAGCAGGAATGAGACCAATTACTTACAGATTTTAGACTCATGGCTTCAAGGAAAACAAATCATTAGGACTGTGGACACCACTGTAATGAAAAAAGACTCAGTTATACTGATGAGTCAGAAATGACTGACTGCTGCAAGAACATTTTGATATAATTTAAACCAGTGGATTTCAGGTAAATGAAGAGGATTTCAAGAAAATATGCACTCCCCCCCTGCCGTGGGTATACATGTCATAATATGGTTATGGCCAGTTTTCATGTATACATTTAAAAATGTGGATGTTTATACAAGTTGATATTTGAAGAAAGAAAGAGAGAGAGAGAGAAAGAGAGAGGAAGGAAGGAAAGAAGGAAGAAAGAAGGGAGGGAAGGAAGGAGGCAAAGAAAGAAGGAGAGAAGTGAAGGAGAAGGGAAAAGAAAAAGAAAAAAGAAAGGCCAACTGGAAATGAAACAAAATTATTTAGGAATAGGTAAGAATGAACTCTATGGTAGATCTCAACCTTTCATGGACTATAATCCACCAAAGACTCCATCAAAGTAATTGGATCCAAAGATATCAGCAATATTAATAAAAGTAAAACTAGCAATATACCAAGAACATTTTATATCATAATAAAATATATAATATATTTATACTATTTAGCTTTTACAACTCCATGAGTAGCTTTTACAGTGAACTTTATCTTAAAGTTGAAGATAAACCTAAGAGAGAGTAGATAACTTTTTCAAGGTCACTTGGCCAGTAAGTTGCAAAATTGAGATCTGAACTAAGCTGCCTAATGCAAATGTTCTTCTTTCCTAATCCTTGCAAGAATGGGACCAGTTAGTCACTACCATTCTACCTCCTTCAAATGTGTGATTTTTTTAGCATGCTATAAATTGTTTTATAATTCTAAATAATGCTTGTGTGTTTCCCAGATGACCTGTGTAATAGATGAGAGCCAAGGAACAAAGGGCTGCTATTGGTCTACCAACTTCATTTTGGAAAAGAAAAGAGAAAAATCCCATACCTTGTTTCCACCCAAACCAATTAAATCTGACTTTCATTAAAGCTCCCAGGTGATTCAAATGTGTGGCTAAAGTTGAAAACACATATCTAGAACCTATATTTGTCTTAATGTAGCCCATGATACCATTAGCTATTTTGGTAGCCACGTCACATTTTTGAAAGATTTTGATCATAATACATTGTCACAGATACTGTTTCTCAACCACAAATTCCTCCACACTGAATCTGTGCCTATGCCTTTTGGGATTTCAGAGCAGATCTTACTTTTGGCCCAGTTGTCTTTCCCACCATGTTAAGTGGCTAAGAGATTTTTCAACACTGTTTCTACCAATGAACTTGACATTCTTCTTAGTTTCATGTCACACTCAAACCTGATCATCAAAATTTATGGATTTTTCTAAGTTACTGACTAATATAAAACAAGGTAGATCCAAGAGTAGAACCTAGATGGCACAGTATGAGAGACCTCCCTCCAATTTGATACTGATGTACTTATTAATCATCTCCTTTTGCCATTCATCCCATCCAAATTCCATCAAATTTTCTTGTTTCATAAACCTACTTATAATACCTTGACCATAATAATAAGATGTCTTAAAACGACTTCCTTCTAGGAAGGTCTTGAGTGTCCCTGTGGCCAGTGAAATGGTAACACTTCTGGTATGAGAATTTCATAGCCCAGCTGATGAATATCCAGCTCAGAGTTAATCAAACTCTATTGTCTTTTAATGAGCAACATTATCTACTTAAAATGGTATGACTCCTCTGTCTCAGGCTTGGCACTTAAAAGTTGGGAGCTGCTAACCAGAACAGGAATTTCCACTAGGAGTTAAGATGAAGAAAAATTAGAGACATAACCATATGTGCAAACAGCAGCTTCAACACTGAGGGTGGTTGGCTGTGTTTGCAGCATGAACAAGGCTCCTGCTTAAAGACACACCTCTCCAGGACAAGAGACCTGTCCTCACCACCAATAGGATAAATATGGCTTTTTAAACTTTTTTCAGGAAAAAAAGCAAGATAGAACTTTTGAAATTAAAAAAAAAAAAAAACCTTTGGGGCCTGGGTGGGGTGGCTCACACCTATAATCCCAGCACTTTGGGAGGCCGAGGCAGGTGGATACCCTGAGGTCAAGAGTTCAAGACCAACCTGGCTAACACGGTGAAACCCCGTCTCTACTAAAAAATTAGCCGGGCATGGTGGTGCACACCTGTAATCCCAGCTACTTGGGAGACTGAGGCAAGAGAATTGTTTGAACCCGGGAGGCAGAGGTTGCAGTGAGCTGAGATCGCACCACAGCACTCCAGCCTGGGCAATAGAGTGAGACTCCATCTCAAAAAAAAAAAAAGGGGCCTTTGGAATCTTGAGAAACAGTAAGAAAGCAATCTTCAGGCATTCCCCAAAATAGCTACATCAGAATAGTATAAATGTGACCATCCAACCATCCATAGCCTAAAATCATATTTTGACCAGTTGGCTCTTGAATAAACAATCTCTCCTTTTTCTCTTTTATGAAACAACTAAGTGTTTTATTTCTGATGCCTCTCTAAGGCTTTTAGAGAAATATATGTGTCTATATGTGTATGTGTGTTGAGAAATTTAAACAATACAAAAAGAGATACTGAAGCCTCCTCTATCCTTCCTATTCCCCAGAGGTAACTATTAATGATATCTGAGTACTTACGTTTCAAGGCTCTTTTTCTGAATATATAGAAATACAGTTTTATAACACAAATGAAATAAAACTGCTCAGCAAGGTGCTTTTTTTTTTTTTTTTTTCTTTTTGAGACGGAGTCTCGCTCTGTCGCCCAGGCTGGAGTGCAGTGGCATGATCTCGGCTCACTGCAAGCGCCGCCTCCCGGGTTCACGCCATTCTCCACAGCCTCCTGAGTAGCTGGGACTACAGGCTCCCGCCACCACGCCCGGCTCCATCTCCTGACCTCGTGATCTGCCCGCCTCAGCCTCCCAAAGTGCTGGGATTACCGGCGTGAGCCACTGTGCCCGGCCAGCAAGGTGCTTTTTAATTGTATCATAAATTACATTCTTCTTATCAGAACACATAGGTCAACCTATTTTTTGAATGGCTGCAAAGTCCATCATATGAAACACCATAAGTTATTTAATCAGTCCTCTGTTGTTCATTTTTCTATTTTTCTCTGTCTCATGCAATACAACCTTATGGTTCTAATTTGTTATTTGTCAGTAAAGTTAATGATTTTACCATGATAGTTATATTCTTATTATTACTTTAACTGGTTTTCTTTATTAGCTTATTAGCTCACTGTTTTCTTCATTAGCTTAGGTTTTTTATATGTAATAGATATTAATCCTTTGTCTGTTATCTAGATTACACATTTTTCTCAGTTATCATTTCACCTTTATTGAAGTGAATAAAGTTTATTTAAGTAAACTTAAGTTTACTTAAGTTAACTTTGTTGAAGTAAATAAAGTTAACGTTTTAATTAGTCTTATCAGTCATTACTTTCTTTTATGATTTTTGGGCTTTATACCATACTTAAAAGGGCTTCTTCACTCACTATATTTGTATAAAAATATTTCTCTTCTATTTTAATATTTTCATGTGATTTTGTATTTTATATTGAGATATTTTATCCATCTGGAATTTATTCATAATGTGGGAATTTAATATTTCCTGAAGTTGGTTCATAAGTAATTTTATTTTTAGATAAATGCTTATGGTGTACTGGTTAAGGCACCAGGTTTTTCAGTTATAACAATCTTTACTTGAATCTCAGCTTTGCCTCTTTTATACAATGTGACTTTTGGCAAGTTGTTCTCTAACTAATTCTTTCAGCTATAAAATATGGATATTAAACTACATCTGGAAGAATTATGAAGCATAAATAGGAACATACAGGAAAGTGCTTAGCATGGAGTTGGGGTATGAAAAGAACTTAATAAATATCAGTTATTCTCATCATTTTTATTTGATTCTGTGATAAAGGTCAAGGCAATTGTTTTCTGTAATGTTAGCAACATCTTACTGCTTAATTCTTTTATGTCTGTTGGTTGGTTGATTTGTTGCTGAGTTAACTAGTTGCTTTGTTTGGTTTGGATGTAAGCAAAACAAAGGATCATCCACCAGACCCCTCTTTGAACTTTTCTGGTATATATCATAAAACCCATTATGTAATGGCTCCAATTTGCTGCAAAGAAATGAACTGCCAAAGTATGATGTTACTTGCTCATGATATATTTAGAGATTATAACTTCTAATTTATTTTGAATTTAGCAGTGAACCTAAGGTTAAGAGGTGGCAGCAACTAATTTCCTCTGCTTATTTTCTTAATTTTTATTGTAACGATTGCATTCTTAGTATAATTATCTGTAAAAAATTGTTGTCTCCTCCATGAGATTACCTATAATCACGTTAAGTGCAAGACTCCATACCTAACACAGTGCCTGGCTCATAGTAGATGCTCAATAAACATTCCATGAATAATAAATGGAATATCTATTGCACATCTAATGTATGCCCTGAAATTATTTAATTTTTAAAACAATCATGCAAGGTAAATGTTATTATTCTCATTTCACAGATGAAGCAGTTGAACTCAGAGTTAATGAAGCTGCCAAAGAGACTGAAATTACATGACCTAAACTCAGGCTGTAGTAACCTTGGTGCTGGTGGCTGAGGCAGGACTGGCCCTGGATAGAATGTAGTAAGTGTGGGTCTCAGCTTGGCACTTCTCAGAGGCAGCTTTCTATTCTCCTCCCTGGTAAGGCCAATCTTAGTGGTTACCTTTATGTAAAGTAGAACTATGTCCTGTGCCAAGCAAGATAAGCAGCTCTATGCATGTCCCTAAGAAGCTAAAATAGATGCTCATCATCCCAGTCTGCAAATTAAGCCAAAATTTCAGTGTCACTAGCAGTCAACTCTCCAAAGACAAATAGGTTGTAATCTAGTTTCAGAAAGGAAAAAGTGACTAGTTGTCTGAAAGAACTGACATCACCTGCAAGCTAAGTACCTTTTCCTGTATCTGTGGGCTTTCTGCTCACCCTGGCTGTCTTGCTGTGCTCACTTGTACCAGATGGACGGCGAAACAAGACTTGCCAGGAAACTGAAACTTGCAACCAAACGAGAGAGACCAATTGCCAGACAGCGTGTCTCAACACTGCTCCGTCAGCACACAACTTATGTAATCGCCTGTTTATGCAACAGAGTACATGAATTTTAATTGATAGCACTGTTAGGTTTGATTCAGTGTCATCTAGTAGAGAGTTCTTCACTGGAAATTCTACTTGTGGTTCTACCACTAAATTTGTGGTATTAGGGGGTGGGAGGAAAAGTCAGAACCAGCTCTGTTTGCAATAATGCAACTCAATGCTGTATTCAAGGAGAAGTGGAGTGAACAGAGGGATGCTTCTTCAAAGTTGAACACATTGGAAAAAATGAAGAATTTGTAGCAGGGTTAGAGGAAATACAATAAGATATCAAGAACCTTATAACGTCTAAGTAACCAAAGCTGAGACAAGAGTGTTAGAAAAAGGAAGCTGTGTCTTTAGAACTAACAGTAAGTATAAAGCTCTCCACAGAGGAAGCATCTGCGCGCTTAGGTCTCACTTTAAATATCAGATCCTCTAGGAAGCCTTCACTACTTCCCCTACACCCCAAAACTGACTTAAAGAGTCATTGTGTGTGTTCAAGTAGCACCTTCTCTTCCACCTGTTATAGCCTGCATTGCACAACATCCTAACCAATGGCTTACTTGTCTCTCTTTCCACAAGTGTCAAAAATTTACCAGGACAGTGCTGGGACCTCATTCACTGTCATGACCCTTGCACCAAGCTCAAATCCTGGTATGTAATGAGCACCTCGGAAGAATTTGTTGAATTAATGAATAAACAGTGTCCCATGTTACACAAAATAGTGATGATCCCACTGAAGACCATCAAAGCCAAAGATGAAGGGAACATAAAAGAAGATATAGAACAACAAGAAGGAAGAGGAGGAAGAGTTGAAGGGAAAAGAGTTGGAGCAAGGAGAGGAAGGTGAAAAGAAATGAAGAAAGAGGATGGTAAGGAAGAAGAGGAAGGGAAGAGGAGTTGAATGGAGAAGAGGAGGAAAGAGGAGAAGGAGGAGGAATGATGAGGAGGCTGAGAATAAGAGATGAATGAGGAGGAGGAGGAGGAGTAAAAACAGCTTCAAAGAAAAGAAGTAGGAATAAACTCTGCCTCACAGAATATCATGACAGACATAAGGCTTATCCTCCAAATGGAAAAAAATGCGAAGCAATAGAAGTACTTGGAGG
The DNA here is from genome assembly GCF_000001405.40 of Homo sapiens. NCBI lineage: Eukaryota > Metazoa > Chordata > Mammalia > Primates > Hominidae > Homo > Homo sapiens. Next base: position 89,165,017 of record NC_000010.11, read on the forward strand.
ATCCCAAGCACTTCCAGGTAATGGTATGCAAAGTCCTGCAGTGGGAATGGTAGCAGCTGTGTGGAGTCCTGATATGGCCACTAGGGATGTCTTACTGGAGTGAGTGTACGTACGCTACCTGAACCTTATCTCGCTGCTCTCTCCTGCTGAGTCAGGGAGCAGATAACCCTCTCAGAAGGGTCTGAGGGACAATGAAGTTTGAAGGAAAGAAGCTGAGTGAGCTAAAGAGACATAAAGGACCAACATGGCACCTGGTGACCTAGGTTTGAATCCTAGCTCCTTCAATTATCATGAAATGGCCTTTGGAAAATTATTGCATTTTCTGTAGCCTCAGTTTACCTACCTATAAATCTATCACAATAATAGCATTCTCTTCGCATTGTAATGAAGATTAAATTAAATGAGATAGCATATAATTACCATAAAGCATCTAGCCCAAAAGCTCCTGATATGTAGCAGTTGCTCAACAAATACTTGTTTCCTTTCTTCCTCCTGGTTGAAAAGAGGTTTTGTTGTCCTTATTTCTGCGCACAGGCATTTGGAATTCAAAAGGAAAAATCTGATGGGAATAGCAACTCTAAAGGTGGTAGTGGATTTTGGGAGATCTATTGCAGGGATCTGTCCTCCGTGTTATCCTGTTTACGTTTTCCCTCCAATAACTTAAATGCAGTTAGAAAGAGACTGAATATCAAAATGTATGAGACAAAAAGCTAAGTTTAGGACTATGAACGATGGCAGCATTAGGTTCCAAAAAGATTTTAGTCAGCCGGAGGAACAGGCTTGACTAAAGTTCACAGAATGCAAAATGAAAGTGTAAGTTCCCACACCTGGGTTCAACAACTCAAGTGTGTAAATGTAAACATCATACCTAGATTGATTGATACTGAACATTATGTTTTTGATATGGTTTACACTAATTTGTATGTAGCATGAAATCTCAGCCAAGTGTAACTATATGAAATTTAGCACCTTCGCTTGAGTTTAAATTTCTGAAGAAAGTAAAATGAATTTCATGCCTGCATGACTCAAATAGATGGAGAGGTCTTTTTCATTTTCCCGAAATATCTTCAGGCTGTTCTAACACAACATGGTCAAGATGACTCACAGGACAAAGCAACCTGCCCTATCCTCCTACACGAGTCTCATCTTTCCTGATTAATGCTTTCTTATAAGCCTGAAAGTAAGACACTCAGAAACTACACTTACTCCTGGGAAAAGGCCGGGCATGGTGGCTCACTCCTATAATCCCAGCACTTTGGGAGGCCAAGACTGGGATTATCTCCTGAGGTCAGGAGTTTGATACCAGCCTGGCCAACATGGCAAAACCCTGTCTCTACTAAAAATACAAAATTAGCCAGGCATGGTGGTGCACATCTGTAATCTCAGCTACTGGGGAGGCTGAGGCACAAGAATCACTTGAACCCGGGTGGCAGAGGCTGCAGTGACCCAAGATCATGCCACTGCACTCCAGCCTGAGTGACAGAACAAGACTCTGTCTCAAAAACAAAACAAAAAAACAAAAATCCTGGGAAAAAATGTCTGAATACCATCATAACAATGATGACCAAAGAGTACCACTGTGACAGAGCCAAGAAGTAAATTGTTTAAGAAAAGATCTCTGATTAATGCTGAAAATGAAAAAATTGATAGTTCCTTCAGGGCAATTTTGGAGTTACATGAGTACAACAGTCCCATTCTCTCCAAGAACTAAGAAATAAGGGAAATTAGGGTTGCCACTTGAGAATGGACTTTTAGGATGAAAAGGAAGAAAATATTCTAAATCCGTAAACATCACTACCTCAGTGGGAATGATTATCTAGATTAATGAGGAATAATAATTCAAGTAAACCAAGAATGTAGCAATGGATGAGGTTGAGAACTTAGAGAAATGCAGTTTGGAGAAGCAAAGATGAGGTGAAGATGGCTTACTAGAACCAACATGGCGGAGGTACCACCACTTGGCACCTAGTCCAGCTTTCAGCTTCTTAGGTGCTGAAATACTAAGAACTGGGCATCGTGGATAAAGGAAGTTCTTCCTTGTTAATTTTTTTTTGATAAACTAATTAACTCATGGGAGTTTCCAGTAAAGCTGGTAATCTGGGTTTGCAGTTTGAGTCCAGAGTCTGGACTGTGTACTGGATGCTACACAATGCTGAATCCACTTTTATTTGAAAAATATTGAGCTCTGTATATCCAGCATCATGCCAGGTTCTGAGAATAAAGAACAAGACAAAGATCCTATTCTCATGGAGCTTGTGATCCAGTTTTGTGCTGTAAGATTTCTTCACAAGCAGCCGGTTACCTCCTTGGCAACATCCTCACAATAACCAAGACCCCCAAAAGTGGTTAAATCTGGTTAAGGTTTCCCAGGCACTGATGACCCGCCAGAGTCAGGCATAAGAAGCCAGATTTCACTCTCCTGCCTCACAGAGCTTTCAAGAAATGTAGCCATGCACTCTACTTAAACATCTTTTAATTCCAGTATTAGGGACTGAATATTGACAATGAACTGGATTCACCAGGGATTAACACTAGGGGCTTGCTTTCCCTGGGATTCTGATACAATCCCTCCAAGAAAGTAAGCATTCTCCCTTTATTTTGTGTAATAAAAATAGTAAAATGAAAATAATGGAAAATTACTGCTGGGTATGCATTGGATAGATGAAGAATGTGGAACCATTAAAAGGGGTTTGCAGACTAGGGCCACACAATGGATCTGATTGGGAAGACAATTCTTAATTTCAAGAAAGTAGCATCTTACCATGCAAAGAAAAATAAACTTTGTAATTCAAAGTCCTGGCTTACAGCCTAGCTCCATCATTCTGTGGCACTGTAGCTTTTGCTGAGGATTTCTTTATCTAGAAATAGTATGTACCTAATTGACTTTCCAATTTGAAGTAACCATTTTCCTTTCACAAATGAGAATAAGAATTAAAATGTATAAAGGAATAAGCCCATTTCTCTGTTAGACAATTTGCTGTGAGAATGAGTCTGGGCAAAGGCATGGCACTGAGAGAGGGAGGGTGGATTACCACAGCAGACATTCAAGTAAACCTCTCCCAACTCACAGCCTTTGCCCAGCCCATCCCTTGAACTAATCTCTACTTGGAAAGAAATCTCTAGCAGGCTGCTGTCATGCTGAAGAAAGAAATGCCTTGTCATTGCATTTGTGAAAGAAACCTGTAATGATTTCTGATTGGACCAAAACCAGAACACTCAGCTACCACAACTGGGGCTAGCACCTTTCCATAGAGAGACACAAAATTTGTTCAATGCCTGGCATCACATGACTTCTCTTCAAAGAGATGTTTGGCCAGAACTGCAGCTGGATAGGAAAGTCTAAAAGCAGAAATAGGCCAGGCATGCTGGCTCATGCCTATAGTCCCAGCACTTTAGGAGGCCAAGGTGGGCAGATCACCCAAAGTCAGGAGTTTGAGACCAGCCTGGCCAACATGACGAAACCCCGTCTCTGCTAAAAATACAAATATTAGCCGGGCATGGTGGCGTGCACCTGTAATCCCAGCTACTCAGGAGGCTGAGGCAGGAGATTCGCTTGAACCCGGGAGGCAAAGGTTGCAGTGAACCGAGATTGCACCACTGCACTCCAGCCTGAGCCACAGAGCAAGACTGCGTCTCAATGAAACAAAAACAAAAACAGAAATAAATCAGAAGCTGGTGTTGCAATATTATTTGACAAGAGATATTAACTATGCAAAAACAATTCTTTGTCCAATAAACTTGGAAAAGTGTTGTAAACCAAATTATCTCCTTGAAGATTCACATTGCACAAAGGCACATCAAACGCTCTTTCCTCAATCTCTATGCTTGACTTGCATTGGTCTTCCTTCAATCACATCAACATGTGACATGAGGATTTCTGAATGAGCAGTTCCCTCTGCCTCAGATTATCTTCCCTCTAATCATCACATGACTGCCTCTTTCTTGTTATTAGAATCTCAGGCTAAATGGCACCTTTTCAGAGAAACTTTCCTGAGTACCAAATTTAAACTAGCCATTGGTCCACTCTGTCATATTTCAGTGATGCCTAATTTTCTGCATGTTAAGTAAAAACTCCAGGTAAACATGACTCTTTTCTTCTTTGTTCACCACTGTATCCTCAGCACACAGAAGTGCCTGAAACAAATTTAGCACTCAAAAACTGTTTGTCATAAATTGTTCAAAAAACATCTGTTGTTTCACAAAATATAGTTTGGAAAATAAGATCTGGTTTCAACCATTTATTGGATAGGTGGGGAAATGTTCGCCCACAGAGGTAAATTGGCTTGCCCAAATCATGGCATCCACTGGAAGCACAAGGAAAATCAAGATAGGCTTAAATCCCAGAATGTAGGAGAAGAAATTAACATTTATCGGGTGACCCTTCTGTGCTTTTCAGTGGTAGAGCTTATATCATCACTTAATACTTAAAACAACTGTACAAGAGGGGCATTATCATGTTTATTTCTTCAGATGAGGGAGAAAGGGCTCAAGCTAATAAAAGGTAGTACTAAAATTTGAACCCAGGTGCAAGGCAGTTCAAAGCCCATGACTGTGACATTGCACCACACTGCCCTTTTGGAGTAGAAGGATCTACCATAGCATTAATGATCTGGACTAAAAAGTGGGAGCATGCCCTAAACAAGGGAAATGCAAGCGCCTAGCACAGGCACAGAAGTCTACAGTCAGAGCATGCCCAGGAATGAGTGATGCCTTCTGATTACCCAAAACAGCAGAGTAAAAGCTTCTCAAGTGTTGCCTTCCAGAACATCACCCGTCCCAAACGCAGAGTCAGAATTAGTCTGCAGATAGGAGCCAAGTGCCTTGCACTTAAAAGGTTTCTAATGTGGGAGCAATAAATAAGGCAGGTTATTGTAAATACTTCGGCCAGGAGTTGGCGTAGAGCAAACTAGGAAGCTGAAAACCCTCTGCAGATGTTATGGTTTACTTATTTATGCAATTGACACACAAATAGGCAATTTATACATCATTCATCTAACAAATATTTGAATGTTTTCCATATCCCAGGCACTGTGGTATATGCTGGTAATATAGTAGTAACAGGACAAAGAGTCCCTGCCGTATTCAATAAGTAGTTCATGAATGAATAAATTAATATAGGAATTAATGAATATGCTTGAAGATTTGCAGGGCATCGAGGGATACTAGCTATGTTTCAAGGGGTATGTACTGAGCTATGGCAAAAAAAAAAAAAAAAAAAAAACCTGGGAAAAAGCATTTTAGTACCTCACTGCTACTCTTCTAAGTGTCAACGTATCTTGGATGAATTTGGTTTTGAGTTCTCCTCTAAAGGAAGCTGTTATACTGTGCCTTTGTTTCATGAGGCAAGTCTAATGAAGCATCAGCTACCATCTGCTTCTTCTCATCCCTGGTAAATCAATACCTGAGAACTTATCTGAATGACTTTCATTTAAAACCCGTTGTCACTGTCAGGAAAAGATGTGGTATGACCTCTATATTTTTCAGGGTTCTCCAGAGAATCAGAACCAAGAAGAAAGTATGTCTTTACAGAGATTTATTTTAAGGAATTGGCTCATGCAGTTGTGGACATTGGCAAGTCCTAAGTATGTAAGGCAAACCAGAAACCTGGAAACTCAGTAATCTATTGATTACTAAATTTCTCACATAATTTTTCTGAAAATTCCTTTACTTTTATCTTCATTTTTTAAAGATATTTTAACTGAGTTAAAAATTCTAGGTTGGTAGTTTTTCTTAATGAACACATTAAAGATACCATACCACTGGTTTCTACCTTCCACTGTTCTTTTCATTGAGTGAGTAATCATTCTAATTGTCATTGCTTTGAAAGTAAGATGTCTTTTCTCTGGTTGCTTTCAAAACCTTCTCCTGGCTTTTGTATTTCTCTACATGTATGATGTCTAAATGTAGATTTTTAAACATTTATCTTGCTTGCATAAGCTTATGAATGGTTGGGTACCAACAGCTCTGGAAAGTTTTTAGTTATCTCTTGAAAATTTGCCTTTCCTTTATTTTTTCACTAATCAAACGTGTTAATCCTTCTGTACATGTTCTGTACTGTATTTATTAGTAATTCTTAAAGTATTTTCCATATTCTTACTCTTTCCTATATTTTTCAACATTTTGTCTCTTTGTACCATAATCCAGATAATTTCTTCTTCTTATCTTCTAATTTGCTAATTCTCTATTCTGTAATGTCCAATCTGTGCCATATCCTAAGTTTCAATTTTAGTTCTTTTTTTTACCATATCTATACTTTTTCCAAATTTGCTCCTTGGTTTTTCTAGTGGCCTGTTCTTTGCAGATATTTCCAAACCCAGTGAATTATTTAAACCTAGTAAGTGTGTTTTTTTTCAGTCTGCCTCTAAAATTCCAATGCCTGAAGTCAGTAAGAGTCTTTTTCCTATTTCTGTTGTTTCAGTTGCTTAGCAGCCATGTAGCCTTGTCTCTTTGTATACCTGTTAAATTTGCCTGCATGCTAGTCATTGCTCTTGAAAAAAAAGTTATTTGTGAATGATCCCTGAGGCCTAACATTGAGTATATCCTCTTTCAGAAAGCCCTTACCTTTGCTTCTGGCAGACAGCTCTGGTGTTTGCAGCTGGTGAAAACCTCAAGTCAAGTTCATTGCTCAATGTCCCCCGGCAGGTATGGGTTGTATGAACCCAAGATGCAGATCCATATGAAAGCCAGTCTGCAACCACAAATTCCCGGGGATGTCTTTCCTGCTCTTTGTCTTTGTTTTCTGCCACTACCACAAGAGCTTTCTCTAAAGTCTCCTAAAATTGAGGTGGGAGAGGAAGTTTAGTTCTGACTCTCCTTTATGCCAAGGGTTATGTCCTTTGTGGATGCCATTTAATTCAGAGAAGGTTTCCTTTAAGATTTCTGAGTTACAAACCACCCCAAAACTTAGGGGTTTAAAACAACAAACACTTATTCTCAAGCACATTAATCTGCAGGTCATCTATACATGGGCTAATTTTGAACGGGCTTGGCTGAGCAGCTCTGCTTCAGGCTATACTTCGACTAGGCTTGGCTTCAAGCTATCATTTGGTTCAAATCTCTTCCATGTGTGTTTATTCTGGGGCACAGACAAAGAGGCAGCCATGATCCTTCCATGTTCTCAGAAGGATCACCAGAGCACAAGGGAGCACGCCTACCAGATATCTGAGTCAGTACTACAGAATGCAGGACACCCGATTTGTCTGTAGACTATCTTTTCACTATTCTATTCCCATCCACTGCCAGCTTACTATATACTCTATGTGAAACAAACCTTTGTGTAGTACTTAAGTGCCAGACTGCTTAAAGACATTGTCTCTTTAATGGTCAGATCCACCCTAGGAATTCAGTATTATTGATGCTCAGAGAGGTCAAGTAAACTCGAATAGGGTCACACATCTTGTACATGGCAAAGTCAAGATTCTGTTTCTAATATCTGAGTCTTCCCCATTATCCTCATGCTGATGAAATGCAGCTAATGGCTGCATTAGGAAGAAGGTGCCCATTTGAGTACAGGGTAGTCTCTGGAAGTTAAAAGGTAGAGGCAGGGTGCAGTGTGTGTGTGTGTGTGTGTGTGTGTGTGTGTGTGTAACATCATTCACTCCTACATTGCAATTTGTCCTCAGGGATATTTTGATGATTCATATTCCCTTGTGGCACATAATTAGTATACAAGAAGAGGGAGAATGCTCAGTATTTGCCAAAAAAACAAGGATCAAAAGAGTAAAGCAAATTGAAATCATATATGGGTTACATATTTTCTTCAGATTTTTATTTAAATTGAAACAACTGTGGAAAGATCAGTGAGTTCCCATCTACTGGCATGGTCAGCTCATTATAAAAATAATTTGCATCTGCTGAGAGACAGAAAGAGAAGCATTTAGATTTTTTTGACTTCTTAGCAAGAAGTATACGATACACAAAAGGGATTCAAGGAATGAATGACTGTTAGGGGCCAAACAACAATGGTAGCCACGTAGTGTTTCTACTGTGGTATTTGCAGACAGAGGAAAGGAGAGGAAAGGGGATTTAGAAGAGCAAAGAAAAGAGAAACTTGTGATGTTAGAGGCCACAGTATAAGAGACACAATTATTAACAAGTGTCTCTAGAAGATTAAAATATGAAAAGTAAAACCATAGTTGGCATTTTTAAAAGATAACTGTACATACATAATTTATTTTTAAATTAACACAACCTTGCCACATAAAAATGGTTTTATGAGTCAGCATTTTTTTTTCACTCTTGATATCATGCAGAGGAAGGGGAAAACAAAGAGGAGGAGAAGGAAGAGGAGGAGAACAGTGACTACAACAAAAGTATAGTTTCAGTAAAGCTGGGAAAGAGATGTAAAAAAAACTCCACAATGGATAGAATATCAAAATGTGGTAAGATTGGGAAGAAGCCAATCAAGAGGAAGCATAAAGAATTATAAGAGAGCTAGTAATGGCAGATCTTAGAATGTGCCAGCAAATAAACTTTCTGAAAGAGAAGAGCCCATTTTGAAAGGCAAAAGCTGTATCTTTTGTTTTCAACAAAAGTTGAGGGATAAACCTATACAGAAATAGGAAAAAAAAAAAAAATCCAAAGAAGACAGAAAGAATGAAAGTGTGAAACATTTCCAAACAAAGATAGATTATAAAATTTATATTTTTTTAAGTTGCTGAAATAAAAGAAGTAATGAATCTTCATAATGGAAGAGTACAATGTATCCTATAAAAATGACCTAGAATGTATTTAGACATAAAGACATATCCTAATTAAGTTATGCACTTCAAAGATTAAAAAGAAAATTCATTTGGACAGCCAGGCAGGAAAACCAAATTACTAAGTGGCGGAAAATCAGGTTGACCTCAGATTTGTCCATAGCTACCTGCAATTCCAAAAAAAAAAAAAGTAGACCAAAACCACAAGGTGTTTGAGAAAATGTGAACCAAGGATTTTATATCCATTCAAACTTTCCTTCCAAGTATAAAGTCTGCAGACCAATCTATTTTAATGTGGGAGACCTCAGGGAACACTTTTCTAGTGAGTCTTTCTTGAGAAAACCACAGGAGGATAAATTTTATCCAAACAAGGGATGACTGAGTAAACTATAGGAAAAAAGATTAGTGATAATGAATATATTTTACTATAGAACTAAAAATAAAACAAATGTAGTAGGTGCAATGTAAGTTTTCTAGACCCTGACATTAATGGAATATAAATTTTCTAGACTCTGACAATGTAGAAATGAGCAAACTACAAAAAATTAGAAATGGATTGGAAAGAAGGGAACACATAAGTAAATTTGCTGATTGCCTCATCTGCAAAACTTGGGAGTCAGAGATATTTAAAGCTGACAAAATCAATCATAAATGTGGTAACATATTAACATTATGAACAAAAACACCAAGAAAAATAATTTTGACTAAAATGATGTGATGGGAACTAATATATAATGTCTAAGGAAAGAGAGCTCTAAAGTTGCTATGTATATGGCTAATCACTAAACAAAAATTCAACTTTTTTTAACTATCAAAAGAACTAAAAACAAAAAAGGACAAAATAGTCAACAATTTTAAAAGAAATCATAAAAACAGAAAGCATAATGTAAAGTAATATGGCAAGATTAAGATCAAATATACTTGTAAAACAATAAATCTAAATTTTTTAACACATCAATTAAAAGAAAAGGATTTTGGAGTGGAACACAAAACACAACTCTAAGCTAAATAGAAGTCACACCTAAAACAAAGCTAATTAGAAAGACTGAAAATAAATATATGAACAAAGTAATACCAAGGAAATGTAAATGAAAAGAAAGTAGAGGTCATTATTTTAATATCAAACCTGGTGGAATTCAGGTTGAAAAATACTAAAGGAGACACTAAAAGAATACTTTATAATGCTAAAAAGTATAATTCATAATTAATATATAATAATTACAAATATCTGTAAGTAAAATAATATCATAAGAATATTCATAAATCAAAGATATAGGAAATATGATAAGAAATAGGAATTTGATAGATGTGAGAAACATTAATTCATCTCTTTCAGTACATGAAAAATAAGTGGATAAAAAGTAAGACAACATATACAAGATCTAAATAACAACCAATAATGTTGATTGTACGTACTTACACTCTAAAATTAGAGAACATTCTTTATTTTCAAGAGTCCTTAGGATAGTCACAAAACTGACTCTTGCCAAAACCCCCAAATTTCCAAAAACACAAAAATAGCAAAAAATCAAATCAAATAAAGTCTCTACCATAAAAATTTAGAAAAAAAACAACATAATAAATCAAAGGAAAGCAGGAGGAATTAATAAAGATAAATCCAGAAATCTATAAATTAGAAAACCAAAAAAAGATAGAAATAATAAATATATAAGCTAGTTATTTTAGGAAAATAGAAAAATAAATAAAATAAACCACCAACAAATCTACTCTACAAAAAGTATGGGCATGGGGAAAAGGGGAATGTTTAATAGACAAATTTCATATTTAATAGACAGAATATAAAATAAGAGAAAATAAACTCAGAAACAATAAATTAAAGCAATCATAAGAGACTATTTTGCTAAATTTTGTGCAAGTAAATTTGCAACTCTGGCCAAAATTAGTGGAATTCTAAGAAAATAAAAAATGGATAATTTTCTAGAAAACTTATCATTTAAGTATGAAATATAAGTGTCCTTGGCTGGTGTGCATTCCACACGGTGTCTAGCTGAGTGCCTGACACTTGGTGGTAGTCAATACATATTAATATTTGAATTGAGTGAGTATCTTATCACCTCAGAAGGCAGAAGTCTCGTCCCACAGAGGGGAAATTTAGAACATAGATTCAGGGTAGAGGAAGAGTGTTGCAGCCACAAATCCCTCATGCTCTTTCTGATGACTACCTTATTAATGTAGAGATTGAAATTCTAGCTTTGTGTGCTGAATAGGCAGCAGGAGACTTTGATCAAAACAGGACCAAATGGTATGTTGCAAGATGGAGAACTTTAGGGATAATCCAAAAAGAAGCAAGTTACTCATGCCTTAAAAATGCTGTGCTCTAATCCCCACTGCCTATTCTGATCCCATCTCCTACCTCCCTCCATCTCCTGTAACCAAAATGAAAATCAGCTCCCAGGCTCATTGTCCAAGACAGATCAGCAAAATCTCCCCTATCTGCAACATTTTTGTGAGGATTCCTTTCAACTCCATGTCCTACCTGAAACCTGGCTCCCCACTGAGGATACTACTTCCCCCATAGGCCTCTTAAATACCATCCTCTCTCACCCATACTGTATACTGGATCTGAAGATGAGTAAGTAGGTGTCTTTCCTGCTCTTTAATGCTTCTTCCAACCATTTTCCCTTCCTCCTCCCTAAAATCACCTAGCTTTGATTCTCATGGCATCAAATTGTAACATTCTCCATCCATCCTTGTTTCAGTCTTCTAAAGATGCCTGAGTTACTTCCTGTCATTCCTTGAAGATTTTAGCTCCTGGCCTACTGTCATTCTCTCCAAAATTCTTGATGATTTTAATATTCGCCAAAAAAAGATCTTTCCAATTCCCTGATCTTTGAATTTTATTACTTCCTGTGCTCCAATGATCTTGTCCACCACAAGATCAATCTAAGTCACTCACTCTCATAGTCGTAGCCAAGATATTGTCATTATCAATAACTGCTTTCCAACCAGAATATTATTTTATCCCTGCCATTTTTGACCACCCCACTACCTGTCTTTGCACCTCATTTTCCCTAATATTCCAGCTTCATCAATCTTCTCATCCCCACCAGAACCTATAACTCATAGATTCTTCTCACTTTTCAGTAGCCTCACCAGTTGTATTCTCACTTTCCTCCTTCCCAAGGTTAAATGTCATGGTTAGTTGTTCTAATCTTTCCCCCCATCTTTATTACCTCTGTTGTTTGATATAGCTGCTTGGCAAAACCCTAAGCCTTGTTAAATCCAGCTCTCCACCTGTTTTGTACCTGCCCCCACACAACTGCTTGAAATGGAGAAAAAACACAATCATGCTGACTGACTATGCTTTAAACTCATGGCCACTCACTCTAGGTGGGACTGTAATGTTGCTTGGCACTCACACTCTTTTTTTCCCGTAGTTCATTCATTTTCCCACTCTCTTAGATGATTATTTTATTCCCTCTCCTTTTTCCTTGAACTCCCAGTCCCTTTTCCCTTATGTTCTCCTTCAGCTAGTAATTTTGATTGCTATTTCACTGAGAAAATAGGAGCAATCATAAACTTCCACAAGTACCCACTACCACCTCTACCCACCTATCTGCACAGATGCTCATACTGCTTCCTTCTCCCCATCATTGTGGGAAGAATTTCCCATGCTTCTAGCAAAGGCCAGCACATCCATTAGTGCACTGGGTCCCACCTCGTCCCATTTCCTCACAGATATAGCTCTGACAACTCTCCACTTTCCTCCACCAACAATGCCCATAACCATGCCATCTGCTGTTAATTTACCTACCTTTTTAAAAATTGTCACTTCACTTTTCTCATTTCTCTCCTTTTATAGGAAAAAAATCTGTGAAACTTATCTGTAATTTATCTCCTCGTATTATATTTTGGACTCACTCCAATCAGAATTTCACTCTGACCACTCAGCCAAAATGGCTCTTGCTGATCACCAGAGTCTCAATATCATGAAATCCAGCAGTCAGTGCTCAGTTGCCTTCCTTCTCAAACTATCAGTAGCATTTGGCTGGCAGCTCCCCTACTCCTTCTGGCAACTTTCTCTTCACTTGGCTTTGAAGATACCACTCATGCCTGGTTTTCTTCCCACCTCTCCATCTATTCCTTTTCAGTTTCTTTTGTTCATTCTTCACAGTAAATATTAAAATGAAGTCTTCTCTTTTCTATTCATGCTCTTTCCTTTGTGAATCACATTGAGTTTCACAGATTCTAATACTTTCTGTATGCTAATTATTCTCAAATGTGTATTTCTGTGTCCACACTTCTCCCTTGATCCCTAGATATATGTATTCATCTGCCTAAATGAAATCTCCATCTAGATTTCTACAGACATCTTAAACCTAATATATCAAAAGCTGAGCTTCTACATCTTCACCTATCCCAAATTCTGTTCCTTCAGTAGATGTTCCCATCTTAGTAATCCAAAAATCCCATTCTTCTACCTTCTCATGACAAACCCGTCAATTTCCCTCATACCTAACATTCAGTCTACTCTGTAATTCTGTTTTCTCTACCTTCAAATTTTATCTAGAATCCCAGCATTTCTCACCAGCTTCACAGCTATACCCTGGTGCAAGCCATCTCCCAACTCTCTACTTAATTCCAAACTTGCTGCTATAGTCTATTCTCCACCCAGCAGCCAGAGTGAGCATGTTAAAGAGTCAGAATATGACATGACTTTGCACAAATCCTTCCGTGGCTTTTCATGGAAGGATGAACCTTAAAGTCCTCATAATATCTACAAGGATCTACATGATCTGGCCTCTCTGAACTCTTCTTCTATACACCCCTACTATACACTTCAGCCTTTCTGTTCCTCACGGCACTGAGCATGTGTTCACCTCAGAAACTATTACCCTTGGGATCCCTCTACCTAGGATTCCCTCCTGTTAATTTCATGTTTCCCTCATTTCCTTTAGGTATTATTTAAATGTTACCTCCTTGGGGAAGCTTTCCCTCCCTCGCTCCTTACATGAAATTGCATGACAACCCCACCACCTTGGCCAAACTCTCCTCTACTCCTCCCTTGCTATTTACTCCCCTTAGCACTAGGTAGTCTGTAACATAGTGTGAAATGTACACATTCATCTTGGTTATTGCCTGTCTCCCCCACTATGATGTAAGTTCTAGGAAGGCTGGAATGTTTTTTAACTCACAACTATATTCTAGTGTTTAGAACAGTGTCTGGCCCATGGTAGGTGCGCATTTGGTGAATGAATTAATAAATTAGTGAAAATATACCTACATACATGCTAGGCATTGAGGACTATCGTGAGAGTGGAAGGCCACTGAAACACAATTCCTGCCTTTGAGGTGTTAATAGTGCTGAAGAGGAGATGCTAAGTGAACACAAATCACAATAACACAAAACATTGTGTATTAAGTGCTATGACAAGGGGCGGGCAGGGAGTAATAAAAATCTCAAAGCGGGTTGTGTTGAGAAGACTCAGAATGTGTGACAAGTAACCACTTTGTGTCAAGGAAGGCAGACTCAGATTTGCTTAACCAGGTTCAGAACAACCTGAGAATAGAATCTGTACACTGAAGTTTAAGTGACTATATTCATTTATTTTGTACAGGTCACTGGAGATTCCATGGTAAACATGGCACACATGGTCCTTCCCCCACAATGAGGTTTACAGCCAAGTTGGAGAGAAAAGTGGTTTTGAACTGGATTAGAGATGTCAATGTAAGCACCCAAATCAAAATTCAGAGCTTAAGGAACTGTGAAGTCTGCAGTAGAATTCAATTAGATCTGTTAAGAAAGAGATTTATGGGACCGGGTGTGGTGGCTTACGCCTGTAATCCCAGCACTTTGGGATACCGAGGCAGGCGGATCACCTGAGGTTGAGAGTTCGAGACCAGCCTGACCAACATAGAGAAACCCCGTCTCTATTAAAAATCCAAAATTAGCCGGGCATGGCGGCTCATGCCTGTAATCCCAGCTACTTGGGAGGCTGAGGCAGGATAATCACTTGAACCCAGGAGGTGGAGGTTGCAGTGAGCTGAGATTGCACCATTGCACTCCAGCCTGGGCAACAAGAGGGAAACTCCATCTCAAAAAAAAAAAGAAAGAAAGCAAGAAAGAAAAAGAAAAGAAAGAGATTTATGGGTTAAAGTTTTAGGCTAAATGAACTCAATGAAGCTTTAATCTATGAATGTAAGTTTTAACCCAGCAGCCCATAAAAGCTTTTGCATTTTATGGCTGCCTAAAAATTTATTTTACTGAACTCTGTGGAAGAAGGGAGCATTTTGGTGGGGGTAAGGGAGACATGAAATGAGAGGCCACAGTCCCCAAAAATTAACTCTACTGTAACCCTTGAGTAGGTGTAGAAGAAGGAGTTCCATTGCTGAGAAGCAAGATATCATTAGAGTGGTATTTATGATGGGAGTTAGGGGGTTAATATAAAATTATCAAGGGTGACCTTATGGAGGAAGTTTAATTTTTGACAGGCTTTTAAGATGAGTTTAAATGGGGAAAAGGAAGGAGTAATTTGCCAGACTGGAGGCATAGATGGTGGTCTAAGGTCCGAGGGAGAAGGTCAGCTTCACAGAGCACAGCTAAGCTGTCCAAGGCCATGGAATCCTATGCCATTGCTGATCTTTAGCTCCGTACACAAGTATGGCTTTATTGGATTTTAAAATATTGAAATCAGTCATCCTCATTCTTCACAGATTCCTACTTGCTAAAATGTATATGTAACCTCAAAAATCAATAATCATGGCACTTTCATTGTCATTTGTGGACATGCTCAGAGCAGCAAAATATTTGAGTCACCCATTGGGCACATTCCCAGCTGAGGTCAAACAAGGCAATGTTCTATCTTCTTGCATTAGCTCTCTTTCTGTAAACACATGTCCTTGCTATGGTCTATTTAGTGCCACGTTTTTCACACTTTTGTGTTTTTGTTGGTGATTTTGCTGTTTAAAATCGCCCCAAGCATAATGCCAAAGTGCTTTCTAGTGATCCTAAATAAAAGGAGGCTATGCTGTGCCTTATGGAGAAAATACATGTATTAGAAAAGCTTACTTCAGACATGAGTTATAGTGCTATTGGCCATGTTTAATGTTAATGAATCAATAATATGTCTTAAATAAGGTGGTTTTAAACAGAAACACACATAAAACAAGGTTATCTATTGGTCAGTTGACAAAAAATCTTGTGATCAGAAGCTCTCAGGAACCCAACCCTATATTTCCCCTAGGAGCAATGGTTCAGGATTTACTAATTCAGTGCTTATAGCAACTTTATAGAACATACCATTATGAATAACAAGAATCAAATGTACTTCCACACTCCTTAGTAAGTAACTACTAGTCCTACCCACGATGAGTGTCTTCCCATTGCCTTGGCTGCCCTGTCCTCTGCCTCTAGCCACGCACCCTCCTAGAACTCTCCATTGTCTATCAGCTGAAGGTCTAGGAGCGGCCTCTAAAATGCGGAAGACCACCATTCTGATTGCTTAGTACCTGTGCTGTGTTTGATGTTAGATATTTTTAATATCACCTTTGTGTATAAATATCTCATTGACTTCTCTCCCATAGGGAACATAATAAGTCTTCCATTAAACAGAACTTGTCCAAAGAACTGTTATTCAATCAAAAGTATGTGAGTTCTGTCCTTTTAGAAAGGGAGACGTAATTCACAAGAAAAATCAAAATAAAAAATTTGTGAAAATACCTAATTTTCTGACATTCATTAATTCTCAGCCAGGCTCTTAGGCTATCTAAAAAGTCCTGACAAATGAGAATGAACCTGAGAATCATTTTTCTTGTCATTTGCTCAAAAGATTAATTTCCTGATATTCTAGGTTTAAAAAAAGAGGAGTAAGATGGTAAAATGTGAAGGAAATATCTGATGCTTGAAATAATTCAGAATTTGCCATGTTGGAGAGATATTTTAGAGATATCCCATAAAGGGTATTAGGATTTGACAACAATAAGAGTTGAAGAAGTGTTCTGATTCTATTAATAGAATCAAGGACAAAAGCCCTAGGGTCACAAGAAACCTGAATTCTGTTGACTAAAGAAAATAGCAATGTTTTAAAAAATTAACATATGTTTTATTAATTAATTAATTAATTAATTAATGTGTTTATTCATTAAAGCTTGTTTTCAGAAGCCTTGAGGGCTATCAGTTGAGAACTACAGCCCTGGAAGCGCCCATCAGAGAGGTTCTGTCAGACGGCTCTGACACAGTATTCCAGCTCACAGCTTACACAAAGGTAGTGGAAGTTCAGTATGTGTTCAGAAGTTACATCAAATTTGTTCAGAAGTTACATTAAAGCAGAATCACCTAAAGTTTAGGTGCAAGAGTACATCTGGTTATAGATTACAGAGGCATAGTCACTAACTCTGTCAGACATTATCTTATGAGTAGGAAAAGGCAAGGACTAGGATTATATATCTTTTAAGGATGTAGTGACTTGGGAAAGAGACATGAGGGGCCAGGTGCTCTATCCTGCTTTGTCTTCAGAGCATTCTTCCATAGAGCTGCTCATAGAGTCAGGGGCTGTGTGAAATTATGCTGGAGAGCAGAAGTGAGCAAACATAGGTTTGCTGCTTTGTCTCACATTTTAAATCTCAGCTTTGCCATATATTTCACATATTCAAACTTAGGTAAGTCACTGAACCTAGATAAACCTGTTCCTTAATTGGTTAAGGACAATTAACCTTGTGGACAGACCAAGTTCTACTCTCAAAGGGTCTTTGGAGGGGGTTAAAAATAGACAATGTGTAGAGTACTGAGCACAGAGCTTGATGCAGATAAAGTTGACAATTATTAGCAGTTATTATTAAATTGTTTTTATGCAACATTTATATTTCCTTTAATATATAAGTAATATATGCTTGTGTTTTTTGAAAAATTGAAAATATAAGGAAAGAACATATAAAGAAACCATTATAACTTTATTATCCAGAGACTACCTCTTTTAAAATTTTGGTGTATATTTTTTAGACTATATTACAACTCTCTACTTTTTTTAAGTATCTACAAATGTTGTAAGCATTTGAATGTAATTTTAATGGGCAAAGTACATAATGCAATTCTTTGATGAGAAAAATTATTGATTTCCTAGTGACTCCTTAACGTAATGATTTGTTCAATGTGCTGTTCATCTGTAGCATATTTATTATAAGAATTGGAAGACAGGTGTCGGTAAACGCCAAATTTCATACAAACACCAAGAATTGTTTAGAAAGAACTTGTCCTGTGACTCTTCCCTGCCATTTTCCAGTTCCCATGGATCTATCAGCCTATTCGTTAGTTGCTTTTCATCATATCAGGAGGCTCATACTCAGCTGCAGGATGACAGTCTAGTCAGCATTTCCAAAAGGGCAAAAATCACTCAGGCCTCATCAGAGTGTGCACACACTCACACCCCCACTGCCTGCGAAGAGTACTGCTGCAACCTGCTACAACCTATGTGCCAGTTTCACATGCAGCTATCTCTGAGTACAAACTGACAGTATTGAGGGATAGATGAGATGGTAGACTTCAGCAATAATCTACAAATATTTTGGCTAACAAGCTGATTATTCCCTATTTTGTTCAAACAAGCATACCATAACTGATCCATTTCAAAGACTAATTCAAGGGACTAATTTACACCTCGTATACTGATGCCACTGTTGCTCAGAATATTCTGGGAGAGATCTCTCTCTCTCTCTTTCTCTTGAAAGTACCTTCAGAGGATTTTGTCTGCTATATAGTATTTTAACCATTTTCCAAAGTATTAAAAAACTTTTTGACATTGGAACTGACTATAAAACCAAAATCATTTAAAATGAGATTTCTTTGTTTAAAAATATACTTGATAATCTAAAGTCAAATCTGCCTTTACCTCCCTTCTCAAGGCTTCTTTGTAGACTGATTTAAATAGTCCTTTGTTAACACACTGTATACAAATGTAGGTTGTTTTTTACCATGTATGCCTTTACAGTCATAATATTTAGAAACCAGAAAATACTGTAATCACAAAGGAATTTCATTTTGCCATTCTGTCCTACTCATGGATTTGAATATACTCTCTGTAAGAATGGCTTTCTCTGTAAGAATGTGGTTACAGAGAAAATTGCTCTGATACTCTTTCCACATTATTTTGGCTTCATTCTGACTACTACCTGATATTTTTGGAGGCTGTTCCAAGCTTTGGAAAGAAATGTGTCAACTCTAGGCTTCAGCTACAATTGGAGTCATCTTCCCAGGACTCCATCCTTGCAAGCCCTACCACATCATGTGAGCTGGGAACCTGCAAGGTGGAAGCTACCATTCTGAGAAACTCTTGGGGAATGGGGATACTTCTAGGGCTGCCTTCACGATTAATGTTGGGGTTTTTGGTTTGCTGAGAATTCACACAATCTGGAAATACAGTTGTCACCTCAAAGAACAAGCAGTTACTTTTCATCTCCTGCATGTTTCATTGAGTGCAGTCAAGGTTTCTTGAATTGTGGCCCGTGAACCATTTACATAAGAACTCTTTGTCCTTACCTCAGACCCACTACATCAGAATCTCTGGAATTATAGACCATGAATGTTACTGTGTGTGTGCTGTTTTGGTTTTGTTTTTGTTTTTGCAGTTTCTCCTAGTGATTCTTATGCATTCTAAAATTGGAGAATCATAGTGTGATGGATTCTTTAAGCCTGACTTCTAGGGCACCATAGGAACTAGACCTGATAATTTGTCAATGTAAAGTTGTGTTGAGCTGGAAGGTGCATTTATGTCATGTGTTTCATTCTTCGTTAGGATCAAGTAGGAAGGAAATCATGAGGACATCAAGGCAACATCAAACCCACATTCTTTCTTCTTAATATACTCACTTTCCTGTGTTCCCTTGGTTCTAGATACCTTTGGTCACTCAAATACATAGCTTTAAAGATGAATTCATTTATTCGACAACTATTAATCAGCCCCTGGCAAGACCTGGATCTCGTGCTTGTCAACAACAGCATGGAGATTAATGAAATTGGATGCTTCACATCAAAGAGTTTAGAATCGAATCCTTTCTTCCTGGTGCCCCCCAGCAATGGCTGGAGAACAAACACCCTATTCCAAACAAAGAAATTCTAGAAATCTCCTAGTTCACTGGTTTTACACTGTGTTTCTTAGAGTTCTGAGGTGCCTCAATGTTCCCCTGGGGATGTGTGGGTGGCAGGTCAAGTTGGCTCTGTACAACTACTTCCCCTTCAACCATAACAGCTCCGTTTTTCTATATTTATTTTTATTACATTTCCACACAAGATTTCAGCTAAGACAAGATAAAAAGTTTATAAAACAACAGTGTAGAATTGACACATTTCCAAATATTTATCTCCAACAAAGTTTCCAACTCTATATTCAACTCTCCCCTTCTTGACTTCTTTCAGTGTTTCTGGCAAATCAGAGAAAATATGCCTCAAATTGGTGCTTACGTGCAAAACCTCTTTCCCCACCAGCTAAGCTTTATAAAGGTATTTGCCCTCAAGTGAGCTGGAAGCAATAGAAATCTTAACTTTCAGGGAAAAGACTGCCCTATTATATTACTTGGAAGAAGAAGTTTTTGGGACCGTGTCAAGCCACACAGGTGATATTTGAAGCTACCAATGTTAATTTTCTGATGTCCTGAATTATCCCTCTCCTTCCAACCTGCTCCAATTTTTCTTGGTCTAGGCCAATCTCTTTGCTTAACTCTGTGTTGAACTGTGAATCAACACCAAATTCCATTTTCCAAAATAATGTTTGCCTTTCACATCAAGAGCCTAGCTTCAAGTTCGTTCAATTGTTCACAGGAACCTAGATGTTGAAAAAGAACAAGAGACTCTTTGGCATCAGTGAATCATGTATAAATATGTATGCTTCTATCAACATACACATTTAGACACAGAAGACCCGTGCTTCCTGGGAGACCACATTTTAAGATAGGAGTAGGAAAGGAGACCATTCGGGGTTGTAAACACAGGTTTCCTGGAGAGGATGGTTATTTCCAAATCCCAGTGGATGAAAATAGCATCATAATCTGGCTGCATGACAACCAATAGGCTGGGCTGTCTTCACTCTAGCCACCTATAACTCCATAGGTCAATAGAAGGCCAATGTAAAGTTTACAGGAGTGCAATGTAAAGTTTACATTAGGCTCCTATCACATTTCTATTTATATCCCAGGGTAACAATGTAAACACCCCATGTTTACATTGGGGTGTGAATATCTGCTTGGTCTTGAGGTAGTCCTTGTTGAAGCAATTCTTAATAGACAATGATTGAAGTTCCTCCCACTTACTGTTTATGTTGGCACTTGCAGTTGAGATAAAGGGCTGTTAATATAGAAAGGGCTGTTTCTGGATAAGGCTGCTTACATTGTTATGAATTTACTCTACTGGAATGGTCACTCAACTATAATTAGTCTAGAAACACTATAATAATTTGGAGAGGTTTTAAATGTTATCCATCTTTGGGTTTAGGACTAGAGAAAGCAAAGGATTTAAATCTCCATGACCTCCAAATGGATACAGAAGTTGCTATGGGGATCCTGAATTGAAAGTGAAAATGTTTTGTGAACTTGGACATCTTGTTTGACATTTTCAGCTTCAGGCTCCAGATGACTTGTTTGCTAGATGAAAAATTGTCTATCAATCCAAACTCACAAGGTTATAATATATATAAACATTCCTGACTGGAAAGCATTCTATAAAACTGAGGTAACTAAATCAAATCATTAACTGGGCCCAACCCAGGCCCTAGACCTTCTCAGTTGCACCAAAAGTGTTTCTACTGCTTGCACTCCCTTGAGTACAAACACCTTTATTAAAACCTAGCTGGTAGGAAGGGCCTCTATACCACAGCATTTAGGGAGCTGTCCTAGCGAAGAAAGAAATAAGCCTAAATGAAAAGTATTCATGTTCTCTAATTTATCTCTTAATTTTACTTCCTCCCATATATGGATGAAGTCATATCTCACAGCCAAAAGCACAGAGTGGTGCTAATCTGCATTTTCTGGAAAATAAGACATGAAAGGGCTTCTTTCTTTGAACACTGCCTCTAAGTCTTTAAATGGTTTAAACACTCACAAGTGCATTAAGGCAATTTGTCAAGACAAACTCAAAGGCAGTAGTTCACTTTTTGCCTGTTTTGGCCTCTTCCTGCCAAATCCAGCCAATTTCTTTCACGGTAATTTTTGGAAGCTGGCAGGCAGGTAGAAGCATGTGGAAAGCAAATACTCAACTAATAGAACAAATGCAGGCATATGAATTACCATGACATTGAGAAAGTCCCACCACATGGTGAGAGGTGGTGTGATCAGACAGATTCCTTTAGGTCATTTACTCAGATTTATAAAAGCATTGAAAGCAACTCCAGAATGATTGAAAGAAGGCTGAGGTGAGGATATGGTTATCAGTAAAATCTTCTTGACTCTGAACAAAACACATTACAGGATCCAGGGCCTCCTCATATAGCTCTGCAAGTTGAGCACTCCACATCTCTAGGGGGTGCCATTCACATTACCGCCTACAAAAATGACACTCCCTGGAGTTGTTCAGTGTACAACCTGCATGGCTGTACATGGCTGACTTAGAGAGCATATTATTGGAGAGAGGAGAGAGGAGGTGATGGGTGGGGAAAAAACGCTTTACTTACAAACTGAATTTGTACCCTGGTTTTCCACATACACTCTGGGTAGTTATGGGTAAGTCATGTAATCTCTCTGAACCTCAATTTCCTCCTTTGGCAATTGTGAAAAAGATTCTATAAGGTTGCTGGGTTAATGAGGGCTAAATGAGATGGTGTAGACAAAAGTGCCTGATAAATGGAAGGAACTTATTAAATAATATTTATTTGTAATGACTTGCAGGCTGCCAAGCAGATACTGGAGGAGGCAGGCATCCTTTATTTAAAAGAAGAAAAATAAGAATAAGGAAAATACCCCATATTTAAATGGTGCTTTATGTATTACCCTCAAAATAACCTTTTTAGTAGGTACTATAGTAGTTTGATGGTGCAGATTAGTTATGTCACTTTTTCATAGTCACAAAGTTAGTAGGTGAAAAAGCTAAAACTCAAATCCCTTCTTTTCATTAGAAGTCCAGTGTTCTATCTCTAAATGATTTAGCAAGAAACAGAGGAGGTTGCAGAAGGCATTTGAATAAAGCTCTATTGGCCAACTGGGGTTGACTACTGAGCTTCCTTGGCAATGGCTTTTACAGGACTAACTAAAATCTTTTTAAGATATATCCTTTCTTCTCATCAGCCACCTTGGGACTGCTTTTGTATAATCCAGGGATAGGAAAAGAGAAATCAGCTCTAAGACCACACATGACTACCAAGATGGAAACAGAAACATGTGAAATTTAAATGATGCCTCCAAGCTAAATTACTTTTGTTTTGCAAGAAAATATGTTTTGTGCTTTCGTCTAATAATAGATATACTTGATATGCTATGATTTGAACCAGTTCAACAACTGCTACGACAAAGGCTCAGTTTCCAAGGGAGCTTGCAATTTAATCATATTCCTCTGTGTGACCTTACTCTAAGTTCAAATCCCCCCTCCACACCTAAAATAACATACTAGTTAAAATTGAGAGCACTGCAGCCTCATGTTTGGGTTTTTATTCTGCTATATAAAACTTTGTGTGAGGTTCTTCACCACTTTGTGCCTCCATTTTTTTCTCCTCTTTAAAAATAAGATGGCATTTACTGAATAAGCTTTTAACAGTGAAGGAGTTTACATGTAAAAAAGCAAGTAGAAGAATGGTTGTCACACAGTAGTTGCTTGGTAAATCAGGAGTGCATTATGATCCTAAGTTTTTGTATACCTCATGTAAAAATATACCTCACAGAGTTCAAAATAAATGAAGCAAAAATTGATAAAACTAAAAGAAGAAACAGACACATCTACAATTATAATCGGAGATTTCCAAAACCCACTTTCAATAATTGAGAGAACAAGTAGAAAGAAAATACGGATATAAGAAACATGGAATACACTTCAATCAACTTGATGTACTAAACAACTACAGAATACTTCATCCAAGAAGAGAATACATATTCTTTGCAAGTATTGTTATAGATTGAATGTTTGTTTCCACTCCAAAAACAAAAAAAAAAATTATTTTGGAGCCCTAAGTATTGAAGCTCTAACCCCCAATGTGATAGTATTTGGAGGTGGAGCCTTTGGGAGACAATTAAGTTTAGATGAGGTCATGAGAGTGGGGCTCCCATGATGGAATTTGTGTTCTTCTAAGAAGAGGAAGAGTGACCATCGCTTGCCCTCTCAGCATCATGTGAGAAGGTGGTTGTCTGCAAGCCAGGAAGGGGACCCTCACCAGAAACTGAATTGGCCAGCACCTCATAGCCTCCAGAACTATGAGAAATAAATATCTATTGTTTAAGCCAGCCAATCTATAGTATTTTGTTATAGCAGCCCAAGCTGACTCATACAGGCACACGTGAAACATTTTCCAAGATAGATCATATTCTCAACCACAAACAGCCTTCAGAAATTTTAAATTATTCAAAACATACAAAGTAGGAGTTGAAATGGAGGGTAAGAAACTCAAAAAATTATCCCTTCTTAAAGGTAACGGAAAAACTATCAAAAACTATCAGAATCAACTTTTATTGGAACTTTGGAAACTAAACAAAAGCTTGCAAGAACCAGGAAAATGCTTAATGAATAAAAATTGGCTGACTCTCAATAAGAACAGATAACTTTTTGTCCTTTTAATTTACCCTGGCTTCATGCCCCATTTCCCATCTCAACAGTTGCCTTAAAGATAACATTCTGCATTCCTATTACAGGTACTGGTAATGGCAGGAGCAGAATGCACTTTGTTCCCAAAGAACTTTGGTCATTTGTTATGACCAGTTTGGTGTCTGCTTGGAGGATAAGCCCAAAAAGCCTGCCTTTATCTAACCTAATTTGGATTCACCCAGTGCTGCTGCTTGGGCAATAGATAGCAATTGGGCAAGCAATTAACTAACCGAAACCTTGGGAGGAAAGACTTGAAAGGAAAAGCTTAGGAGAAGCTGTCTCAAAAAAAAAAAGACAAATATTTTTATAAGAGACAAAAATGATTGGATTATGATAAAAGATTCAATTCTTCAAGAAGATATAGCTATTCAACACACATATGCACCTAGCACAGATCCCCAAAACGTGTGAAGCAAAAACTGACAGAATTGAAGGGAGAAACAGTTTAACAATAACTTCAAAACCCCACTTTAAATAATGGACAGAATAATTAGATGGAAGATCAGCAGGGAAATACAAGACTTTTTACCTTTTAAAAAATTATTTCCATATGTTTTTTGAGGAAAAGGTGGTATTTGGTTACATGACTAAGTTATTTAGTGGTGATTTATGAGATTTTGGTGCACCTATCACCTGAACAGTATACACTGAACCCAATTTGTAGTCTTTTATCCCTCACCCCCTTCCCACCCTTTCCCCCCCACCTCCAGAGTCCCCAAAGTCCATTGTATCATTCTTATGCCTCTGCATCCTCATAGCTTAGCACCCACTTATGAGTGAGAACATGCAATGTTGGGTTTTCCATTCCTGAGTTACTTCACTTAGAATAATAGTCTCCAATTCCATCCAAGTTGCTGTGAATGTCATTAACTCATTCCTTTTTCTGGCAGAGTAATGTTCCATCATATATGTATATACCACAGTTTCTTTATCCACTAATTGATTGATGGGCATTTGGGTTTGTTCCACATTTTTGCAATTACGAATTGTGCTGCTATAAACTTGCGTGTGCAAGTATCTTTTCTGTATGACTTCTTGTCCTCTGGGCAGATACCCAGTAGTGGGGTTGCTGAAACAAATGGTAGTTCTACTTTTAGTTCTTTGTTGTACTAGTCTACATTACCACCAACAATGTAGAAGTGTTCCCTTTTCACCTTATCCACGCCAGCATCTATTATTTTTTTATTTTTTGATTATGGCTATCTTTGCAGGAGTAAGGTGGTATTGCATTATGGTTTTGACTTGCTTTTCCCTCATCATTCCTGATGTTGAGCATGTTTTCATATGTTTGTTGGCCATTTGTATATCTTCTTTTGAGAATTATCTATTTATGCCCTTAGCCCACTTTTTGATGGGATTGTTTGTTTTTATCTTGCTAATTAGTTTGAACTCCTTGTAGATTCTGGGTATTAGTCCTTTGTCAGATGTATAGATTATGAATATTTTCTCCCACTTTTTGGGTTGTCTATTGACTCTGATGACTATTCCTTTGGCCATGCAGAAGCTCTTCAGTTTAATTAAGTTGCACCTATTTATCTTTGTTTTTATTGCATTTGTTTTTGGGTTCTTCGTCATGAAATCTTTGCCTAAGCCAATATCTAAAACGGTTTTTCCATGTTATCTTCTAGAATGTTTATAGTTTCAGGCCTCAGATTTAAGTCCTTGATCCATCTTGAGTTGATTTTTTTTTAAGATGAGAGATGAGGATCCAGTTTCATTCCCTACATGTGGCTGGCCAATTATCTCAGCACTATTTGTTGAATAGGGTGTCCTTTCCCCACTTTATGTTTTTGCTTGCTTTGTCGAAGATTTGTTGGCTGTAATATCTGGGTCTATTTCTGGGTTCTCTATTTTGTTCCATTCACCTATGTGCCCATTTTTATGCCAGCACTATGGTATTTGGTGACTATGGCCTTATAGTGTAATTTGAAGTTGGGTAATATGATGCCTCCAGATTTGTTCTTTTTGCTAAATCTTACTTTGGCTACGAGAGATCTTTATTGCTTCCATATGAATTTTAGGATTGTTTTTTCTAGTTCTGTGAAGAATGGTAGTGGTATTTTGGTGGGAATTGCCTTGAATTTGTAGCTTGCTTTTGGCAGCATGATCATTTTCGCAATATCGATTCTACCCATCCATGAGTATGGGATGTGTTTCCATTTGTTTGTGTCATCTATGATTTCTTTAAGCAGTGTTTTGTAGTTTTCCTTGCAGAGGTCTTCCACCTCCTTGGTTAGGTATATTTCTAAGTACTTTATTTTTTTGTAGCTATTGTAAAAGGGGTTGAGTTCTTGATTTGATTCTCAGCTTGATTGCTGTTGGTGTATAGCAGAGCTACTGATTTGTACTGATTTGTATATTAATTTTGTATCCTGAAACTTTACTGAATTTATTAGTTCAAGGAGCTTTTTGGAGGAGTCTTCAGGGTTTTCTAGGTGTACGATCATATAATCAGCAAACAGCTACAGTTTGACTTCCTCTTTACTGATTTGGATACCCCTGATTTCTTTCTCTTGTCTGATTGCTCTGGCTAGGACTTCCAGCGTGATGTTGAATAGAAGTGGTGACAGTGGGCATCCTTGTCTTGTTCCAGTTCTCAGAAGGAATGATTTTAACTTTTTCCCATTCAGTATTATGTTGGCTGTTGGTTTGTCATAGATGGCATTTATTACATTGAGGGATGTCCCTTGTATGCTGATATTGCTGAGGATTTTAGTCATAAACTGTGATGGTTAATACTGAGTGTCAACTTGATTGGATTGAAGGATGCAAAGTATTGATCCTGGGTGTGTCTTTGAGGGTGTTGCCACAGGAGATTAACATTTGAGTCAGTGGGCTGGGAAAAGCAGATTCACCCTTAATCTGGGTGGTCGAAATCTAATCATCTGCCAGCACAGCCAGAATAAAAAGCAGGCAGAAGAACGTGAAAAGACGAGACTGGCTTAGCCTCTCAGCCTACATCTTTCTCCCATTGTAATATCTTGTAATGTCTCCTGTTTCATTTCTAATTGAGCTTATTTGGATCTTCTCTCTTCTTTTCTTGGTTAATCTTGCTAATGGTCTATCCATTTTATTTATTTTTATATATGTGTATATAAAGTACATATATATGTGTGTATGTATATATGTGTGTATATATATATAAAGGGGAGTTTATATATAAACTAATATATATAAACTAATATATATATTAGTTTGTGTATATATACATAAAGGGGTATATTATATATATGTAGTGTACATATATATATTATTGTGTGCATATATATATATATAAAGGGGAGTTTATATATAAACTAATATATATATTAGTTGTGTCCCTCTAGAGAACCCTGACTGATACATAAAGTGATGCTAGATTTTGTCTAATGCTTTTTCTGCATCCATTAAGATGATCATGTGATTTTTGTTTTTAATTCTTTTTATGTGGTATATCACAATGATTGACTTGTGTACGTTAAACCATCCCTGCATCTCTGGTATGAAACCCACTTGATCATGGTGGATTATCTTTTTGATATGCTGTTGGATTCAGTTAGCTAGTATTTTGTTAAGAATTTTTGCATGTTTGTTCATCAGGGATATTGGTCTGTAGTTTTCTTTTTTTGTTATGTCCTTTCCTGGTTTTGGTATTAGGGTGATACTGGCTTCATAGAATAATTTAGGGAGAATTCCCTCTTTCTTTATCTTGTGGAATAGTGTCAATAGGATTGGTAACGATTCATCTTTGAATGTCTGGTAGAATTTAGCTGTGAATCTATCTGGTCCTGAATTTTTTTGTTGGTAATTTTTTTATTACCATTTCAATCTCGCTGCGAGTTGTTGGTATGTTCAGGGTTTCTAACTCTTCCTGATTTAAGCTAGGAGGATTGTATCTTTCCAAGAATTTATCCATCACCTCTAAGTTTTTTAGTTTATGTGCATAAAGTTGTTCGTAGTAGCCTTAAATGATCTTTTGTATTTCTGTGGTGTCAATTGTAATATCTCCCATTTCATTTCTAATTGAGCTTATTTGGATCTTCTCTCTTCTTTTCTTGGTTAATCTTGCTAATGGTATATCAATTTTATTTATCTTTTCAAAGAACCAGCTTTTTGTTTCATTTATCTTTTGTATTTTTTTGTTTGCTTCAGTTTCATTTAGTTCTGTTCTGATGTTGGTTATTTCCTTTCTTCTGCTGGGTTTCAGTTTGTTTTGTTCTTGTTTCTCTAGTTCCTTGTGGTGTGACCTTAGATTGTCTATTTGTGCCCTTTCAGACTTTTTGATGTAGGCATTTAAGGCTATGAACATTCGTCTTAGCACTGCTTTGCTGTATCCCAGAGG
This sequence comes from Homo sapiens, assembly GCF_000001405.40. NCBI lineage: Eukaryota > Metazoa > Chordata > Mammalia > Primates > Hominidae > Homo > Homo sapiens. Next base: position 89,193,764 of record NC_000010.11, read on the forward strand.
TTTTGATAGGTTTTGTCACTATTATTGTTCAGTTGGAAGAATTTTTTAATTTCCATCTTGATTTCATTGTTGACCCAATGATCATTCAGGAACAGGTTATTTAATTTCCATGTATTAGCATGGTTTTGGAGGTTCCTTTTGGAGTTGATTTTCAGTTTTATTCCACTGTGGTCTGAGAGAGTATTTGATGTAATTTCAATTTTCTTAAATTTATTGAGACTTGTTTTGTGGCCTATCATATGGTCTATCTTGGAGAAAGTTCTATGCACTGAAGAATAGAATGTATATTCTTCAGTTGTTGGGTAGAATGTTCTGTAAATATCTGTTAAGTCCATTTGTTTCAGGGTGTAGTTTAAATCCATTGTTTCTTTGTTGACTTTTTGTATTGATGACCTGTCTAGTGCTCTCAGTAGAGTATTAAAGCCCCCCGCTATTATTAGGTTGCTGTCTGTCTCATTTCTTAGGTCTAGTAGTAACTGTTTTATAAATTTGGGAACTCCAGTGTTAGGTGCATATACATTTAGGAATTTAGGATTGTGATATTTTCGTGTTGGACAAGGCCTTCTGTCATTATATAATGTCTCTCTTTGTCTTTTTTAACTGCTGTTGCTTTAAAGTTTGTTATGTCTGATATAAGAATAGCTACTCCTGTTTGCTTTTGGTGTCCATTCATATAGAATGTCTTTTTCCCTCCCTTTACCTTCCAAAGATTAAAGTTATGTGAAATATATTTTCTGCCCACAAAAGAATTAAATTAGAAACCAATAACAAAAAAATTTAAAAATTCACAAATATGTGCAAATTAAATAATGTTTGTTAATTACCAATAGGTCAAAGAAGAAACCACATGGGAACCAGAAAATTATTTGAGATGAAAAAAAATGGAAGCATGACATGCCAAAGTTATCATACGCAGCAAGAGTGCTCATAGGGAAAATTATACCTGTAAGTTTCTACATTTTAAAAGGAGAAAGAATAGCCGGGCATGGCAGTGTGCACCTGTAGTCCCAGCTACTTGGGAGGCTGAGGCAGGAGAATTGCTTGAACCCAGGAGGTGGAGGTTGCAGTGAGCCAAGATCATGCCACTGTACTCCAGCCTGGGTGACAGAACAAGACTCCATCTCCAAAAATAAAAAAATCAAAAATAAAAGGAGAAAGACTTCAAATCAAGAACTTTACACCTTCAAGAACAGGAAAAAGAGGAGCAAACAAAACCCAAAGCCAGCAGAAGACAAGAAGTAATAAAAATTAGAATAGAGATAAATGAAATAGAGAATTAAAAAAGAACAAAAAAAGGAAACTGATGAAGCCAAAAGATGATTCTTTGAAAATATTAATGAAATTGAAAAATCTTGAGCTATGTTGATCAATAAAAAAGAGAAGACTAAAATAAGTAAAATAAGAAATAAAAATGAAGATATTACAGCCAACTTTACAGAAATAAAAATGATTATAAGAGAATACAATGAACAATTTTATGACAACAAATTAGATGACCTAGATGAAATGAACAAATTTCTAGAATCATACAAACTACCAAAACTAACTCAGGAAGAAATAGAAAATCTGAATAAAACTTTAACAAGTAAAGATAATGAGTTAGTAATCAAAATATTCCAATAAAGAAAAGTGCAGGTTCGAATTGCTTCACTTGTGAATTCTATCAAACATTCAGAGAATAATTAACACCAAACCTTCTCAAACTATTCCAAAACATAGATGAGGAGAGAACATGTTCTAACTCAATCTAGAAAGGCAGCATAATTACCCTGATGCCAAAGTCAATACAGAAAAGAAAACTGCAAGTCAAAATCCCTTATAAGCATAGATGTAAACATACACAACAAAATGCTAAGTAACCAAATCCAGCAGCATATTAAAAGGATGATTATGCATCATAACAAAGTGGATTTATTCCAGTGTGCTTCAACGTCAATCAGATTAAATTAATAGAATAAAGGGGGAAAATCCTACACGATCATCTCAATATATACAGAGAAAGCATTTGACAAAAATCAAACACCCTTTCTTGTCAAAAACACACAACAAATTAGGAACAGAGGGACCATGATAAGGAGCATAAAAACCCCACAGATAACATCACACTTCATGGTGAAAGACTGTAAGTGCTCTCCCTAATAATGAGACAAGGAGGTCTAATCTCATCACTTCTATTCAACATTATATTTGAAGTTCCACACTATTTTATCAGTAAGAACATAAATAGGCCGGGTGCAATGGTTCATGCCTGTAATCTCAGCACTTTGGAAGGCCTAGGCAGGTGGATCATCTGAGGTCAGGAGTTTGATATCAGGCTGGCCAACCTGGTGAAACCCTGTCTTTACTAAAAATACAAAAATTAGCCAAGCATGGTTTCGGGCACCTGTAATCCCAATACTTGGGAGGCTGAGGCATGAGACTCACTTGAACCTGTGAGGCGGAGGTTGCAGTGAGCCAAAATCGCACCACTGCACTCCAGTCTGGGCGACAGAGACAGACTCCGTCTCAAAAAAAAAAAAACATAAATAGATGCTCAACATCATTAGTCATTAGAAAATGCAAATCAAAATCACAGTGAGATACTATTGTCCCATCAAAATAGCTATAATATTTAAATTATACTATTTTTAATAAAATGGCAGAATAAATAAAGCCATAGAGATAGAAAGATTAATGTTCCCTACTAGAAACTAGCAGGAGCAGTGAATGAGGAGTAACTGGTAAGGAGTATGGATTTTTGGGTGGGAGTGATGAAAATCCTCTGGAATTTGATAGTGGTGACAGACAACTTTGTGAATATACTGACATCTACTGAGTTGGGCACTTTAAAGTAATTTAAATGGTGAATTTTATGTTATGTAAATTTTATCTCAATTTTTTTAAAAAACATACAAACTATGGTCTCTGAACAAAATGGAATTAAATTAGAAATCAGTAACAGAGAGATATTTGGAAGCTCTCCAAATGTTTGAAACTAAATAACATACTTGACATGGTTATGGGACAAAAAAATAAATCAAAAGTGAAATCGGAAATTATTTTGAATTATATTAAAATGAAAACACAACATAACAAAATTTTTAGGTTACAGCCAAAGCAGTGCTTGTAGGGAACTTTATAGTGTCAAAATATCTATATCATTAGAAAAGAAAATATTAAAGCAATGACATCAACTTTCTCCTCTTAAATAGCACTTCCTGGAAGAGGCCTTCCCTTATACCCTTTGGGCAGGAACTCTCCCTCACCTCCAGTTCTTCTCCATACATCAACCCAGTTCATGTTTTAGGAACCTACAGAAAGAAGAGCAAATTCAAATCAAAGTAAGCTGACTACAAGAATTAATATAGATGAAAATAGAAATAAGTGAAATATAAAAAGAAAACAATATAAAAAACAAATGAAAGCAAAAGCACATTCTTTCAGAAGACCAGTAAAATTGATAAACCTCTATTTAAAGTGATGAGGGAAAAAAGACACAACTTATCTATGTTAGGTATGGGTATGTGAGATAAATATACATTCTACAGATACTACGAGGATAATAAGAAAATTTCATTTTTAACATTATATCCATTTTTTATTTAAAACTCTCAGAAAGCTAGGAATAAAAGGGAATTCTTCAATCTGATGGAGGTCATGTACAAAACATTTAGAGATAATTTCAGACATAACAGTGAAACAATGAGTGTTTTTTCTCTAAGATTAAGAACAAGGCAAGGATATCCTCTCTTATATTACTTCTAGTCCATTTTTACTGGAGGTTATAGCCTTCTAGCCAGAGCAAGAAAGCTAGAAAAAGGAAAAAAAAAAAAAAAAAAGGCATCTAGACAGAAAAGGAAGAGGTAGAATGTCATTATTTGCATACATAATTTATTTGCATACGTCCATTCCATTCCATATCCCAACCTGTCAGAGTTTAGTTATCTTTATTCTGCAGGCTGGGATCTGGGATGGAATGGAAGCTCTTCAGCCCCAAGGGCATCCTACAGACACAGTGCCTCTGCACAAGGCATGTACAACCCTAGGCCACAGTTACTACGGAGGCCGGATACCGCTTTAGAAGATAATCTTTATCTAAGGATAAAACCTGCCTTAACAACTGGCTAATGAGCTTGAACCTGGAAAATCAGAGGTAAGAGAGAAATGGATAACAGGAAAGGAATTTGAATGGCAATAGCCGGAAACAAGGAAGAACCCTTGGACAGGTGAAGCAATGGCAGCTGAAAGAGGGCATGACATGCTGAGTGAACACATTGGAAGAGACTGGAGCAAAATGATAGGACCACCCTGGGCCCCAGCTCTGGCTTTTACCATAGAGCTATTTGATCTTAGGCAATTACTTTAAACTTTCCTTCTTGTCTGAGAAATAGGAATGAACACACAACCTACTTCACCTGGCTGGCTCCCTCTTGTCATTCAGGTCTCCTCTTAAACATCACTTTCTCAAAGAGGCCTTCCCTTATCCCCCTTCTGCAGGAAGCCTCCCCACCTCTCAGATCCTCTCCATCATATCAAATCAGTTCACTGTTTTTCATAGCATTAACATAATCTGAAATTAATTTGTTTATGTATTTGTTTATCATCTGGGGTGGATCTTTGAGGTGAGTTAATAAAGGTATTACTTAACCAAGCAGATTGTTGGCTTTGAAAATAGGATTGTTTTGGCCGGGCGCAGTGGCTCACGCCTGTAATCCCAGCACTTTGGGAGGCCAAGGCAGGCAGATCACCTGAGATCAGGAGTTCAAGACCAACCTGGCCAACATGGTGAAACCCCATCTTTACTAAAAATACAGAAATTAGTAGGGCATGGTGGTCCATGTCTGTAATCCCAGCTACTTGGGAGGCTAGGCAGGAGAATTGCTTGAACCCAGAAGGCAGAGGTTGCAGTGAGCCAAGATCGCGACACTGCACTCCAGCCTGGTTGACGGAGTAAGACTCCATCTCAAAAAAAAAAAAAAAAAAAAAAAAAAAAAGAAAAGAAAAGAAGGTTGTTTTAAGGATGAAAAGGAATCATATGTGCAAAGCATTTAGCACAATACCTATGAGCTATAGTCAGTAATTGTTCTATAATAGCCATTATTATCATTATTCTTGTCACTGTTACCATGATTATTTATTATCACACTGTAGGTGCTCATTAAGGTGTTGGTTGAATTGAAGTGCTGAGCATTAGGCCAGGGAGGCAACATAGAGTAGTTTTGAATGGCCTGATGTGCTGGGCTCTGTGCTGGTAACACGGTCAAAGCCCTCAACCAGAGCAGCCCACTAGGAGGGTCAAACCAGAAAAAAGTCCCAACCTTGGACAACCAGACCACAGCTCCTGGCTAGATGCACAGCTGGCTGGCTGCACAGCTACCAGGTCTGAAACCCACCTCTGCAGTCCCTTTCTCGTCCCTCTTCATTGCCCTTCAGGAGGTCTCCTCCCCATCTGACCAGAATAATGTATGTTATACCTGCACTGTATACAAATTTTTTTTTTGCAAACTTTTTTCATTTATGGTCCACTTTTTTCTTTCATCGATGAATACTAGTCCTTCTATCCAATCTCATACCATCCCCGTGAGCAAGTCTAGTAGTGGGTTATATGGGAAAAGCTGCCTATGGTCATATCCCTTTGAATGGGTTGATTCACAGTCTAGCTTCTTGTTATGAAAATATAATCTGTGCTTGTAGCAACTCACCTTTTCCTTGCAGAAAATGGAACAAGTTCTCAAAGACAAAACTCTTCTAAGCAAACTTTGATTCATTTTTCTATGAGATCATGAGAAGAAGATGTGACAAAGAAAAACTGAGCTCCTGAGGGGATGGCAGAGTCCAGTGATGACAACTGATAAGGGCAGGTTCCAAAAGGGTGTGCCTGGTGTGTACCATGGTTCTGCCACTTACTAGCTAAAAGATATGAGATGAGTTTCTGAATGTCTCTGTGTCATTCATGGGTTGCTGTTAGGAATTAAATGAGTTACTGGATGTAAAATGAGTTGAGAGAATCTCGTACCTAGTAAGCATTTGATAAATGTCAGCCAAGAACAAAACAAAAGAACAAGGCAGAAAAGAGACACAGCTGGAAACAAACACTGAGACAGGAAAAATACCAAGAGGTGTCAAGATGTGACAAATGGAAAGTTAGCCCAACAGAGGAAGTCAAGGTGTGTATTAGAAAGCTGCTAGCATCCGCCGGGACCTCAAACCCATGGAGAACACAATGTGGCACTATAGGACCCATTACCCATAAGAGGTCTGTTAGGAAATAAGGATATACCCTCCATGGGAAGGATGGGATTGAGATAAAGTTTGGGCTTCCAATTAGGCTTTGGTTCAAAGTCTTTTTTATGAGACTTGAGATGTCTTTAGCAAACATTTGGAATAAAGTCTGTATTTGAATTGCTATAAAACAGCACTTGCTCACCTTGGGTAATAGGAGGTCAAGATGGGGTTGGCTGGTACTAAATAATGTCAGAATGCTCATTTTGTTCTCCACATTGGCCCCTAACAACCACACATAGTCAGTTTGCCTTCCTGGCCTGTGGGGCACCACAGCCTCTGGCTGTCAATTAGGATGTGGCTATTCATTGTCCACTGATGACAACCACAAAAAACCTCCTATAGAGGTTTGTGCTAAGGGGCTTCCTCCTACAACCTAAATGCAAAAGGACACCACAGAACCCTCAGGTTTTAACCAATGTCCTCTTTACATACAAGAACCAGAAAGGTATTTAACCAGCCCAAGAAGAGGAATCTATTAGAAAGTCATGGAACCCAAAGGCAAAAAGTGTAGCAGGTTTAGGGTCGAGAACCTGGGCCTATAGAGCTTCCAGAAACCAGGTCAGTGGTCTGCTCCCAGAACTGCCATTGCCCTTTCCACTCCTTCTAGGGGTATGTGTCTCTCATTTCCCACTCCCTGAAAATCTGCTCATCCTCCTTTCATTCTATGTACAGATGGGCTTTCTTGGCATCATTATTCACACAGTACGAATGGCAGCCCCAAAATGGTCACCTGGATCTGCTGGTTTACATATCCTAAATTCCTGGAAAATAGCCTAATTCTTCCCAGGTGGATCAGATTTCCAACTTTGGTACAGAAAGCTGTGGCCATGATGTAGGGATCATATAGTATAACAATAGATACAGGGACCCAATCTGTGTTTGTGTGTGTACATAGTGGGAGTTGAGGAAGTTCTTAAAGAAAGGGGTATGGGTTTTGCAGGCTCCCAGACATGCCTTCCTACCAGAGGCTTTCTCTGGTAGGTCAGGAGAATGGATGAGCAAAGGATGGATTATAGACTGGTGTGTGTATGTGTGTGTGTGTGTGTGTGTGTGTGTGTGTGTGTTTTCATGGTAAATTGACTTCAAAGCTAAAACTCAGAACATGAGGTCCTAGATTAATTTATCATCACCATCAACATTTGGTCTAATTGACGTACTATATACTACACATATTTAAAGTATACGATTTGATAATTGTTGGTATTTGTATACACCTGTGAAACCATCCCCACAATCAAGATAGTGAACATATCCCTCATTACTAAATGTTTTCTCATACCCGTTTGGTAATTTATGTTTGCTGCCCCTCCCTTCATCAAACTACTGATCTACTTTCTGTCCCCATGAATTCATTTGCATTTTCTGGAGTTTTATAGGATTGAACTATATTGAACTATATGGTAAATAATCTTTTTTGTCTGGCTTCTTTTACTCAGCATAATTAGGACACAACCTTATTGCTGCATGTATTAATCATCTTTTTCTGTTTATTGCTGAGTCATAGTCCGTTGTGTGAATGCTTTTTTAAACATTTTTTAAACAAAGCTTTTCAGAGTTCGCAGAAATAAAAAAAAATGTTCACACTATGAACCCACAAAAGTATGTGGCAGGGTGGATCTTAGCAAAATTTGAAATAAACACTTCACTCAAGTTGCTACAAGTCGGCGGAGCTATTTATGTTGGGTTTAGGCAAATGATTAGCAAAGAATATTGATAGCAGCAATTTCTAAGTAGTGTCCCATAACTGCCTTCTTGATACTCACTCAGCAAGAGACAGTATGTAACTTGTTCAGGGTCACAGAGTTTATAAGCAGTGGAGCCAGGATTGGAATCCAGGCAGAACTTGCCACGGTCGCCTAACTGGAATCACTGTCACTGTTCACTGCTGCCAGTTACCTTCTTGAACCAGATCTAATGTCACTCCCTTGCTTGAAATCTGTGGACCACCCTCCCCACTCCCTCAATAGCCCAAGTCCAGGTTTCAATGCATTTATCCGTCTATTCATTATAAATCGACAAATAACAAGAAGCTCTAACATTTGTTTCAAAGCAATTTTACATACAATCTCTCAAAAACCCTGGGACATAAGCAGGTGAGTCAACAGTTCTAAAAAGTTTCAATAGCTTGTGAAGAGGCAAGACAGCAAATGTTTGTTGCTGGGACCCAATTCCAGGCTGTAACTGCCTTGTTAGACATGTACCTTGAATACCTTGAGTGTCGGACACATTTCTTCCTTGCTTATTCAGTGCTCAGAGCTTCCTGCCATGTTTCAGGAATGTCAAGTTCTTTGATCTCTCTCTAATTTTGCAACTGCTGTTTCTTCTGCCAGGTATGCCCTGTACCCTGCTTAGTGAAGACACAAATCCTTCATGATTTAGCTCAAATGTCCCATCTCTTTTTGAACTCCCTTAACAACCTGTTAACATCCTCCATTACAGCACTGGCCACATTAGATTAAATGCATTTGCTTGCCTGACTCTCTTTCCCAGTAGAGTGTGACTTCCTCTAGAACAGAGATTTATGAGTGGTGATCATGGCCTGAGTTAGAAATCTGGAACTGACTAGTGATGGAAGATGGAGAAGAACAAGAAGGAATGTTTGAGAAATGCATGATTAATGGCTAAGGTGTGTTTCTAGTTCTTCCAGGATTCATGCAACACTGAACCAATGTTTATTAAGAACTAGGCATAGTACTACAGGCAGAAATAAATGGTAGATAGGAAAAAAATAGTTGTGTGTTTATGTTTATGTATGTGAAGAGAGAGAGAAGAGGAGGCATAGTGTGTGTATACACATCTAGTACAAATATAGCAGGTTTGTACATGTTTACATATATAGTGTGTGTACATATAATGTGTACACATATATACTATACAGTGTGCTTATATATGTGTGCATATATACAGCATATGTATATAGTGTTTAAATACATCTATGTGTACATATAATAGCATGTAGTCATAGAGTTTGTGTGTATAGTGTGTACATATATAGCGTGTCTACATGTTACATGCATATGCACATATACATGGTGTATGTGAATATACATGCGTATACACATTGTGCTTATTTACTAGAATGCAATGCAGTAGGACATTTATAGACTACATTAGGAGATGGTAGGGAGGATATTAATTATAAACAATACAGGTATTTTTTAGTAAAATGAGGAGCACCTTGAGGCTTGCCTCCCTATTGTGGTGAAAGAAGAGCCATTGAAGAGAGAAGGAACAGCTGGAGAATGAGGATGGAAAGGAGTTGAGAGAAACCTCACTAAAGCAAAGCAAGAACCACATTCCAAGATGAGCTGGTTTGTAAATAAAATTCCTCTAAAAAAAAAAAAGAAGAAGAAGAAAAGAAAGCCAAGGAAATGGAACACCAAGCAGGGAAAAGTCACTGGATTTGAGAATTAGGAAATTAGTAGGCAACCCAGAGCAAAAGTTTCCAGAGGAATGGGAGTAGAATGACTCAGAGGTAAAGAAGTAGAATCAAACAAACATAGACTTCTTTCTCTTTATAAAACTTTTGCCTTGAAAGGATGGTGGGAGAAGTAGCTTGTGATGGAAGCAGAACCAACAACTTGGCTTTATTTGATTCCCCGGAATATGAGCGAGCACAAGCATGTTTGTGAACAAAAAGCTTTGACCATTCTGAACTGCAGTCCTAGCACTCACACTGGGAAGCATCAGTCACAGCAAACACGACTACAGCCAGGATTTCGGATTCATCTAGCACTTTGCGTCTAGTAACTCAAAAATCCCTCACAACAACTCAGCAAGGAACAGTCTATGATCAACAGATAAGGAAGCTAAGGCAGAGAGGTTAAGTACCTTATCCAAAGCCACTCAGCTAGTAAGTCCCAGAACCCAGATTCCCACCCAGGTAATCTGGCTGCAATAGTTGCGTTTGTAGCACAGGTGCAATGAAGGATGCAGAAAACAGTCCTTGACCTGCCTCCTGCTCTCCCAGGGCTTGCTTAGACTGGCCTTGCTCTACCTCCCCTGGCTTTCTCCCCTACCCAGGCAGAGGCTTTGGCAGCCATGTGGAAGTGAAGTAGTGGGCCAGGGTAACACTGTTTTAGGGGTAGTAACAAAGGAGGAACAACAGAGGGAGGCCATTTGTTGGTGTTGCAGGGTTTGCAGCTCTCTGGCAGTTATCAGAAGAGAAGCACAGTATACACCACCAGACCTAAGTTTAGTAGAACTGGCTCCCACTCCTCCTATTTTGTAATCTGGAAAAAAGTACTTAACCTGTGTGGGTACCAATCCTCTATCCATAACAGAGGTGATGATGATAATAGTAACTATTCTACATCCCTATGGTGTTGTTGTAAGGAGCAAGTGAGAAATTGTGTGACAGCGCATGCGCATATGAACTTTTTCTTTACTATTTTTATTAACAGGTTCTCAAGCTATCTGAAAAATTGCTCATCCTTTCCACTTCCGCGGTTCTACCTCCCAAGGCATTAAAAACTGTTAAGACATTCGATTGTAAGAAAGTATTTCTAAATCCAAATTGTGCACTTTCCATGTGTATAATTTGCCCAAAATCTAAAATTACCTTATGCAGTGATGCAACATGATACATTTTTACAATTCTCTGAGGATACGCTGTGATAAATTGTTATTATCCATGATTTACAGGGCAGCTTTGGAGTGCCTACAGCTGCTTACAACTCATAGTTGCACCATAGATTCCACACCTGCCTGTTTATCCGTCTCTTCTTACTCCAGGTGCCACGTGCATCATGATAATAATATACTACCGTCAATGTAGCATTTTCTCCTCACATCTCACTTCCTCTTTTCATGGATTTCACTTTTATAAATCAATATCATCTTTAAATCCCAGCCTGGTCCTGATACAGACAGAGGAGGAGGTAACTTCAGTCAAGAAGCTAAAGGAACACACACGTTGAAGGGAACATGGGAAAACTGGCTGTGAGCTTCCACATTCTGGGGCATTCTGCCAAACATTTGGAGGGCCTAACCATATTTCTTGGGAGTCTCATTTGGCAGACCGTGGAGACCAGGTCTCTAAATGGATGCTTTACCTTTAAACATGACAGTTTGGTTCAAATATAATGAGCCAAGAATTACACACAAAGCTGCCATTCTTTATATTGTGTCTAAATTGTCTTGATTTTTAACTCTACACTATATATATTCCAAAAACAAAACTAAAATGAATAGGCAGGAGTTAGATGGGGTGAGTGATGGGTGATGGGTGTGTGGTTAATAATAGGAATATTTACTGTCATCTGCAAGAACATCTGGGACACCTCCTCCTTTTCCACATGAGGAATCAGGGATCCAGGGCCAAATTTCACTTTATCTTTCTTTTAGAAAGGGCTGTACCTGCTGCATGTATGTTTTAATTAAGAAAACTGAATATACAGAAATTCCAGATTTCAGAAGCAATGCTTTGATGTTCATTTGCAGTAGCTATGGATGGATTCATGAAAACAGGGGCTTCCTCAGAATCCCCTTGCACATCTATCAGCCACTCTAGTGTATACTATTGACTCACCAGTTTTGCAAAGCAAGGCACGCCTCCAATTCTGTTCTTCCCCTAATCCATTCCCACAAATAATAAAATGATTGACTGCTCAGCGTTAATCTTTCTATGAAACTTTACAGAGTAATCCTATCATTTGCCTGTTATACAGAAATCAGCTGAAAAGCATTAAGAATATTAGCGTGTTTTTCCTCCATGAAATTGCTAGAGCACAACAAACAGAGCCCCTTCTCCTGCCTCCTTTTCTCTAACAACCCCCAACAGAACACCCTACACCCAGATTCCTCTCTTTCCATGGTGAGGCTGATGGAGGCTTAGAAGGACACTTGGTATGCCCGCTCCCTCTTCCCTTTTTTATCAGTCAAAATACCAGTGAAACGGAAGTCAATACTTATTTGATTCATGGTTTTTTTTCCTTTTTAAAGCACGAATAACATTTCTTTCAAAATAAATATACAGTTCTATAAAAAAATATAAGAAGGTACTATAATTCTTGGTCACTGTCCAGCAGAAACATGTTTGATTGCTTTTAGAGTCAGAAGTCAACACCATCCACAAAAATACATTCTTTTAGCCAGGTTTTAGAACACTTTGAAACATAGAAAATTCCTTATTCTACAAACAAGTCCTTTTAGAGATATTCTAAATATGCCAGTGATGAATGTCTAATTCATATGCAGGATTCAAGGCTATTGAGGTGAGCTAGACTAAGAATACCAAGAACACAAAATTGTATTGATACACAAACAGTATGTAAATTACTTTGTCAGATTACAAAAATGCATCAGATTTTATCTATGGTTTTCATAGATAAACATAAAGCAATAAGTTAGTTGCTTTAAAAAAATATATAGCTCAGGTGTTTCTCTTCATTCAAGTGTGAAAGGCACAGCAGTCCCGAGTCTTAGGGGCACCCACCGCAGCCACATCACCGCGCTGGGACAGATGCAGTCCGCAGCGTTCCCAGTATTTTGTCCCAGTGTGTAAAGTACGGAGCGAAGTTGCAGTTAAAGTGAGAGTGATGCAGGTCGTGGTGCACCACACCCCCGTACCACCCGAAGGGCACCAGTCTGTGAGTGGACCAAGGGAAGTTGTAGCCGGAGTGGTCCTCCACGGAAAGCCAGATGTTGACCACGTGGAAGGTCAGGGTGGTGAGCGGGTGGCACCCGAGCAGTGTGACGTTCATCATGTCGAAGAAGCCCAAAGAAAACAGTTCCCAGACGCTCATATACTGCGTTGCCAGCGCGAACGAGGACGAGTTCTGGTGGTGCACCTTGTGGAAGGTGCGGTACAGCCAGGGCACCTTGTGGTGCAGCAGGTGCCACACGAAGAACTCCATGTCGAAGAGTAGCAGGCAGAACAGGATGTGGTGCAGCAGCAGGAGCAGCTCGGGAGCTTCGTGGGGCAGGAGGGCCGGGCTGCGGGCCCAATGCAGCAGCGTCACGGGGAACACAAACATCACATGCTGGTAGAGGGTCTGCCCCAGGCAAGGTAGCAGCTGCTGCGCGGATGGCGAGAAGTCAGGGTGGATCTTGTAGCGCCGCAGGGCGGGCACCCAGGAGCACAGGATATCCAGGACCACGAAGGGCAGGCAAAAGCCCACGTATGTGGTGATGGAGAAGATGACCGGGAAGAAGGGCGACTGTAGGAGGGCCTCCCAGCTCCTCAGGTGGTCCCAGAGGGGCTGCAGGAACAGCTGCCCGGAGCTGCAAAGGACCTGGGGGTCGGAGCAGTTGTGGCAGCTCATTGCGAGGCTGTGCAAGGCAGCTGAGGCTGCTGCTCGAGTCCCATCGACTTTTCACAGGACTCACGGCCCCGCCCCGAGTGATGTCAGCTGCCTTTCCATCCCTTTCCCGGCGATGCGAAGCTTGAATAAGCTAGCAACCCGGCAGAGTGGCCCTTCATTGCTGTAAATGTGCTCATCTATAGCCGCATCTTACCGGCTTTTAGATATGCGTGTATGCAGTGGCACTTCGTACTTTTCATGTAAGTTCTGATTTTTCAGTTGACGTACAATTAACACGGGACACAATGTACAGATCTACCGTGTGGAGTTTCTATGAGTTTGGCAACTCAGTTCACGTGTGTCATCACGGGTCTCAAACTAGACCGTTTACATTGCCACCAGAAAGCGCTCCTTTGCAATCAATGCAGAATTGTTTGTGTTTTTTAATGCATACGTATAACTGCATCCATGTGCTTTCATAAAGACGCAAGCATAATCGCATTTTAAAAACTGTTTAAAGCTACATGCGGTCTGTAGCTCGGGTGTTTTCTGAGAACCCGGTTGCGGTCTATCCAGCGGCGATCGAGAAACGAGCCCTTTGCACAGGGAACCGCTGGTCCCCGAACGCCGGCGGTGACCGTCAGCTCAGGAAATCAGACGGGAAGGGTGGCCGGATGGGAACCTCCGCCAGCTCCAGCTTGTCCCCAGAGTTTTCCTGGCCGGCGGGCAGCAAGCTAGAGAGACCACGCACGCAGGCTCTCCGGGAGAGGCCGCAGCCCGGCCGCGTAGCTACCCTCGGCGGCGCGTCCCGGGGCGCCGGGCCCGCGATCGGAGCCGGAGGCACCGCACAGCGGAAAGAGGGCTCCGCGGCGGCCAGGCTCAGCTTTGCCGGGAAAATGCTGGATTTAACTCCCAGTCTGCGCCAATCTGGCTAAAAAGCCCGTTGTATCTCAATTTGGGGCGGGAACACTTAATTCAGCAAACCACCTGCGTTGTTCGTCAAGGGAAAGAGATGTGAGTTCCTGAAGCCTCCCGGGAGGCTATTGAAGGACCAGGTGATGTCGTCACTACCCTACCCTTCCCCTTGTTGGCTTTGCGGGGCCAACTTGCAGTCGCCCTCTGCCACCGGTCCTTGAATCCACTCCGGGCCCACGGAGCCCGGCTAGGGGGCTAGTCTCTATCCCCTGCGTTTCTCCGCCACCCATCTGGGGTCCTCGGGCCAGGGGCCACCGAGCACAAGGAGGTCGGTACTAGGAGAGCTCTTGAGAGACCCTGGGAACAGCACAAAAATCCTCGCGTTCAACCCGGGGTCTGACACATGACACGATACAAGGGCCCCTTAGGGGATAGACGTTTTAGACACCAGCTTTGAAGCCAGGGAGCACTCCTAATTCTTGCTTAGTGTCTTGTATCTATGTGGTTGTGTCCAGCCCTTTACTCCTTGAAGCTTGCATTTTCTTATCCCCCCGATTCCCCACAAAGGGAAATTGGAGTATTAAATGGAAAAATAATAAGTCTACCGTGTAAAGCCCACCTACTAGGTGCCACGCATTGGCTAAATGTTTTATCTGAATTGATTTTATCCAATCCTCAAAAAAGCTGGCTTCCTCACCCTGCCAAGAAGTAGGATTATTATTATTGCTGTGGGTTTACAGCAGTAAAATCATAGGTCCTAGCACACAGCAAACACACCAAGTAATATGCATGGTATTTTAAATTTGTACTCCACACGTTACCTAAAGAATAACTGAGAAATTTGAAATTAAAATCAAGTAAGATTATGTAAAGAGAAATAAAAGATATAACGCCATCTATTATGAGGAAAGAACAAGTACTACAAAAATATGGACCAATATATGGGCCTAAAACTAAGATCATATATGGTATATATGCATACATATGATATATATAATATGCCAATTCATAATATGTAATATATAAGATATAGATACATATAATAGGCCAATTTGTAATTCAGAATCTCCTAACTGGTGTGTGTCCACTAACTGCCACTGATGGAATACTGACATTCCTTAGATGCTCATTCCCAGGAGCCCTCAGCAGTAGCCTCTAGCCCTACAGCAGCCTTTTTATTTAACCCAGGGTACTATGAAAACATTATTATATTCTGCTGACATATTTGCTGTTGATGAGATAAAGGTTCAGAAGCAGTGTTGAGTTTCTTGACAGCCAATACAAAAAGGGAACAAGGGTGAATTTTTCTAATGCTGCTGCTTTGATTTCTAGATGATAGCAGAAAATAGGTATAATGTAGGCCCCTAGTTGCTTCCAGTTAAACAACCTGTCCTTCCAAGGCTCTCCACCTCTACCGCCCATGCGCCCCCACCCCCCACAACATCTCCTCCCTTCCCCAGTGTTGTTTTCACTTCACTTTTAGGGTAAACCAGAAACTTTTCTTCTCATTCCGGCTAGACGTGGTCTTGTCCTTGATGCAGTGTTTCAGAGAAGAGCGTCCTTCTCACTGCTCCAAACGGACCATTAGAGCTCACTTTCTCAACATTAAAATTGGATTTCTGCTCATAAGTAAAATATCACTCAAATTTACCCTCAACAGAAGTTAGCCCTCAAATTTCCTTTCAGCACACATTGTCCTTTTCTTGTGGTCTCAGTTATCATGCTTGGGTGCTCTGGTTGCGAGAGCAAGAAAGATTTTTTTTTTAAGTGAGTGGCATTAGCAGGTTTGCTTAATTTGGATTTAGCTGCTAGATTTGCTGTCAAGACTGTCTCCTTTGAGTCCCCAGCCCCAACCAACCCATTCATTTTCTGCTTTGGTGTATCCACCGTCTATCGCTGTTAGAATAATGTCCATGTGCCAATTACAGAAGGCCGTGGGCAGCAAAACTTGAGAGCGCTGGCTTCAGCCTGCTTTGTCCATACTCTCCCCCGTGACTTTGTGGCACTTTGAAGGATAGCAACTAGCTTCTCTGCCATCTCTGCACTTGCAGCTGACCAGGACAGAAGTTTTTGTCTAACATACAAATGCAACCATCCCAGGGAAATTGATGAATTACAGTCCTGTTAGTTCTCCACTCTATATCATGTGGAATGCTGAACAATATGTCAGGTAACCAAAAACAGCATCACTTAATGGACCAAAATAAAATTGAACACTATCAAGTGCTGACTAAGGTGGTATCATTTCTTGAATTTGGCACATGCGCACCTTTAAACAGTTTTTATTTGCACAAAAATGTAATAGCTTGCTAGATGAATAGGTCTTTTTAGAGCACAGGGTGTATCTTCTAGGACTTCTTCTCACAGTGCCAAGCATTGCATCTTGTATGTAATGAGTGTTCAAAAGATATTTGTGGACTCAAGATTCATTTTAAAGGACATTAGCTCTAAATTGAGGCTAAAAAACAAATCTTTTTTTTTTTTCTGGAGTACTGCTTGATGTAGTTTGGATCTACCCACCTGTAAAGATGGTTTTCCCTAAAACGGGGTGTTTTCTGATTAGAACTTTGGCCACACCATTTCTTGTCCAATTGATGGTTTTCCGCAAAAGGGGGTGTTTTCTGACAGGTAGCATTAGAACTTTGGCCACGCCATCTCTTCTCCAGTTGATCATGGCTTCCTGCATATGGTTTTTATCTTAGTATGGTTTTTCTGGCGGAGTTGGAGGACAGGAATCTTTTATTTTCTGCTTATCACAGGGGTCAAATCACTTTTCTGAGAGTACAACAGTCAAGTTTGTGCACACTCATCACAATCTCAAAGTTATGTGGCACCAACTTACCAAAAGACTGTGGATGCTGCTCCCCTTCCCCCAGCAAATAGAACATGTAGTTAGCAAAGCCTGCCATCAATCACATAATCCCTTTTTTAAATGACCTTTATGAATTTCTTTTTCTTTCTCAAATTAGGTAAGGCCATTTGGGCATCTGTTTAATCAAAACTGTTCCTGGCTATTAGAGATGTGTAGTGTTGTGTAACAGGGAAGACTCATAGAGGTGGAATGATCTCGAATATCAAAATCTAATCCTTCATTTTAAAGACTGAAGATTAAAAATTCAGTCTCAGAAAAGTCAAGACAAGGCTAGCTAGGGATAAAAAGCAAGTTACAGCCAAACTGAGCAGAAAAGGGCCAGGGTTGGTTCCAAGGTAAGTATCTCTTCAGGAGGAGTTTGGTATTGGAAGGGGTCATTGAAGCTGCTTTTATGTGACACTTTACAAAAGACTCAGAAAACATTAATTAGCCGTGCCAAAAACAATAGGAGATGCTGATAAAGAACATGGGGATGTTAGCTTCCTCCAGACACTCTCCTGATGCTCCTATTAGTCCAAATACTGGTGCATATTTGGTTTTAAACACTTTCTATTCTGATCCACTTACATGTCGCATTTAAGTGGGCGCTTCTACTCACTTATACTGTTGAAACTCTCATCAACCTCTCTGAAACTTTTAAGGCATATAAAATCATCCCCATTAAAAAGGCATTCCCTTGCCTGTAGAGAAACAAATGCTCGCCTCACCTGTCAAAGGGATTATTGCAAATATTAAAGCTTTATGAAAAGGCTTTGAAACCCCGTAAGGCACAACACAAAATGTGAAGTATTATTTTCAGTAATGCTAAGACAATTTGACAAAGAGTTTTGCTTGCTTAATTTGGAATTGAAGTTCAAATCTGCACCTAGCGCAACATAATGAAATACTGATTGGGTAACTTTTTAAAAATCAGAATAATTACTATTCAAAGTTGCCTTTCAGTGTCACAACAGATCAGAGTGACTTATCTTTTGAAAATCTCTTAATACATTGAAAAATTAATGACAAGAAATCACATTACAGTGTATTTTTAATGTTTATATTTAAAAAATTAACACCTTTAATACCCACAAACACAAAATAATCATTATTTGGGGATGTCACTAGTCTAAATTTCAGTCCTATATATGTGTGAGGCCTGAGTTAAAACCTTTTCCTCCTGCCACCCATCCCCCAACCACATCTGAAGTTCTGATCACTCATTTACCTATTAGGCAAATTTTTATTTTCAGTTTACATTTGAGGGGCAGGTATTCCTTGAGAACGTTTTCCAGATGTTATCCACTAGGCAAGAATTAATTATACTCCTGAACAGAAATAATACTACCATGGCTGGCCATCAAATTCCAACTGGCTCAGAAAGCAACAAAGTTCTCTACCTTCCCTGGTAGATGCTGGAGAAAATCTTAGAAAAAGTAGTGAGGACATGAACAGACACTTCTCAAAAGAAGGCATTTATGCAGCCAAAAAACACATGAAAAAATGCTCACCATCACTGGCCATCAGAGGAATGAAAATCAAAACCACAATGAGATACCATCTCACACCAGTTAGAATGGAAATCATTACAAAGTCAGGAAACAACGGGTGCTGGAGAGGATGTGGAGAAATAGGAACACTTTTACACTGTTGGTGGGACTGTAAACTAGTTCAACCATTGTGGAAGTCAGTGTGGCGATTCCTCAGGGATCTAGAACTAGAAATACCATTTGACCCAGCCATCCCATTACTGGGTATATACCCAAAGGACTATAAATCATGCTGCTATAAAGACACATGCACACGTATGTTTATTGCGGCACTATTCACAATAGCAAAGACTTGGAACCAACCCAAATGTCCAACAATGATAGACTGGATTAAGAAAATGTGGCACATATACACCATGGAATGCTATGCAGCCATAAAAAATGATGAGTTCATGTCCTTTGTAGGGACGTGGATGAAATTGGAAATCATCAATCTCAGTAAACTATCCCAAGAAAAAAAAACCAAACACCGCATATTCTCACTCATAGGTGGGAATTGAACAATGAGAACACATGGACACAGGAAGGGGAACATCACACTCTGGGGACTGTTGTGGGGTGGGGGGAGGTAGGAGGGATAGCTTTAGGAGATAATGCTAAATGACGAGTTAATGGGTGCAGCACACCAGCATGGCACATGTATACATATGTAACTAACCTGCACATTGTGCACATGTACCCTAAAACTTAAAGTATAATAATAATAAAGAAAAGAAAAGAAAAGAAAAGAAAAGAAAAGAAAAGAAAAGAAAAGAAAAGAAAAAGTAGTGAGGGAAGAGAGCGTGGGAAGATTTGCAAGCAAAGCCAAGAGTGCCCTCTTGTGGCATACAAAAAAATGATTTTTAAAAATCACTCGTTACTTGGTAGCCCTTCATTTCCCGGAGTAAACACATTAACCTTGAGAAGAGTTCCAAGTACTGCCAAGAGAGAAAGGGAAGAACCGGATGACTGTTAAATAAAAGAGAAAAAACATACACACAATTCTTTGGGCCTATAAGTCTCACTCAATTTTATTGAAAAGTTTAAGACTTTAAAAGTTACAAAGTAGTATTCGCCCTGCCTATATTAACCATTAACAAGCATTGTACTGTTAGTGCAGCTAAAGTAATTATATCAGAAAAACATATCAATTGTCATTTTGTCCACCGGACAGTATTGTAAGGAAATGATGCTGCAAGAAAAGCAGACAAATATGGACTTCCCAACATAGGGACGTGAAGCAGGTGTATTAAAAATAAGGATGCATATAAAACTAAGACACAAAATGAATCCCTGAGCTGAGTTTGCATCCGAAAACATCACGTTCACACTTCATTTGGGTGAAAATGAACAAGGACACTTCTCATGGGCAACCACGGGGCTTTGGCTTCACACAGATGTGATCAATAACGACAGTAGCGGGCTCCAAGAGTACATTAATCTCAGAAAAAATAGTGGTATAGTCTCCACAGGGATTTGCTTCTCAGATAAGTAGAACTATGGCCTGCCATGAAATTGAGAGCTCATGAATATAGATGGTTGAGTGTATCAGTCTTCAAAGCATTTAAAACATACTTTTGTTTTTGTTTTATCAGTGCAATTTGTTTTTGAAGACGCCGGAAAACTATTTCATTTAACCTGAGCAATTAAAACGTGTCAAATCACAGCTGTCACAGTTAGGTTTGATAAAATTAATTGTTAGCATCCTTATTACTGGCACAGCTGTGATATTTCTGGATTTGACTATGCACCTGCTGCAGGAAAACATGATAAAATGTCATTTAGATCTCTAACTACAAGACCGTTAGACTAGAGAGCTCTTTAAGGCAAGGACATGAAAACTGCGTACTTTTATACCTCGCTTAAGTCAGTGACAGATTTACCAATGACAACACAATTTTAAAATTCCAACACATATATTACTTTGTCCTATGAAGGGCAAAAAGTCAATATATTTTAAATTTTAAAAACAGAATGGATATAATGACCTTTTTACACATCAGTGATATTTAAAAGACTTAAAGAGACAATACTATGGTTGAGACACTGGCTTCCTATTCCAGCCCTAATTAAAGAAAAAATAGCTAGTATGTTTCTAATTGAAACTAGAGTGAACTGGGCATCTTCAAAGTTATCATTTTCTTGGATATAAAAAAACAAAAGACCTGGGAAAGAAAAACAAGTGTTTTACAGAAATGAAGCAAACACATTTTCACATGACATAATCATTGACTTGGTGGTACACAGCTCAAGTCCAGCTTTCACTGATATTTCCTCATTAGATTAATAATTTTATTATAAAGCCTCCAAGGGGCATCCAGGCCCCAAATGAAGTCAAGATGCTCCCATTCCGGAATGCTCTCATGGAACACCAAGTTGGTGATCTGAGTCAGTAAGATATTGACGTCGTAGACATCTGCAAGCCAGTCGTGACCCCCGCTCCAGACTGCAGTCGGCACAAGCATGTCCTTCACATTGTATGTGGGAGGATAACTCTACAATGAAAAGGAACCAGAGAAAGCCTCGTTGTTGTTGTTGTTTTAATTTTCAAAATCACAATAAGCGCAATCTCCATTAAACATTGTCTAGTAAGTTTGACTAACAGACTAAATTTTTAAAATCTCTTTGAGTATCTTTTCAAGTTGCCATTACCGGCACAAAAAAAGAAATCTAACCCCAAATGAGAGAATGCTAATTATAATCGCCACTAGCTGTGGAGCTGCTGCCGTAGGCTGGGCACCAAAATGAATGTTTAATCCCCGGCAAGGAAGGTGTTGTACTCCATAGGTAGTACACTCAAGGCAATAGTGGCTGGAAAGAGTTTGGGGTCATGCCCTCCTACTTCTTCCCTTTGGGTGTAAGACAAGTCACAGAAATTCTCTAAGCCTCACTGTCCTCATGTTTAAGTCAGAGATAATCACGTTTACATCACAGAGATGCTCTGGGAATTAAATTTAAAAAACAGAGCAAAGTGCCTCACACTTCAGTGCATTTAGCATGCTCAAAAATGCTAATTTTATTAGTGCAGGGAAGAGGCTTAAGCAATGTAATCTGGCCAAGGCCCCATAGCTACCAGATAACAGACATAGGACTGTCTGACTCTACAGGCTATGTTCGTGATTACTCTGAGTAATGCATAACAGTGATGATTCTTATTTAGAGCTGGGGAAAGGACAAAGAGAGGAGGCCCAGTCCACAACACCAGCTACAAAGCTTGGATTGTTCTGAATGGACTGATGGAAAACAAACACTAGTCAACTCCTGCAAACATTTCCCACAGCACCTGAGCCTGGCCAGAATCCTGATAGGCCAGGCTGGCTTTCTTGATGAGTTTTCAGGGCCCCCTTTAATGAAAAGACTAAAAACTTTACCTGGTTGTAATGAAAATAATTCTTGGCACTGCTTCCCCAGTCAAAGGCTTGAAACTTTTGGAATTTAACAGCCTAAAAAGAAGATAATTTGGAAAAGAGTTATCTGACACCAAAGTTAGAGATAACATCATAGGTTGCTGGAGCTAGCCACAACCTCGGAAATCAACTTTATACCAATATCCAGATTTACTCTTCATTTCCAAGGCATTATTTTAAATGAGATGGCATGGTTTTGTCCTGCTTTACTGAATGACTCAATTTCTCATTGTATGATTGTTAAGCAGCTACCACCTGACACAAGAAAGCAGCTATGCACATATGCTGTCAATTATACTAGATCAACAGTTGCTCCTGCTAGCGGAACTTTATGCTGACATTTTCTGCTGAAATTTGCATCCTAAGCTTTTTCAAAGAGTTAGTCATTTTACTTGGGAAATAAAGGTAGACAGATAGGTAGCTACATATATATATACATATATATATATATAATAGAGAGAGAGAGAGAGAGATGGATATATATAGATAAAATAATTATAATATACAATTGGCCCTCCATATCCAGTTTTGTATCTGTGGATTCAGCCAAGTGATATTTTGCAGATGGAAAATATTTGGAAAAAAACAATAAAAGATAATAAAACAATAAAAAATACAAATTTTAAAACAGTGTAACACCTACTTACATAGCGTTTACATTGTATTAAGCATCATAAGTAATCTAGAGATGATTTAAAGCATATGAAAGGATATGCATAGGCTATATGCAAATACTACATCATTTTATATAAGGGACTTGAGTATCTGTGAATTTTGGTTTGGGGATGATGTCTGCAGCCAGTCCCCAAAGATACTTGAGGGATGACTGTATATTTTCTATTTACCCATTCTACTTGTCTAGTTATATTAGTCAAATTTTAATGATGGTATTGATTAAACACTTTTTCTTGAGTACTGGTATCAGTATAATCACCAAGTAGTACTGCATGCCAGCACAATTCTAACTAGTTAGGGATACTAGAGCCATGAAATTGAAATTGTATTGAAATTTACATTTATTCATATTTAAAATAGTATAATATAAAATATTAGCAAAATGTCACTTATTTTTAAAATTCAAAATAGTGCAAATCCATATTTCCTCTACACTCTCAAATTAAATGTATGTCAAAAATTAAACACAAAATTGGCAAGCCAAATGAATTTGAAATGGTAAGTTTTGGCCACAAGGTGGCGCCTGGTAAAAAGAAATGCTCAGACATTCTTTGTCAAAACTGCTTTTGATTTATGTGAAGTCTGTTCTAATCAACTGCATACAATTCTACTGTTTGATGTAATAAAAGACAGAGTGAGATGATATACTATAGGGGATTGTTACAGGAGAAATATTTGGCATCTGTTTTTGCCGTTGCAAATGACTGATATTAAATACCTGTGGCATATTTAACAAGCAAAACAAAATTTGGATTCACAGCACCTGTTGGTACATCTGTTCCCCATCTTTGTCAGTGAAAATATATTGATGCAAACTATTCTGCCACTGAACACAGACAGCAGTTCATCACTTTGTCACATGTCCTTCAGCATTCATATGAAGCACCAGCGTGAGCACAGAATACAAAGGTGAAACTTGCCTATAGCTCAGACTGAAGTTCTAAATTTGACTTTGTGCTAAGTCACTTAGGACTTCAAGCTATCCACTTGAAAGGATATTTCAAAAGAAAAGTATTAAGATGATTTCCAGTAACAAAAACCTGGAAATAAGCTAAAGCCCAATTTTAATAAGTAACAATCCCTTGTAGTATATCATCTCGCTCTGTGTTTTATTACATCAAACAGTAGAATTGTATGCAGTTGATAAGAACAGACTTCACATAAACCAAAAGCAGTTTTGAAGAGAATGTCTGGGCATTTCTTTTTACCGGGCGCCACCTTGTGGCCAAAACTTACCATTTCAAATAATAGATATTTGGGTAAATATGTTACATAAATATACACAAGGGGTATGCCACTGTCATAAATATAAATAAAATACAAACAGAAAATGGCTTACAGATAATCTCATAAATAATACTAAGTGGAAAAAAATGAAACCAAATATACACTAAGGTTATACTTCTGTGATAATCATATCACAGAGTATATGTAGATAATGATCAGGAGGAAATGCCTATAGTATTAGGATAAACCGTTTTAAAATGACATTTAAAAATTATATTTAGGTCTTGAATGGTAATAAAAATGTAAACGGGTTCAACTTTTCTAAAGTACAATATGTATTAGAAGTCTTAAAGCTATGCCTACCCTCTCCCTTACTAAGTCTACTGCTATAAATGTATCATCCTAAGAAAACACTCTAACATATAAGGACAGATGATTTATGACTGCAAAACAACTATCACTGCAAAAAACAAAATGATAATAAAATTCAAGCAACAGAAACTGCCCTTTATGACAAATATTTTAAAACTTTAGTTACTGACCCGGAAAGGCATTTTTAATTATGGCAGAGACTGCCACCCATTCCCATTCTTGCCTTCTTCCTTTCAGTAACAGAATCCCTAAAGCTTTCCCTAAGTACATGGCTGCCAAGATAGAAACCACATCCTCATCCTCCTGCGAGCAGCCAGGCTATGGCCATACCGCTCACTTCTAAGCTATCTCCTTCGCACAAAGTCACTTGCCCTGAGCTCCCTCTCCCCTGCCTTCCTGTGAGTTGGAAGAGACATGGAGGTGACCGGGCTGCAACCAGGCAGAAGAGGACAACACCCCGAGGATGGCAGAGCTATAGTATGGAGGGAACTGGGTCCCTGCATGGCCTCATGGAACACAGCCAAAACCCCCTCTATCATCAGTCTGGGCCACCTCTCTCTGAACTTTATTATGAGAAAGAAATAAACTCTTTATTTAGCAGCTGTATTTTGGGGTCTCTAATACAACAGCTTAACTTGTATCTAACAAATATAATGGCATTTCTTTAAATGAAAATTTACATAAAAGCAGATGTAGTATGATCTGACTTTTGTAATGGAAATGATTATATTACAAAACTGTAAGATTATACCAAAATATTAATAGTGGCTATTGCTGGGTGCTAGACATACAAGTCATTTTTCTTTCACTCATGTATTTTCTAAAATTTCATAAAACATATTACATGTTTAACAAAAATTATACTGAATATCCTTTTTACAGTGTTCTTTAAAAGCCTACCAAAAGTATGTTTTTTCCTTTAAAGAAAAAAAAAAGAGCACATCGTAATCATCTAAGGCACTTAACTCAAACATAGATCCCAGGGTCACAGCCCTAGGAATTCAGAGTCTCCACAGGTCTCAGACAGGCCCAAGAACCAGTATTTTTAATAGCACCTTAGGTAGGTCAGAACAACACTGGAAAACTACACTGGGATGGCCTTCTTCAAACAGGTGAGAGTACCTGGGCTCTGGGCAGGGCCAGTGAGAAAGTGAGAAGTAATATCAAGTCTTGGCTCTGGGGAGCTCCGAAATTCATCAGGTTTATAAGGAGAATGGAAAGATGAGTATGCTATATTTAAAATCCCGCTAAAGAACAAGGTATGGAATTTATTAACAAGTTAATCCTAATTATTTAAACAAAAAGTAAACTTCTGAATGGACTGTAAACAAAATGGCCTTTAAGGTCAACCCCAAACTCATACCATAAGAGCCCTCTAATGCCACACCTGAATTCTAGCCCCAGCCTGCCCGGCATCCAGGCCTGCCCAGCTTCCACAGAAGCCTTTTCCTGCACTGCCTCTTGGAGCCTGCAGCCTGCACCAGTGGCAGCCCCTGGCCAACAGCCCAGAGGAGGGAAAGCCAAAGGGAAGATCCGATACAATGGCTGCACAAAGCAACCAACCATTTTACTGACAAAAGATGGTACAGCGGGTAGAAGAGCAAAGGCCCAGGCTGCCTTGTACAGCAAATCTGGGCTTTGCAAATATTCTGGAGGTATATTCCAGGGTAGTTAGAATCTAAAGTCACCAGGTCACAAATGGGGCACAGAGCAGTGCTCTGGCCCTCACCCTGCAGCCTTTGACCCTGGCAAGCTGCTGGATAAGAGGGCTGGAACAAGACCAGTAGCCTAGATGATAGCCGATCCAATGTCTCTACTGCAAACCCCATGCCCAGTGGAGGCCCAAGACACAGAAGGGTGAAGCAACACAGGTCTGTAATATAAAATAGAGTTGGCCTAGGACAGCCTTGGTTTCAACATTCCCAAGGGCCTCTGACATCCCAGGTCTGGTGGCCATTTGTACTTTGCTGAGGCCTGGCGTGTACTGTGTGTGGGCTGCTGGCAGTCACTAAGCTGGTGGGAAAGCTCAGGATCTGCCTCCAGCCAGCTCAGTCACCCTCCATCATCTCTGGGGGTGCAATAACTGATGAGGTGACAGACATTGGGCCTTTTAGGAAAATGTCCATTAGGTAAGAGGTCCTAGGCATCCTCAAAAATGTAGGGGAATTCTAGTGACAGGGTATATGAAGAAAACAAGTGACTATAAGCATAAATGTGACCAAGGAGAAAAGCAGAGACCTGAACCAAGAACGAAAATCCTCAATCTTTGTGAATTTGAGGATTTTTGAAGGTTTGGGGGCATTCCTTAAGTGGTAAGCATGTGCTGTTCAGCACGTCATGAACTATTTGCATTCCAGATGCCCCTCTTTTAGGCCACAACAAACTCTGCCCCTGAGGAACTGACATTTAACTCTCAGCCTTCTAGTTACTATAAAGGACCAGGAGCCTCAGGCCAGGCTCTTCCTAGTTCCTTAGAGACGAGCCCCAGGGAAAGGAGAACTATAGCACTGTTAGAGTTCCTGGGGCAACTGAAGAAGGAGATGAAAGTATCAGGATGTCCCGAACAGGTCTGCTCCCAAACCTGGTGGAGCAAAAGAATCTACCAGGCAGATTTTTTAAAAATGCAGATCCTCAGAAATAAAAAGGAATGAACTACTGACATACACAACATAGGAAAATTTCAAAACAAGTATTCTGAGTGGAAGAAGCCAGACAAAAACAAGTATAAACTGCATGACTGTTCTCATGCAAGCTCTAGAAAATGCAAACTAAGCTACAATGACAGGAAGCAGATCAGTGGGATTGAGGGGAGGGATGGGGGGAGGTATCACAAAGGGGCAGCAGGGACCTTTTAGGATGATGATATATTTGCTGTGTCGATTATGGTGATGGTTTCACAGGTGTATACAAACACTGAAATATATCAAATTGTATACTTTAAATATTCTATGTCACTTATACCTCAATAAAAAATTTTTTTTTAAAATAATAAAACGACTCGGGAGGCTGAGGCAGGAGAATCACATGAAGCTGGGAGGCGGAGGTTGCAGTGAGCCAAGATCGCACCACTACACTCCAGCCTGGCAACAGAGTGAGAGTCCATCTCAAAAAAATAAAATAAAACGAAAAAATAAAAGTACAGATTCTCTAGTCCAAATGATTGGGACACAGGAGTATTTGTTTTATAAGCCTGGATGGTAGCCAATCCAAGAATTCCACTATAATTCCAACTCTCATTACTTTTTTAATGCAATGATTTATTAAATAGTGTACTTTTTAAAGCAATTTGGTGATTCTGATGCAAGCAGTGACTGCCAGGTGTTTGGAAATTACTATTCAAGACACCTACAGTGTCTTGGTTTAGGGCTTAAATGGTGAGTTGTTTCATATTAAAAATGAAGTTAGCTGAAAAATAAATGGCACAAAATTATGTCCTGAGGTAGAAAGAAGTCCCTGACATATTGTCAGGTGAAAAAAGAAAAGCAAGCTGTAAAACAGTAAGCAGGAGAAAAATCAATCTATTTCTACATCTACTATTTCTATCCATGTCTTTAACAGCATCTTTTTGAAAAGAGGTATAGAATAGAATGCAGAGACATTCAATATCTATGGATATGCATTTCCTCTCTGTCTAGGGTTATAGAATGATTTTATTTTCATTTTAAGATAATTTTTTTCTAGATGTAGTTTCTAAATTTTCTAGAATGAACATGACTTATTTACATGATAAAATAATCAAAACTGTATTTCAAAAGTCAGGGGCCCCCATTCACATCTATCATTGGTTTAGCTCCAGTTTATTCACTGCTATTCCAAGCATATTGTGATCAGGGGTTAGTGTTGAAACAGCGGTTTCTATCTCCAAAACGGACTTAAAATCACTCTTTATGAAGCAACACAGAAATAAAAAAAATCTAGGACTCAATGAGAAGCAGATGGAGGGGAGGAAACAGGAGGAGGAAAAGAAAGCTGGGGGAGAAGGAAAGGGAGAGAATATATTAACCTGAGACTTGAGGAAGGGAGAGGAGGGAAAAGAAAAATGTCAACCCCAGTAGCTGTTTGTGAACCCACGTATAACACAGTGTGCCCCACCACAGGTATCAAAAGCAACACAAGCACGATGACAAAAACCCAGGACTCTGGGGAAGAAAACCAGATCAGATTTGTAAGCAGGTTGTCTTTCTATTTGGAAAGGGTTTGCATGCCCAGACCTTTCTGATGTTGATTTTACATGAACCCCAAATGCACTCCTGGAATGCCTACCTGGCTCCAGTGTAACATGTTTTGCACAGAAGTTCCAGCAGGAGAATGTGTTGTATATACATCCACTCTAGACTGCAAAATAAATACATTGAAATGAAGAATGAAAACAGCATTAAGGTGGCATTGATAATAAACATTGTATTTTGCCCTTCAAAGCACTAAAAACTAGAGCCATAATCTCAAGTATGTGAGATGAGAGGTAGAAAAAAATTATTTGACTAAAAATCTGCCCTATAAAAATACATACAACCACATACAAAGTCCATATGAAGGAGGTGCAACAACATGGTAAGCACGGGACTGTGTGGGTTTCGTTTACAGGGCATTTTCATTTTGTTCTTCATGCTTTCCTGAATTTCCCAAATTTCATATAACAATCACACCTTGCTTTAATTATCAGACAAAAGAAAAATGGCACTGAAATTCCTTAGGGCCTTTATTCCAGGATTTTAACCCTTTTTTTCAAAATGCCACATGACAAACTAACAAACATATTTAGAAACACGGGCATAGTATTGGCCAAGGGTTTATATTTTATAAAATAAAATGGGTTTACATTTTATAAAATGTACTTTTATAAATACACACACACTGCAAGCATACACTTATGTGTATGTAAATGGCCGTTCCAAATTTAAATACTTATAGTAATTTTTGAAAATTTGTGTATTTTAGATTCGGGGGGTCCATGTGCAGGTTTGTTACAAGGGTGGATTGCATGATGCTGAGATGCGGGCTTCTATTGATCCCATAACCACAGTACTCAATATTGGCTATAGTACTCAACAGGCTTCAGCCCTTGTCCCTCTCCCTCCTTCCTTTTGGAGTCCCCACTGTCTATTGTTCCCATCTTTATGTTTATACTTATAATGATTTCTAAAAGAAACAAATCACTAGAGTAATTATAAATATTACAGCTTAATTTGTGACAGATCTCCTCATTCAATAATCTCCATCTAGGTACAACATAAGAAGGTGACCACAGTCAGCCTGAGGATGGCAGCAGGTGGTACCGTATTCTAGGCATTGGCCAAAGTTCATGCTTGTGCCTCTCAAATGAAAGACTCTTTAGAGTTCTGATGAGGTCATTCCCACCTCTCCCATATCATTCAACACAAATAAGCACATTCACAGATAAAAAAAAAAATCAAATCTTACTATAAACATGCATACCATATTTAAATTTCTCTCATTAAATCCACACAGAAGAAAACAGAGATTTCCACAGAGCTCCTTCAGTATGACATGAGTGCAAACGTGGGTACCCAGCCACTTCAAAAACGCACTCTGGGGAAGAAATTCTTTGTCTCCAAATAAGTCCTACAAAATAAAAAGAAACCCAAGAACATCTCAGCATTTCACTCTGGTGCATAAGTCTCCGTGACTCACCTCAGAAGCAGAGACAAGTACCCAATGTCTCCACGAATGGCCTCAGGAGAGAATGGCAACCAGTGGACATCAAATCAGGATGCTTTTGCACAAGTTTACCAAAGCAAAAATCACACACTACAGAGGTGTATTTAAATTCTCCAAATGAAGAGAAGGAGGCAGAAAATCAAATAAGTTTTCAGCGGACTTCTACAGTGGGAAAGGGCCTTAATGATCACCCCTCCCAGGGCCATCCCCAAGTAATTTTCATCTGACTCTGATGGATCGGTGGTTACTTCTAAGAAACAGTCAAGGCTGTGATTGATCAGTAATGTCTGCCAGAGGTGTGCCCATCTAATTCAATGCTACTGGCCAGCAGGCCAAATCCAGCCCATCGCTTGCTTTTTTATTTTGTTTTTTAAAATTTTTTTTATTGGCCAGGCATGGTAGCTCATGCCTGTAATCCCAGCACTTTGAGAGGCCAAGGCAGAAGGACTGCCTAAGCCTAGGAGATTCCATCTTTCCTATTTAAGTCTTCTAAATGGCCCATGAGAGACGTTATACCTCATTTCATGTATATATTTCTATACAGGATTTCATATGTGTGTGTGTGAACATATATTTCATAAAAGACATATAATGCATGCATAATAGAACATCTGGTCTTACCTAGCTTAAAACTCTTTTTCATGAAATCTATTTCCTCCCTGAACAGAGGTTCGGGTGCCACAGCTTTAGGGCAGAGCCCTGATGAAGCTACTGGCTGTGTTTAGGAGCCATATTATAAAATACAATAATGATAGCGTTGTTAGGTCACCCTCAGTGTAGCTAGGGATGGGCTTTTGGGAACATTTCCTATCTCCCATCTCCTACATCCTCTGTGCACAGGCTCACCTCATGGGATAAAGGGCAACTCCACAAATGCTTAAATTATTTTCTCCCAGACTCTCCTTGCTCTCCCTGTGAGGTGGGCAGAGCTGTACTGACACATGCTAACCATGAGTACACGTGGCACCAGTGTGCAGGAAACGACAGGCGTCCCCGGCCACCCCTGGGTCTGGAAGGAGGGGTAAACGGAAAAAGAAAAGCCCACTGCTCCACTGATATCAAAACGCAGGGGAGGAAGGCACAGATTATCCCTCCCCTTGCCATTTCTTCAGATCTCAGGAGGAAATCTGCGGGGAGAGGAGAGGGATGGGAGGGGTCCAAGTACCTTAATGAGATGATCTGGTAATCGTCCTAATTTGGCCATAGGGCTAGTACAGAAGGCGACGGAAGCCACAGGACCCAGGGCAAAAAACATTTTAATCCTTTTAGCCAGCTCAGGGATCTGTGAAAATGCTATAAAACCTGTGAGAACAAAGGACAGAAAACAGGAATTCCATCATCTGGGATTTCCTTCTCAGAAAACACAAAGGCCGTCACTCGCGACGCCCTCTCGCGGAGGCCTGAGACCCACGCAAACAATACCACCAGCAGGAGCCAAAACACTTGACATGGGGCACTCTGAACTTCCGTGTGCCCTAACACTGAATTTGGTTAAACTAGTAAATCAAGCATTTGTTAATGCTTGCTCCAAATCTCAACCTAGATAAGCACTGGAAGAAATCCAGTCTGGGAGAATCAGAAAATCTTCCCAGTTCCTTTTACAATGTAAATAACAGACTATTTCCAAGAGCCTCACCCCATCACCTTTATCTCCCCCATGCCCCTCCCCCAAAGAACAATTTACAGACACCACGTTGAAATAAACCACCAATGATTTCAAAGGAACTCACACATTTAGAATCCCCTAGCTTTAAAATATATTTTAACCCTTGATATGGTTTGGGTGTGTTCCCACCCAAATCTCATCTTTAATTGTAGTTCCCATAATTCCCATGTGTTGTGGGAGGGACCTGGTGGGAGATAATTGAATCACGGAGGCGGTTCCCCCCATACTGTTCTTGTGGTAGTGAGTAAGTCTCTTGAGATTTGATGGTTTTATAAGGGGAAACTCCCTCACTTGGCTCTCACTCTCTCTTGTCTGCCACCATGTAAGATGTTCCTTGCTCTTCCGTCATTATTGTAAGGCCTCCCTAGCTCACAATCCATTAAACTGTGAGTCCATTAAACCTCTTTTTCTTTATAAATTGCCCAGTCTCGGGTATGTCTTTAGTAGTGGCATGAAAACGAATTAATACAACCCTCTCTGACGTCTTGCCACCTGGCCCCAGAATGTCACTTTAGGAAGCAGTGGGGCAAAGGTCCCAAGCAGGCAAGTCATGAAAGAAGAAATATAAATAAAGAAAAATGCCTAACTCCATTTTTTTCCTGGCAATATAACCACATGTTTTGAGACCCTTCAAAACATTCATACCTTTCATATAGTAAGGCTCCTTCTAGGAATATATTGTAAGGAAAGCATGTGATGGGAACACTAAGGTGTTAGTCATAGTAAACATTAAAAGGGAGAATTAAATAAATTATAGGACAGGTTCCTAGTCCCTAATTACAAAAACTCTTGCTGACTAGAATTATGGGCAATTTTTATTTTCTTTAATTTTGCTAAATCTTCTGTTCTTCTGTTTTTCTACAGTGAACATGCATTACTTATATAATCAGCATAAATTAAAATGCATATAACTTTTCAAAATTTTTTGTAAACCAAATGTACCTGTAGTTAGTTATATTCCACTTAACTTCAGAAGGCAGTATATTTTCTTGTTTTCTTTATGTAAGTCTCTGAACTTAGAAACTACTTGTTTTCTACTCTCTCACATCCCTATCTTGCTTCATCTAGGAAAACATGTAATATATTGTGGCTTACATTAATTTCTTCAATTTCAACCATATACATGAATTTTCATAGAAGACTAAATGTTACCAACATTCCTTATCTTATTCATTATTTCTGTTTGGCATTTAAAAATAAATGGAATTTGAACTAACATCTTTTTATATTTCACTTTTAAGAAAAGTACAAACTCTGTAATGAAGAATTTATATCAACTTCTGATCTTATTTACATACATACCTATAGTGGTGCCTTGAGAATGACCCACATAATACACTTGTTCTTGGCCAGTTTTATTCAGAATGAAGTTAATGGAAGCTGGTAGGTCATATTTTGCCATCTCATCATAACTGTAATCCAAGAAAGGAACTCTTTCATTGAAATAGTACATAAAATAGAGCACACACATACTGAGTATGCAGTTTGATGAGTTATCACAAACTAAACACAGCTGGGAAAACCAGCAGTGAGTCCAGGAAACAACACCAGCAGGACTGCAGAAGCCCCCTTGGGCTCTCTTCCAGTTGTGTCTCCCAAAAGTAACTATTGTCCTCATTTTTCACACCAGAAATTAGTTTCGCCTGTTTTTAAATATTTCTGTAAGTAGAATTATACAATGTGTATTCTCCTGTATCTGGCTTAATCCATTTTTTGCTGCATATAATTGTAAGTTGTTCATTCTTATTCTACTATATAAATATACAACACTTTATCCATTCACTGCTGACATGCATTTGGGTAGTTTCCTGTTTTCCGTTGTTACAAATAGCGTGACAATAAACCAATTCTTGTATATGCCTTTTGTTAAAAGCTCTCATTCTTGTGTTTCATGTCCTTAGAGGTGCCTCTGGTTTTAAAAATGGGAAGCAAGCCCGGAGGCTGCTATAGTGCTGCTGACTTTCTCTAATACCTGGTACCAAAACATAGACCAAAACCCAAGTGTGCGTATGGGTATATGCATGCGCATGTTGCCACTGGCAGGAGAAGAGCCAACCCCTAGCCAGTTCATACAAGGTGCCAGGTTCTGTGGAGGTTCCTTCTCTGCACCCTCTCCTTTAAGCCCCCAGTGACCTTATGAGGTAGGTGTTTATTACGCTCCATTTT
Source organism: Homo sapiens (assembly GCF_000001405.40). Lineage (NCBI taxonomy): Eukaryota > Metazoa > Chordata > Mammalia > Primates > Hominidae > Homo > Homo sapiens. Next base: position 89,227,759 of record NC_000010.11, read on the forward strand.
ACAAATAAGGAAACCGAGACACAGGAGGCTTATGTAAGATGTCCAATGTCATACAGCAATTAACTGGTGGAGCCAGAAGGAAGAGGGAGGAAAGGATAATTTCTGGAAAGAAGAAAAGTGAACATCTGGATTACATATTTATGGAGAAAGGAGGAAAGTTATGGAATAACGTTTACCCAGCAGCACCCACACCACCAGAAATGCCGAAGTAACTTAAGAATTCCTAACTAAATGTAAATCTTAATGTAATCATTTACTTATAATTTACCTTACTGCTAGTCATTAAATTCCTAGCAACATTTAAAACCTTTCAAAAGACACTAACTTCCCCTCTCATACAACTTCAGAGTTACCACCTATCTACCTCTTCTGCTGGAAGCCTGTTGTCTGCTTTAAGAGTACTAAGGAAATACATCCATGCCATTATCAATTCATATATACCTGAAAGCCCAGAATTCATCCTGAGAAACTGAGAGTGTCTTATGTTTCCGAGACCAGGTATTTCCTCTGCTGTTGCCCATCCACACGTCAAAACCAGCATCAGCAAGAATGAAGCCCAGGCTGCTGTTGGCAAGGTTTGTGACCCAGTTACTAGAATCTGCCAGCAAGCCATGTTGCAGGAAGACAACTGGTTTGGGACCTGAAAAACATTCATTGTTTAGGAGGCAGTAGCACCAAGCTTCAAAACAAATATGATATCTTGCTAAATAGAACATTCGTAAAAGATCCATAAGCAAATAATGAACTAGAAATAAATTGAAAGATTGACATAGTGATGTACTCACATATAATGTTAGTAAAGAATTTTTTTAAAACAGCACTGGCAAGGTAGCAGTGAAACTGGACCATTTTTTGCATGTCCACTAACAAGACACACTTATGTAAGCAGCAAAAACAAAAATCAATATATTTTTAAGAAATTATAAAATGTTTTTACAATTTTTTTCTTATAAAATGTTTTTACAATTTGCTTTCGTAATTGCATTTCTCACAATAATTCCTAACAAAATAAACAAAAGGAAAGAAAAAGATCACACATAATGAGACATCACTATACACGTATCAGAATGAGCAACATCCAAAAACGCTGAAAACACCAACTGCTGAAGAGGATGTGGAGGAACAGGAACTCTCATTCATTGCTGGTGGAAATGCAAACTGGTAGCACCACACTGGAAAAGTTTGGCAGTTTCTTACAAAACTAAACATACTCTTACCATATAATCCAGCAATCACATTCCTTGGTATTTTACCCAAAGGAGTTGAAAACTTACATCTACACAAAAACCTGCATACAGATGTCTATAGTAGTTTTACTCATAATTGCCAAAATTTAGAAGCAACCAAGATGTGCTCCAGTAAATGAATGCATAACTAAACTGTGCTACATCCAGACAATGGAGTATTACTCAGCCCTAAAAGGAAATGAGCTATCAAGCCACAAAAAGATGTAGAGGAACCTTAAATACATATTACCAAGATCTGTAAAGGCTGCATTCTATATGACATGCTGGAAAAGACAAAACTATAGAGAGAGTAAAAAAGATCCTGGTTGCCAGGGGTTAGGAGGGAGGAAGGAATTCATAGACAGAGTAAAGAGGATTTTTCAGGGCAGTAAGACTACTCTGCATGATACTATAGAGGTAGACACATGCCATCATACATTTGTCCAAAACTATAGAATATACAACATCAAGAGTGAACTGTAGTGGCCGGGTGTGGTGGTTCATGCCTGCAATCCCAGCACTTTGGGAGGCTGAGGCGAGTGGATCACTTGAGGTCAGTAGTTCGAGACTAGCCTGGCCAACATGGCGAAACCCTGTCTCTACTAAAAATACAAAAAAGGTAGCTGGGTGTGGTGCCCCACACCTGTAATCCCAGCTATTCAGGAAGCTGAGGCAGGAGAATTGCTTGAACCCGGGAGGCAGAGGTTGCAGTGAGCCAAGATTGCACTGCTGCACTCCAGCCTAGGGGACAGAGGGAGACTCAGTCTCAAAAAAAAAAAAAAAAGGGAACCCTAATGTAAACTACGGACTTTGTGTGAATGTAGGTTCATCAGCTGTAACAATTACAATTCCACTCTGTGAGGGATGTTCATAACAGGGGAGTGTGGGGGCAGAGGGTGTATGGGAAATCTCTGTACCTTCCACTCAATTTTGCTATGAACTTAAAACTGCTTTAAAAAATAAAATTTAATAAAAATTTTTAAAGCTGAATAAAAGTTAAATAGATAAAAAGGCTCACACACACAAATTCATAAATATATGTGTCTGTGTCTGCCTGTGAGAATTTATTTTCTACTCACCTGTACCCGAGACAGTGATATAGCAGAAAAAACAAAGATGTGGGAGCCAAAGAAACCTGACCTCAAGCTGCTTACCTAACGCTGAGACCATTCAGTTATTCATGAAACAAGCCTTTATTGAGTACCAACTATGTGCCAGGCCTTCTTCTCAGCACTGAGAACACAGCAGAGAACAAAAACAAGAGGAAAAAAAGTACCTCCATGGAGCTGACATTATACTGACCATGAGTTTTATCCACTTATTTGATTGATTGATTGATTGAGATAGGATGTTGCTCTGTGACCCAGGATGGAGTGCAGTGGCGTGATCTCTGCTCACAGCAACCTCCACCTTCTGGGCTCAAGTGATCCTTCCATCTCAACCTCCTGAGTAGTTGGGATTTCAGGCGTGCACCAACACACCCAGCTAATTTTTGTGTTTTTTGTAGAGACAGTGTTTCACCATGTTCCCAGGCTGGTCTCAAACTCCTGGACTCAAGCGATCCACCCACCTCGGCTTCCCAAAGTGCGGGGTTTACAGGTGTGAGCCACCACGCCCAGCCCGATCATGAGTTTTAGACAGCTCAAACAAACCTAGGCTCAACTCTGTCCTCTCCAAGTTCTAACATGACACCTTGGGGAAACATCTCCTAAAATTAATATAATTCCCTGAAGAGTAGAAATGATAATACACATTTTATAGGACACAGTGAGATATGAGATATTATATGAAAAGTAGGTAGCAAAGAGTCTGACACACAGTAAGAGTTCACTATATATCAACTCATACTATTAAGTTGCTTAACCAGTCTGCGTCTCAGTTCCAAAAATAATTGTTAAGAGGAATAAGTGAGGTAAGTATCCAGTATAGTGACTGACACACGGGTCACAGTGAACAAATGAGAGCTTCCTTTGCCCTCTGCTCATTCTTTATAACAGTGAAAAACTGGAAATAAGCTAATTGTCAAGTGGTCAAATAATTCATTGAAATCCACTTGGTATAATAATTATCCATCAACCATGACAAGGACAGTGACAGCATAGAAAAGCTTATACCTTGCAAAGGAAAAAAAAGCAAAATACAAAATTATAGACTACTCTAAATTACAGCTGTGCAAAATTAATGTACACCAAAGAGGAGTGTAAAATACCAAGGAAAAATGAGAAGAATGATTTGTCCAGATGATAAGACTATAAGTGAATTGACAAATGTTCATTTCTGCTAATGTCCTAATATAGATTTGATAACTAGCAAATTGTTTTTAAATGACAGTTCTGCTGCAAGGTAGCTTCCGTAGACTACTCCGGAAGGCACTGCTCACATACATGAAAATATACATGGTACTCCCTGGAGTTGTACAACCTGGGGGTGCTATACCCTCGTGTTGTTAAAATAGCAGGACCCCAGGCCAAGAGTATAAAATGATTCCCATAACTTTTTTTTTTTTAAGAGAGAAAAGGTCTCATTCTATCACCTAGACTGGAGTGCAGTGGCATGACTGCTCACTGCAGCCTCAAACTCCTGGACTCAAGTGATCCTCCCACCTCAGGCCCCTGAAGAACTGGGATTACAGGTGTGTACCACAACATCCAGCCAATTTTTTAAAAAACTTTTCATAGAGATGAGGTCTTACTATGTTGCCCAGGCTGGTCTCAAACTCCTGGCCTCAAGTGATTCTCTCGCCTTGGCCTCTCAAAGTGCGGGGATTACAGAAGTGAAACATCATGTATGGCTGGTGTGATTTTCTAATCACAAAATAGAAATGCCAGGGCCATGCAGGTGAACTTCTACCCATGGGGAGAAAATAGAAAGCAAACTGGACAAGATTAGGGCTGCTTTATGTGCTCATCTTTGCCTTCAAAGGTTCATTTTAATGCAATATTAACAAGACTAAATTTACTACGAAAAATGTAAGTGGAAGGCATTGTGGTAGATACAGCGTCTTATGCACAGGCTTCTTGGCTTCAATGAAGAGGATGATAATCCAGCTGGGAAAATATGAAAATTGATCATTAAAAATCCAAAATTATAAACTGCAGTGTAAGTGACAATTATAATTACCAAAATTAATTTATCATTAAATTATAGTTGAAAAATGTGTAACTACAGGCACCATCATCATCTCATGGTAACTGTACGTGAGAATGGTGACCGGGCGCTGTACGATGCAGTGGCTCTGCTGTACTGATGGTGCCCAACACTTTCTAGAAAGAGGGGCTTTCCTGCTCATGTCACAGCTCTTTAGGTATGTTGAGGCACTTTTCACCCACCAGGAGTGATCAGGAGCTAGGCCATGAGTAAGGTGACTTGACTTTGAAAGGCCAGGAACGGGCTGCTCCCACAGGTCAGGTCATTTCCAACAAAAACGACTGCAATCGTCTTCCCTCAGGATGGAGAGTCAGAGAGAGGCAAGAGGAAGGCTCGGTAGGTGGCCTAATTCCTTGGCACTTGTTCCAATCTGTGCCTCTGTAGTTAACACGGAAAACATGGGACTGCCTAGTCTACTCCTCAGGGGAGAGTGTCCAGAGAAAGGCAGGAATGGTTTGAAACCAAAGAGGGCCCTGGGGCAAGGATAATTGAGAGAGGAGAAGGAGGGTGATATGTGGCAGCCAGGCCAGGACAGAGGCTGGAAGGGGAGATGTTGGCCAGCACATGGGACCAGGACTCAGCTCCCCACCTTCTCTCGATGGAGAATGTTTAAAATTTCCCTAAAGTCTCTGTACTTCCCTCTGTAACCTCTAGAGCTTTGAATGGGGAAATGTGGAAGCTGACAAGTTGAAGATACATCAGGAAAGTCTTTAAACATCCCCAATAAATAACTCCTGGATTCCCAAGGGCAATGAGGAGCTGCTGCAGTTTTCCTGGGAGGTGAGTGTGAAGAAAGGAATGGCCTGTGGACAGCTGGAGCATGTGCTACCCAGGAGACCACGCCTAAGGTGGCTGTGCAGCTTCTAAGAACATCGGTAAATACCCTTGTTCCACCCAGACCGAATTCACACCTGCACAACGCTTTTCTCAGGGAATTACTTTATCCTTTGAAGGAGGCTTCCAGAGAATAAGTCAAAGACACTATTTTTCTAATTGTCCTTTTTTGTTTGTTAGGGTTCTTCCATCCCCTACTTCAAGCTGAATACAAAAGCTCAATGAACAACAGGCACAAAAGATGCAGCAGATGGGAAGGAAACAGTGAATCTATTCTTTACAAGCTAAATGTTTTCAAATCTGGAGAATCTGGGCCAAGCACTGCAAAGGGTACTGCAGACCACACTGTTTTCTCATGGGAAATGCTGGCAGATGAGGAAAAGGGCTGATGAAGAAAGGTAAACGTCTGACAAATGGCATGGCTTTAGAGAATGGAGGCCACTCAGCTGTGTCCTCCACATTCAGGTGAAAAGTTTTTAATGGAAATCTGCTGTATCTTAAGCAGTGCACTAGAAGGTAAAATATCAAGAAGTGATTTGAAAACATACATTACGTTTCGTGCAAACCTTTAGTGGTGCCTACTGAGTACCAGCCACTGCTATTAGGTTGTTGCAAAAGTCATTGTGGTTTTTGCCCTTAAAAAGCAATGGCAGGCCGGGCACGGTGGCTCACGCCTGTAATCCCAGCATTTTGGGAGGCCGAGGCGGGTGGATCACCTGAGGTCAAGAGTTTGAGGCCAGCCTGGCCAGCATGGTGAAACCCTCGTGGTGGGTGCCTGTAATCCCAGTTACTCAGGAGGCTGAGGCAGGAGAATTGTTTGAACCCAAGAGGTAGAAGTTGTGGTCAGCCAAGATCGCACCACTGGACTCTAGCCTGGGTGACAGAGAGGGATTCCATTTACCCCCACCCCCCACAAAATAAAAAAGCAATGGCAAAAACCACAATTACTTTTGCCCCAAACTAATAGATGCTAGGAATGCAAAGATGGGTAACCCACACTCCCTCCCACAGGGAGCTCCATCCTCGAGGGAGTCAGACACACGATGACTGTCTAACCCAGCAAGAAGAAGGCTAGAACACCACTCAGGAAGTCCCAGAAGAAGGAGAAAGTTACTTGGCCAGTGGGACAAACATTTGACCTGGATTCTAAGTAAGAGACAGATGTTTCCACAAAGGGTTCTGGAGAAAACATAGGAGCCAGATGAATAAAGAGCTGACACTGCACCCAGGCCTTGGCCAGATGGGACCAGTGTGCACATGAAAGCCTCCCTGCCTGATTCTGACGCGCAGCCAGGCTGGGGAACCACTAGGAAAAGTCCAGTGCCTTGTCTGACCTGGGGACACAGGGAATAGGAAGGACTTCATGGGGTGCACATCTTTCCAGGCTGGGCCAGTTTCCTTTCATCCCAGAACAAAAAAGTCTCTTCTGAGGAGGGAGATGCAGAGGATATAACTTACTGAACTTCTAGAGATGGCAGTTCCATTAGGCATGACGGATCCTCAGCAAAGAAAATAGTATCGAATCCTCGGGTGAAAAACCTTTAAAAATGGCTTCCAAACCTCTTGCCCCTTCCCTCTGGCATTGGGTGAATACAAAAGGGAATGGAAAAGACTGGACGCTGGAAGCAGGCCCAGCCAACTGTTGCCAGCTTCTCTCACCTGCTCCCACCAGGGGGAAGAAAGGAAGGTACAATGTGGTTCTTTCCCATCCCACCACCAAAGAAGGATTTAAGGATTGACTGGCAAAGGATGTTTCTCTCTGGGAAGGTAAAACCTATTGCTGTTCACATCTTCCAGTGAACTATTTCAGATTTCACTTCACCTTGCTGAGAACAGCTGATTGAAATGATAGCTAGCGCCGATTGCACGCTTGTATGCTGTAGGTACTGTACTGAAAATCCTTTGAAGTTGGCACTACTGCCATTTAACAGAACAGGGAATTGTGGTAAAGAAGTCAAGTAACTTGCCCAAGGCTGAACGAGAGCTAGGAAGCGTGAGGGTTGGAGTCTAACCAGGTGTGTCTGACACCACAGGCCATGCTTTTCAGTGCTTTGCTAGGGAAAGAAGGTTAACAAGAGAGAAGTCTCTAGAACACACTGAGGCCTTCCGGCTGAAGGCAGAAAGCTATTTTTGAAAGGATGTGGACAAAGTGCTTGAAGAAAGTAATCTCTAGTAGATGGAGGGGGATAGGGAATGAAAGGAGGGGCACCCACTCAGCCTCGCCTGGTCAGGCAGCTCCTCCAAGGCCCAGCCTGCTCAATGCACTCAGGCACCCTGAAGCCCTGTTTGTCAGAGTGACAAACCAGCATGACAGGTCAAGGGCTGCCTTCCCCAGCTATGCCCTACGGGTGGCTCTGGGAGTTCTGTGCAAATGCAACTTGAAGAAAAAGAAGCCCTAGGAGGGCTGGGGATTAAGGGAAAAGACTAAAGGACCATTTCTCAGCCTGGAGATGGCAAGTGATTTCATTATGGCCCTAAATAGGACAAAGCTGACAAAGAAGCAGCCCAGTGGCAGTCCACGACAACGCTGCCTTCCCAGTGTGGGTGGAAGCCAGGAGGCGATTACTCAAGCTCCGAAACTGAATGTGCTGAGCCCACAGTCCCGCAGGAGGAAGATGACCGGGTAGGTGGGGAAGTTCCTCCTGCCTCCCAAGGCACTGGCCTTCTCTGCCAGGATGCTGAGTCCGGACAGGACTCCGTCACACTCCAAAACACATGTGAGAAATCAGCTGAGGGCCAGGGCAGAACCAAAACAGAGAACAAGGAGGTGGTCAGACACCAGGGCGTTAGCATGAAGCAGACCTCAGTTCTTACTGGCTACAAAACTTTGTAGGATTTGCTCAACTCTCTCTGAAGTATAGGTGTCCTTTTCTAAAGTGAGAATGACGAAGTAGTTAATACATAGTAAAGCTGAATAAATAATGGTCCCTGATAGTAACAATAATAAATCTATACAGTTGGTCCTTAAACAACACAGGTTTGAACTGCACAGGTCCACTCATACATGGATTTTTTTTCAATAAACATTGAAAAATTTGTTGGAGATTTGCAACAATTTGAGAAAAACTAACAGACCAACTCTGTAGTCTGGAAATAATAAAAAGTTACTAAAAGGTTAAGTATGTCATGAATGCATAAAATATATTTAGATATTGGCCTTTTTTATTTATTACCATAAATATACACAAAGTATAAAAAGTTAACATTTTCAAAACTTAGACACACACTTACAGACCAAACATGGTGCCATTGACAGTTAAGAGAAATGTAAACAAATGTAAAGATGTGGTATTAAATCATAACTGCATAAAATTAACTAGAGTTTATTGTGTACTACTGTAATAATTTTGTAGCCGCCTCCTGTTGCTCAAGTATTGTAAATATCTGCTTAAATTTCTCATGACACTAATCATCTCCACGTAAGCAGTTTCTCCAGTAAATTGCACATTGCAGTAAAAAGTGATCTCTTGCAGTTCTCATATGTTTTTCATCATGTTTAGCACGATATCATAAACCTTGAATAACACCATTGGACCCATACAAAGAACTAATAGTGATCTGGGAGTGCTCCCAAAAAGCAGAGAAAAGTCCAGACAAGAAAAAGTTGAATTGCTTGATATGTGTCATAGATTGAGGTCTGCAGCTTCAATTATCTTCATTTCAAGATAAATGACACATAAAGATGACTGTTAAAAAAAAAGGGAAAGAAAATTTGTGAAGCCATTTGTCATTGCAGCTATGACAGCAAGTGCCAAAACCTTGCACTTTTTCCGAAATACCTTTTATCTCATATTGAAAATGCAGCTTTTATGTGGGTGCAGGATTGCTCTAATATGATTCTAGACTCTAATATTCAAGATAAAGCAAGAATAGATTCTAGACTCTAAGATTCAAGAAAAAGCAAAGTCATTATATGACAACTTAAAGAAAAAAGAAGGTGAAGAATCTAAAGTTGGAGAATTTAATGCCAATAAAAGATGCTTTGATAATTTTACAAAGAGGTTTGGCTTTTAAAATGCCAATATAGACCAGGCACGGTGGCTTATGTTTGTAATCCCAGCATTTTGGGAGGCCAAAGTGGGAGGACCTCTTGAGGCCAGGTGTTCGAAACCAGTCTGAAAAACACAGTGAGATCCCCATCTCTATCAAAAATTGTTTTAAAAATTAGCCGAGTATGGTTGGCACATGTCTGTAGTCCTAGCTACTTAGAAGGCTGAGGTGAGAAGACTGGTTGAGCCAAGGAGTTTGAGGTTACAGTGAGCTATAATGGTGCCACTGTACTCCAGCTTGGTGACAGAGCAAGATGCTGTCTCTAAAAAACCAAAAATTAATTAATTTTAAGAATTAAAAATTTTAAAAACTTTAAAAATATGTCAAGATAACAGAAGAAGCAGCTCCTGCCAACCAAGAGGCTGCATATAAATTCCTAGAGGAAAATGTATCTGCCTGAACAGGTTTTTAATGCAGATGAAAGTGTTCCATTCTAACAAAAAAAAATATATATATATATCCCACAAAGGACGTTTATTAGTAAGGAAGAGAAACAAGCACCAGGATTTAAGGCAAGAAGGGATAGGCTAACTCTACTGTTCTGTGCAAATGCAGTAGGGTTGATGGTCAGGTCTGCCCTTACCTATAAATCTGCTAATCCCTGAGCCTTAAAGGGAAAATATAGACATCAGCTGTCAGTCTTTTGGCTGTACAATAAGAAGGACTGGACAATGAGAACTATTTTTCCAGATTGGTTCCATTGATGCTTTTTTCCTGAAGTCAGGAAGTGCTTTGCCAGTAAGGGACTGCCTTTCAAAGTTCTTTTGATATAGGAAAATGCCTCTGGCCACCCAGAACCCCATGAATTCAATACCAAAGGCATCGAAGTGGTCTACTTGCCCCCAAACACATCTTTAATTCAGTCTCTAAATCAGGAGGTCATAAGGACCTTTAAGGCTCATTACACACATACACTATGGAAAGGATTGAATTGGAAGAGAACCCCAACAGAGAGAACATCATGAAGGTCTGGAAGAATTACACCACTGAAGATGCCATTGTTGTTACAGAAAAAGCTGTGAAAGTTATCAAGCCTGAAACAATAAATTCCTGCTGGAGAAAAGTGTATCCAGATGTTGTGCATGACTTCACAGTATCCATATCCATGACTTAGCCAATCAAGGAAATCAAGAAAAAGATTGTGGATATGGCAAAAAGGTGGAGGGTGGGAGCAGGTAAATAGTTTCAATATATGCATCTTAAATAAAGTCAAGAGCTAATAGACACACCAGAGGAATTAACAGAAGATGATTTGATGGAGACGAGTGCTTCTAAAACAGCACCAGACGATGGGAAAGAAGACATGGGAGATGCAGTGCTAGAAAACAAACTGATATTAGACAATTCAGGAGAAGGGTGGCAATTGCAATTATTCAAGACTTCCTTTACAACACTGACGCTTCTATGACACAGGCACTGAAACTAAAGCAAATGATGGAAGAATTGCTATTCTATAGAAACATTTCTAGGGAAATGAAAAAAGGACAGAAATTACAATGTATTTTCATAAAGTTACCCTGAATGTGCCCACTTCTCCTGTCTCCCCTTCCACTTCCTCCCCCTCTTCCACCTCTGCTACTCCTACAACAGCAAGACCAACTCCTCCTCTTCCTCCTCTTCCTTAGCCTGTTCCAACATAAGAATGAAGACCTTTATGATGATCCACTTCCACTTAATGAATAGTAAATACATCCTATTTTCCTTATGATTTCCTTATAACATTTTCTTTTCTCTAGCTTACTTATTGTATATATGGAATATAATACATATAACATATAAAATATTTGTTAATTGGCTATGTACGTTACAGGTAAGCCCTCTGGTCAACAGTAGGCTATTAGTTAAATTTTGGGGAATGCAAAAGTTATATGCAGTTTTCAATAACTCTGGGGGACAGCACCCCTAACCCCCATGTTGTTAAAGAGTTAACTGTAAATGTAATAAAATATTATTAGAACATAACCACTATGAAGAAGGATAGAGTGAAGTGGCATTCTTTGGCCCAGGTAATATAATCATAGTAACAGCAAGCGCATACTAAGTGTTGACAATGTGACAGGCACCATGCTAAGCACTTAAGCACTTTACACGCATTATCTCAGATAAGTCACCTAACAGCTCTCTGAGTTGCTGTAGTAGGCACAAGCAGGACATCTAGCAGATGCAGGACATCTAAGTCAGATACTTTCCACTTTCCACAGTGTGACTTTATCAGGGACATCATAGCTGTTCTCTAGCCTGAGAAGAGGGCCAAGTGGGCAGAAACAGTCACGGGCTGTGTGACTCCTGCCTTCACTACCCATCAGCTGCTTTATCTTGGGCAAGTTAATTAACCCTATAAACCTTGGTTTCCTCATCTGTAAAACAGGAGGTAATAGGAGTTCTTACACCCTAGAATTGTATGAGAGTTCACCTGATGATTCACACAGGGCACAGCGCTTGGCCTGTCCACAGGATGCATTCAGGAGTCATGTGGCCTTTGCCACTGTGCAGTCCACTGCACTCACACTTCACTGTCACCCTGCTGGGGAGCAGGTGACCTGCAGGAGTGAACACAACAAGAGCACCCTGCATCACAGAGCAGGGAAGAAAACCGTTCCATGCCTCAGAATGCTGTTTTCCCCAAAACCAGCAATAATCACTCTGATCACCAGGCAACACGAAGGCAGTAATGTGGTCTGTCTTGTTCACTGCAGAACGTTCCAGGACATTATCATAATTAGAGTTTTCCACGCACCCAGGATGGTGCTGGGCCATTTACATCATTCTTCCTCCTTTGGGGCCTCTGAGGCTTAGAGAGACTAAATCATTTGCCCTAGGACACACAATTAGTATACGATGCAGCTGGGAATCAAACCCAGGTCATGTGACAAATGTGCCCATCATCTCCATGCCAAATTGCCTGTCTTCCCTGCCCCTCTCTGCCACCACGGCCTGTCCTCAGACAGCTTTGCAGCACAGCAACTTGAGTTCCAGAGCTTCACAGTTGAGCGAATTTTGGGAAATTATCCAGCTCTCATCCAAAATTCTCCCTCAACAGAAGGAGCAGAGGGTCCACAGAAGAAAGCACCTGCAGGGGACACAGGGCTAGAAATGACACAGTGCTTGTCACCTGACCCCCAGACATAGTTCTATGACATTTCTTACTTTTCTTACTTCTGTCCATTGTAAACAAATGCATCTTCCTCCTGTCCACACAGTTTAGAATACATCCCTGTCATGGAGGGCTTAATCCTGAAGAAGTCAATATCAGAGACCACCATCAAATCCATGTTGACATTTCAAAATTAAAAACAGAGGCTGGGCACCATGGTTCATGCCTGTTATCCCAGCCCTTTGGGAGGCTGAGGGAGGATCATTTGAAGCTGTAGTAAGCTATGATTGTACCACTGCATTCTAGCCTGGGAGACACGGTGAGACTTTTAAAATATTTATGTATTTATTCATTAATATTTTAAATAAATAAATGTTGTAAAAGAAATTGTATCACCTGCACTTACTATACTGCATATATTTCACAGGCCTTATCAAATTTTCACAACAGCCTACGAAGTAGCCAGTATTATTCTTCCTGTTTAATAATTGAATAAGTCAAAACTTCAAGAGGTAAAGAAAATTGCCAAGGTCACACAGCCAGTTAAATAGTAGAGCCAGAACTTACACCCATGACTGGTGGCTCTTCACATGCTCAGCTTAATCATGAGGCAATACAGCTTCAAGTTTTACCCACCACAGGAAGCATTTAAGTTGTGTTCGTGGACTCCTAGGAGCCCAGGAGTAGGAAATCCTTCATGCAGTGTGCCCTTGAGCAGGGGACACTATTAAATCGCAATGTCACAGGAGGGCTGCAGGAGCATGCTTGGGTAGACTGCAGCCTGGAGCTAAAGCAATTTACCAAGTAAAGAGAATCAGAAAAGTCTTCATCCCCGCAGAGTCTGGTGGGGATGACAGAGGTCACACACATCATCACCTACATAATAATATATTGTTTATTGTCTTAATTGCGATGGAGAAAAACACAGAGGACTATAAGAATATGTAGCCAGGGGCCTGACCTGGTGTGAGAGGCTGAGGAAATCCTCCCTGAAGATGTGAAAATTAGGTTGAGAACAGAGGACAGGTCAGAGCGGTTAACCAGGAGGAAGAGGAGGGAAGGGGACAGGGCAGAGCACTATCTTCCTTTCCACTTGGCTTTCTGCTCTGATCCCAACCTGGGTCTATGAGATAAGCTGTACAGCTGACCTCACTTATGCTGCTCCATTAGGCAAAGGTTCTGAATGCAATCCCCTACCCAATGCGCCATCAGAGTGCTACATGAGCCTGAGCTCAGCCCAAGTCACCAAGCTCAGGCATTGATTAATGAAACCATGTCTGTTCGGCACCACCAGGGGTGAGGAATTACATCCCAGATTACCAACGCCTATGTGTAGCCCGTTAGAGCACTGCAGTGATTCAAAAAATAGTTTCTTTAGAAGTGAAGGATTTTTCTATAAGGAAAGAAAAATCTAGAAATCAACCAGAATTCTAAAATAAACAATCAAAGCAAAATACAAGCTGATGGTCTCCTTCTAAAGACTTAACTCACAAGCCACGCTGTGAATTTTCAGCTATGACTCTAATAGCTCAATGGACAACCCCTGGGGAATCTTTGCTGAGGCCACAGTTGAAAAGCCTGTTTCTGCATGCTGAAGGCAGTCATTCCAGGCTTTCACAGTCTAGAGTGCCACTTCACCCACTCGGCAATCAGATGCATAACTTTCAGATACAAATGTGCCACTCTTGGTGTGTGTATATATATATAAAATATATATTGTGCCTATCATGGCATCAACTTGGTTAATATTTATTATGTAAGGCCACATTCTCCAGTTCAAAGATCACTGAATCTGTAGTCAGACAGGTCAGGACATGACCCTCTGCCCTGAGACAAATTCATTTCCCTATTTGAACCTGGCTGTCTTATCCAACAAAATGAGGATGTTAGTCTAGAACACAGGTTGCCAAAACCAAGAATTCTACCTTGGAATCCACCAGTGAAGTGTGTTTAAAAAAAAACAAAAATCCCTAGCCCAGGCAGGAATCTGAGATCCCTCCAGTGCTAACTCCCCATGACTTTCTGAAATAAGGCTGAGCAGATGAAAACAGAGCCACTTCCCTATGAAGTGTAATTTCTGAATTTCAATTCCCTTCAGGAGCAAAGCATTGCTCAACACTTCCTAAGAAGGTTGCTTAATGGTGGGAAACAGCATGCACATACTGCACGAGTAGCCAAGGGCTACTACTGTGCAGAATGGAGGTGAAAGGTACAAATACCAGCTGGACAGAATATTTAAGGAACAGTGTGTATCTTCATTTCTGAGACCCCTAAAGATTGCTGAATGGCAATTTCACATCATTATAGCTAAGCTTTAAGAAACTTAATCCTGCAAAACCACATAGGATGAATGAGAACAGGAAGCCTGGCAGAGAAAAGAGCAGTTAGGTAAAGCCTTTAAGCAAACATGAGCAGAGAAGCCATGTGGCCAAGCCCTGTGTTCATAAAAAAAACCTGATCTCCAAGTGAGGCTACACAGTCAGTCAAAGAGGCCCATGGCAACAGGACTGAAAGATGCTCACCATTCAGCTGTAGACTCAGGTTCCACAAGGAATGTGGTACCAAAAAATGAATAATGTTTTAATACATTTTGTAATTACTTGTAAATAGTATGAATGTATAGCAGTATTTTTGTGTGTATTAAAAGCATTAATTTCTTAAACTATATAAGCAAACTGAATTTCCATAATCCTGTCTTGAAATTCTTTCTTTCTGTTAGTATACGAGGAGCCTTGAAAATGGAAATGGCTCAAGACTCTCTCAGCTGCTGAGCTTATTTCAGGCGCCCAGTTAAGTGGTAACAAGAGCCTAATGTAGGCTGGTGGTCAGGGAAACAGAAGAAAAAGATGAACTGAAGCAATTTAACGTGGGTGGCCTAGAGAGGACCCGTGGTCAAGAATGATTCTGCAGATTCCAGGCTAGGTCATTAGGAGGATGCTGGTGCTATTAATAATAGAGGAGGAAGTCAGGAGGGGAAGCGGGATGCATGAGAAGAGGACGCGTTTCACTTTGGGTGTGAAAGGCCTTCTCCATTCTTTTTATCTATTTGCCTTTAAACACCGGAAATAACACCAGTGGCAACAACCTTGCTCTTGAATAGGAGTGAAGGACAGTAAAGAGCCTCTGTCCATGCTCTGTTTTAGAATGTGGAAATGCAAACCATCAGGAAAGCGCCTATGCAGTTCTTAGGAAAATCACAATTCCTTTAGAGAACTGAGTTGTTCACTGTAGACTTCCTTGAAGACTCCCCACTGAGGTTAGCTCATAGCAGGTATGACATACACATCAGTGATCCCCTACAGGGAGGGCCTCTCAGAATAGAGAAAGAACATGAGGACCAAATGCTATGAACAGATTTAGCTTAGAGTAAATACTTTCAGTCTATATTCCCCCATTCTAAAGACCTAGACTCTCCACTCTCCCAATCCCCAACCCTCTTGCCAAAAATAAAATAAAGTATATATAATATATCCCACAGAGGTTAAAAAAAAAAAAGAAAAAACAAAGCACACAAGAAGTCAGGGGCAAACCCAGGTGTAGCACCAAGGTCCCATAAGTCTCCTTTCTATTACCTGGGAGCATATCAAGACTCATGCTCACTTTCTTCATATTCCAGGGCACTGCACCTTCCCCTGCAACAGTGTGATACACACAGGTAGGGCATGTGACTCTGAGTGTTTTAACCACTGTATGGAGAGAGAAGTCTGAAGCTGGATATAGGAGGAGAGCTCTCAGCAAGTTTTACTGAGATGCTTACCATCATTTAACAGTGATTCACGTTACTAATTAATCAACTATAATTTTAAGAAAAATAATATAAAGCATTTTTCTTTATACAGTGTCTGAAATCAGTATACAGGGGTTATTCTTTGGGGGAAAAAAAAGGAAGGAAACCAAGATCATATGCTCGCTCTAGCATAAAATATATGTTTTGAGTGTTTTGAGCACAGGAAAAACTAAAAGCTCTCACTATAACTCATCACTCATTTTATAACATATTTATAAAAAGGAAGCTTAATGGCATATATCTGTAAAGCATAAAAATCTCAAGAGTTAGAAATCAAATTTCAAAAAAAATGGTTGTCGTGGCCACCTAAACATTATTAAAATCTTATTACAGCTAGAACACATGGAAGAAAAAAGTTAAACTAGGATAAATTAAGAAAAAACAAAGCAAATAATAATACAATGCTCACATTAACACAAAGGGTGTTTAAGTTTGCTTTGAATAACAATTTGGGCAGGAATTGAGGCAAAGGTGGCTCTTTTGCCCGTATAACACTTAAATTGAAGAATAAATAGCTATCTAACTACCTTAATCTAAACCTTAATTTCCCCAAGAAAAGTCTCCAGAAACAAAAAAATGTTAGAGAATAAGCTACATCTTACTTGAACCTGGGAGGCGGAGGTTGCAGTGAGCCAAGATTGCACCATTGCATTCCAGCCTGGGCAACAAGACCGAAAATCCGTCTCAAAAAAATAAATAAATAAATAAGCTACATCTGGAGAGATAATTGAATAAAGATTAGATCCTTCTTCTGATAACTGCTTAATAATTTCAATCAGTCTGTCTAGAAATTCCTTTATCTGCACTGGAAACTGCAGTTTTGCTTGAGTTATAAAATGAGAGAGAGAAAAAAGATATACATATATATGTATATATATACTTTTTAAGCCAAAGCTACAAGAACTTTCATATATTCATAGTGATAGTAATTATCAGGACACATGCACATGAAAATCAGCTTGGCAATATATATCAAAATCACAAATGCATATATCCTGTGATCCAAAAATTCTACTTCTGGACATGTATCATGTAAATAAACTTGCACACACAAAAGCTTATTTACAGCAGCAATATTTGTTAACAGAAGACTGAAATAGCACAAATATGCATTAATAGGACACTTGGTAAATAAATAATGATACAGTCATATAGTGAAATATCATGCACTTCTGGAAGATGTGCTTTATGTATTGTATGGAAAGATCTCCAAGATATTAAGTAAAAAATTCAAAGAACAAAATAGTGCCATCTTTTGCATTCAAATGGAGGCAAGGGAAAAATAAGAATCTGTGTGTGTATTTGTTTCTAATGAGATTTTTGGAAATAAAAAGATTTTAAAATGAAGTTATTTCAAAAAGATACACAAAAAAGCAGGAAGTAGGGAGTGAGAGAGAAGGGAGGCATTTCACTGTATGTCTTCTAATTCTCTGATTTTTAGATTATGTGAATTCAAAAAAATTAAATAATTTTTAAATAGCAAAAGCCATCTATTTAATGCTCAAAACATTTCATTAAATACACTTCCTTAAAAAAACAAAGCCTCAGAGATTTTAGCATATCCTCAAATGAATCTGGCCTTTGAACAAAAAATTAGATGACTCTTGTCCTTACTTCTTTAAAAGAAAATTATTTTTCTTTGCCTTGCAAACCTCAACACAGTTAGTGCTTTCGTCTAAAAATAATCCCATTTCAATGTTTTTAAGTTAAATCTGAACTTGGTTACTAACACAAAACCCAGAAGAATTCTGGTTTTTACTTTTAAGAGCCTTCCCATACCTTTGTCAGAATGGTTCTTCCTCCCATGAGGAATTCGGTTAAGGCACAGAATATATCCATCTTCTGTCTCAACTAGGTATTCCTCACTAGGGAATCCCCAGTAAGAGATAATTTCACTCTGTAGAGAAAAAGGACGATGGAAATTGGGTGGACAGAATCTGAAACAGTCTCCCACATTAACAAGCAAAGGAGCAGATAAACTATGTTCTCCAGGCTTTAAGAAAGCATTTGTCATTGAAATTTTAGTCTGCTAAATCTAGTAGCCAACTTCTCATCACAAGAGTAAATCCTCCCTTGTTTCACGCTTGTGTTCCACCTACCGGTGTCTGGTTAAACTTCAGTTTCATCATTCTAGCATGTTTTATACCAAATTTGCCTAACTTTACCACATCTTGGGCCTCTTTGTTTCCATCCTGCCTACCGGGCACAAATAAATGCTCATTTCTTTCTTTTCTAAATATCCCAGCTAGAACTGTCAATGTATAAAACACTTTCTTTGTTTTGAGAGATCCCCTGCTGGCCAATAAAGTATAAAAAATATTAACTTGTTTTTATCAATGGACTAAAATAATTACATAGAATGTCAAGGTGGGATGGAAGAAAAGTTGAACAAAATAGGGAATTATGGTCACATTCACTTTTCTATAAGGAAGGATTCATGGGACAATTGTTAATCAGGAGCTCAGTGGGATATGGATAATTCAATTATCCAGGGGATTTAATGTAAATAAGTGCACATACCCTCTCTACCATAAGTACTTGAAAGAATTTAATTTTATCATTCTTATTTAAAAAATTATTTTAAAAGTTGGAAAAATTGGGAGGCAAAAGAAAAGCTTTGAGCTAAGAAGTAAAACTTAACTTTAAGACCCTGTTATCAGGTCATACTCTCCTGGCTCACTGTGAATTTCTCTGCGAGTCCCTAAGCTTGCCTGATTCTTCAGCTGGGTCACTGCAACATCTATTTTAAAGTTGCTGTTTTCTTTAATAATTTGTACTTTACTGATATTTTGTGCCTAAATGAGGTATTTCCAGATTTTATTGTTTACTTACGATTAATAACTTTCAGATGTTTTAATTAGTCGAGTGGTTATTTTTGCATATTTTTTCTAACAAAATTTAGCTCAGATACTTTGACTTCTGTATAGAAATATGTTCCCTGGACATTCTTAATCACAACCTTTGTTCAATGTATTCTAAAACCAGCTCTCAATAGCGGTAATGTTCTTGCAAAGTTTAAATACTTTTTTATAGTTTAAACAAACTTAGTGAGACTTAAAAATGAAATGAATTAATAAAAAATCATAATTTATCTTATTAAGAAGTATATATAACATTAAACTGAGGTTTGTTGGCTACATATTACCTGGTGAGAAAAGCCTAGCAAATTGAATCTAAGATTCAGAGAAATTGGGCTGGGCACGGTGGCTCACGCCTGTAATCCCAGGACTTTGGGAGGCTGAGGTGGACAGATCACCTGAGCTCAGGAGTTCAAGACCACCCTGGGCAACATGGTGAAACCCTGTATCTACTAAATACAAAAAAAATTAGCCAGGCATGGTGGTGCATGCCTGTAGTCCCAGCTACTTGGGAGGCTGAGGCTCGAGAATCACTTGAGCCCCTGAGGCGGAGGTCGCAATGAGCCGAGATCACACCACTGCACTCCAGCCTGGGCGGGCAGGTGACAGAGTAAGACTCTGCCTCAAAAAAAAAAAAAAAAAAAAAAAAAAAAAAAATTCAGAGAAATTGAAAAGCAAAGGAGTTATAAAGAGATGAATGTATGGGTATGGCTTCATGTAGCTCACATAACTGGATCGGGGAAATAGATGCATTTTAAAAGTACATAACTTTGAGAAACTTACCACATTCATGTTTGTTTCAGGATCCACAGCTGTCAGTTTCCCTCCAGACCCCTCAGAATGCAGGGTCCAGAGAACCAAACAGACCACCAACCCCAAGAACCGCATTTTCATTCTGTATAATAAAACAGTCTATTATTATTTGCTTGAATTTTACTACACAAAAATATTCTGGTAACTTAATGCTCCCACAAAAAGTTCTGAACCAGATTTAGGGCAAGTAAAAGGTGAAAGGAAAATATGAAACAAATGACTCCAGCCATATCTGAAAGGAGAATAAGGAATTTTTAAATTTTATTTATTTATTTTTATTTTATTTATTTATTTATTTATTTATTTATTTATTTATGTTGAGATGGAGTCTTGCTCTGTCACCCAGGCTGGAGTGCAGTGGTGCAATCTCAGCTCACTGCAACCTCTGCCTCCTGGTTCAAGCAATTCTTCTGCCTCAGCCTCCCAAGTAGCTGGGACAACAGGCACGCACCACCACGCCTGGCTAATTTTTGTATTTTTGTAGCGATGGGCTTTCACCATATTGGCTAGGCTGGTCTCGAACTCCTGGCTTCGTGATTCGCCCACCTCGGCCTCTCAAAGTGCTGGGATTACAGGCGTGAGCCACCGCGCCTGCCCAGGAATTTTTTTTTTTTTTCGGAGTCTCGCTCTGTTGCCCAGGCTGGAGTGCAGTGGCACAATCTCGGCTCACCACAACCTCCGCCTCCCAGGTTCAAGCGGTTCTCCTGCCTCAGCCTCCAGAGTAGCTGGGACTACAGGTGCAGGCCACCATGCCCGGCTAATTTTTGTATTTTTAGTAGAGACAGGGTTTCACTATATTGGCAAGGCTGGTCTCAGATGACTTCGTGACCTGCCCGCCTCCGCCTCCCAAAGGAATTATTATTATTATTATTTTATATTTATTTATTTATTTATTTATTTATTTATTTATTTATTTATTTATTTTGAGGCTGAGTCTCGCTCTGTCGCCCAGGCTGGAGTGCAGTGGCGCAATCTTGGCTCACTGCAAGCTCCGCCTCCCAGGTTCAGGCCATTCTCCTGCCTCAGACTCCCAGGTAGCTGGGACTACAGGCGCCCGCCACCACGCCCGGCAAATTTTTTTGTATTTTTTTTTTTTTAGTAGAGACGGGGTTTCACTGTGTTAGCCAGGATGGTCTCGATCTCCTAACCTCGTGATCACGCCTCGGCCTCCCAAAGTGCTGGGATGACAGGCGTGAGCCACCGCGCCCGGCCCAAAGGAATTACTTTTAACTAAGAAACCTCCCACCCACCACCTCCAGTTGATATATGACCTTTGGAGTCCAGCATACCCATTCACCTCCTAACCCCAAAGTTAAAAACAAATTGGTCATGGAGAAATAACAAAAGGCAAGACTTAGAAGAGGATAGTTTGAGAAAAAGAAAGAGACACAAAATTTCTGAGCTTGCTTATTTCCCACCTCTTGCCTTCCACCTATGATTTAGACATGTTTAAGTTCAGCCACTATTAGCTCTTCCTCCTACTTATCTAACCACTATTAGCTCTTCCTCCTACTTATCTAACCACTTCTGTTCTTGCCCCAAATTATACGTCAGCATTTAAATTTGTCATTCATGGGAAAAAAGTGAAATGAAAGAAAATAGAGCTTTCAAAAGAAACAGAAAGGAAAAATTTGACCCGTCTCTCTCCTTCTGAAATTCTCTAACCATCAAATCAACAAAGACCATCTTGGTTTCTGGCAGTGATGACTCAAAATCACAGCAAAGACCTTGAGGATGCTGAAGGCAAAGTTAAATGCCTCTCCTAAGATCACGCAAGTGGTCAGAGAAAAACCTAGGACTAGATCCCAGAACTTCTACATTTTTAAAAAATAAATAGAATCACTTAAAAAGATGCAGGCATGTATGCCCATACAAAGACTTGTACATAAATGTTTATAACAGCTTTGGGTGTAATAGACAAAAACTGGAAAAACCCAAATGCTTTAAATGGATGATTGGATAAATTATGGTATATACCTACTACTCAGCTATAAAAGGGAAGGAACACAAAAAAATATAGATTAATCTCAAAATAATTATGCCAAAAGAAGCCAGATCAAAATAAGGAAAAAAAAAAGTACTGTCTGATCCCATTCATATAAAACTCCACAAAATGCAGTCTAATCTATATTCACAGAAAGCAGATCAGTGGTTTCCTGGAGAGAAGGGGCAGTAAGAAAGGATCACAAAGGGGTATGCACAAATAATATTTTGGAGGTGATGTACAGGTTCATAATATTGAATGTACTGATGGTTTCACAGGTGTGTACACATGCAAAAACTTATACAATTGTACAATTGAAATATGCCATGCTATTGTATGTCAATAATACTCCAATACAGCTGTTTGTTTTTAGTTTTGTGTTTAAACTGAATATTCCACAAGTCTTAAGAAATTGATTCTCAGGAGATTGCAAAAGTGAACTGACTCCCTTCTGTTGATGGAATTCCTCCTGGGATTATTTTTTTCCAAGAAGTAGTGAACTCTGAAATTCTTTTCTTTTTTCTTTTTTCTTTTTCTTTTTCTTTTCTTTTCTTTCTTTTTTTTTTTTGAGACAGTCTTGCTCTGTCCCCCAGGCTGGAGTACAGTGGCGAGATCTTGGCTCACTGCAAGCTCCACCTCCTGGGTTCAGGCCATTCTCCCGCCTCAGCCTCCCAAGTAGCTGGGACTACAGGCGCCCACCACCACGCCTGGCTAATTTTGTTTTTGTATTTTTAGTAGAAACAGGGTTTCACCGTGTTAGCCAGGATGGTCTCGATCTCCTGACCTCGTGATCCGCCGGCCTCGGCCTCCAAAAGTGCTAGGATTACAGGCGTGAGCCACCGCGCCCGACCGTGAACTCTGAACAGGAGCAAACGTTATCCCCTTCAGTGTGCATTGGCAAAGCAAGGCCACTGCTTCTACTTACAACTTTGTACTTCTTCATGATAGGAAGGATTGTACAGCCCCAGGCTATTTTTTATCATAAATGCAACCTCCCAAAAGTCCATTATTACTAGAGAATAAGGAGTAAATTGAAAGGGAAAAAATTAAAGGAATTACCACAATTGAAAACAGAATAGCATCTGCAGGAGCTGCTTTCATTCAGCGGTTTTCCTACAGAACCTGTATCAACCGCCCAGAGGAAGGTCCATGAGAGTAACAGCTAAAGCTACTCAGCTGAAAATCTCACCCAGTTAAGTTTTCCTTCCAACACAACACTACATACTTAGTATGTTTTTCTCAACATACTAAGCCAAGCAATTCTTACTAAGAAGGAGATACTCTGAAAATCTCGAAGGAGGGGGGAAAAAAAACCTTCCAGGCTGAATTAAGTGTGCTTTTCTGGGCTGTATTAACACCTTTATCTCAGTTATTTAGACTTTGTAACAATCTGACTCAGCTTTGTACCCCCAGGACCAAGCAAAGTGCCACGTATATATTAGATGCATAGTACAGATTCTGAAAAAAGATAAGAGCAGTCCAACAGTTCAGTGGCAGAAGAAAAGGCCCCAACGCAGCATGCTATTTAACTTTCTAATAACAACAATTATTACGACTCCCATTTAAGCTCTTGCGAGGCGCCAGCCACCGCAGGCAGCGCTTCTGATCTACTGTCAATTACTCCTCCACCGACCCTATGGCAGTACCATTAATTCCATTTTTCAGGAATCTGAGGTTCACCCAGCTGAAGTACTGGAAGCAAAGTGTCAGCTGTTTAAAAAGCAGTATCGCTGGGACTTTAACCAGGATTGATGCCCAAGTCTGCTTTCGACCACGCCGTTGGCTAACAAGAGAGGTAGGATGGGATGCCTGGAGGAGCTAAGGGGAGAGCACGAGGATGCAGAGAGAGGAATCAGACATCCCTGCTGTCCTCGCGGTCCAGGAGCACTGGGCAGCTTCACTGACCGGAGACCGCGCCTGTCCAGGAAAGTGGACAGCGCCCAGGGAAGAGAGTGGGCTTCTCTCTGAAGTTGCTCTCTGAAGTTGCCCTGGTTGATTGGCAGATGCCTTGAGCCAACGCCCGCAGAAAAAGCACCCGCAGGCACCCCAGGCAAGACTCGCTGGGTCCAAACGCAGAGGGTCTTGCCGGCCGGCAGAGCCTCGGGGCGCGACCCTCCCCTTGCTGAAGGCACCAGCTTCCACGCCGCACCCGCACCTGGCAGCGCCGCGGCGCCGGCACTCTCACCTGGAGCTGTCCTGCCGGGCCGCTGTCTCGAGTCGCAGTGCCAGCTCTCAGGGGCCGGGGTGCGGATAGGGGACCTGCAGGGGGCCTGGTCTGCCTTGTCGGGAGGGCGGATGCCCACCACCCTCGGACTATTTGTTCAGCCAATCAGAGCAGCCAGCCACCGGGAAGTGCCTCGGAGACTCCGCCCCAGACCAGCGCTGCCGCTTGCCAGCCCCCCAGTTGACCCCATAGAGCATGCGCCGTAGGCGTTTCTAAGAGATGGAGCCCGTCCTCCGCCTCGCAGGCTGGCAGGTCCACAGCTCTACCAGCGCGTCGCCTACGCATGCTCTCTTAGCAAAGGCTGTTTTAGGCGGCCTTCTGCTCCGCCCCCGAAGCTCCTGCAGGGCTGGCACCTTCTGCGCCTGACAGAGAGCATGTGGGCTCTATAAATGAAAGTGAATCATGGGCTCCATTTAAAGCGCTTATCATTGTGCCTGATGCAAAGCAATCTTGCTGCTTTAAATTTTTTATTATTATTAAAGATTTGTTAAAAGAGGAAACAATATTCAATATGTACATATTATTTATTAATCATTTTCTAAAACAAAGATTTTATTGAGCACCTACTAAATGCCAGGCATTAGTAAGACAGTGGAGGTATAGAAACCAACCAAACAAGGTTCCTGTTCTCTTGTATATATTCTGATGGGAAGAGACACATCATGAATAACTATATAATACATGAGGTGGTGATAAGTGCTATAAATAACAACAAAAACAAACAAACAACAACAACAACAAACAACAAGGGGCTGGGCACAGTGGCTCACGCCTGTAATCCCAGCAGTTTGGGAAGCTGAGGAGGGCGGATCACCTGAGGACAGGAGTTCAGGACCAGCCTGGCCAACTTGGTGAAACCCCATCTCTACTAAAAATACAAAATTAGCGGGTGTGGTGGTGTGTGCCTCTAATCCCAGCTCCTTGGGAGGCTGAGGCAGGAAAATGGCTTGAACCAGGTAGGTGGAGGTTGCAGTGAGCGGAGATCATGCCACTGCACTCCAGCATGGACAACAGAGTGAGACTCCATCCCCCAAAAAAAAAAAAAAACAGGGATAAGGAGGATGATATGTATATGGTAATCAGGAAAGGACTCTTATGAAGTGACACCTGAGCACAGGCAAGGAGGTAGTTAACAGCCTTAGATACTGGAGAAAGCACATTCTGGGTGAAAATAGCAGGTACAAAGGCCCTGTGGTAGGAATATTCCTGGTGGGTCCTAGCCAGAGTGGTGAGGTCTTTGAGGCTAAAACAGAATGTACATAGTAGAAAGTAATAGAACATGAAGTCCTAGAAGTCTGGTGCCTTGGGAGCCACTTGTCAAGATCTTACCGTGTCTTCTGAGTAAGATGAGAAGCCAGTGTAATATTTTCAATAGAAGGGCAGCATAATCTAGTTTAGAAAGATCATTCTGAACTACAGAAGCAGGGAGACTAATTAGAAGGTGTATTAGTCTGTTCTCATGCTGCTAATAAAGACATACCCAAGACTGGGTAATTTATGAAGGAAAAAGGTTTAACTGACTCACAGTTTCACAGGACTGGGGAGGCCTCACAATCATGGCAGAAGGCAAAAGGCTTGTCTTACATGGCGGCACATGTGAGAGAAAGAACCAAGTAAAAGGATTTTCCTCTTATAAAACCATCAGACCTTGTGAGACTTATTTACCACCACAAGAACAGTATGGGCTAGACTGCCCCCATGATTCAGTTATCTCCCACCGGGTCCCTCCCACAACATGTGGGAATTACAGGAGCTATAATTCAAGATGAGATTTGGGTGGGGACACAGCCAAACCATATCATTCTGCCCTTGGCCACTCCCAAATCTCATGTCCTCACATTTCAAAACCAATCATGCCTTCCCAGTAGTCCCCCAAAGTCTTAACTCATTTCAGCATTAACTCAAAAGTCCATAGTCCAAAGTCTCACCTGAGACAAGGCAAGTCCCTTCCACCTATTAGCTGGTAAAATCAAAAGCAAGTTAGTTGCTTCTTAGATACAATGGGGGTACAGGCATTGGATAAATACACCTGTTTCAAATGGGAGAAACTGGCCAAAATGAAGGAGCTAAAAGCCGCATGCAAGTCCAGATCCATCAAGGCAGTCATTTCTTAAAGCTCCAAAATGATCTCCTTTGACTCCATGTCTCACATCCAGGTCACACTGATGCAGGAGGTGGGTTCCCATGGTCTTGGGCAGCTCTGCCCCTGTGGCTTTGCAGGGGGACCCTTCCTCCTGGCTCCTTTCACAGGCTGGTGTTGAGTGTCTGTAGCTTTCCCAGGTGCACAGTGCAAGCTATCGGTGGATCTACCATTCTGGGGTCTGGAGGACAGTGGCTCTCTTCTCACAGCTGCACTAGGCAGTGCCCCATTGGGGACTCTGTGTGAGGCCTCCAATCCCACATTTCCCTTCTGCACTGACCTAGCCCAGGCTCTCCTTGAGGGCCCCACCCCTGCAGCAAACTTCTGCCTGGACATTCAGGCTTTTCCACACATCCTCTGAAATACAGGTGGAGGTTCCCAAACCTCAATTCTTGACTTCTGTGCACCCACAGGCTCAACACCACATGGAAACTGCCAAGGCTTAGGGACTGTACCCTGTGAAGCCATGGCCTGAGCTGTACTTTAACCCCTTTTTGCCATGGCTAGAGTGACTGGGACACAGGCTGGGACACAAGTCCCTAGGCTGCACACAGCAGGGAGGACCTGAGCCAGCCCACAAAAGTATTTTTTCCTCCTAGGCCTCTGGGCCTGTGATGGGAGGGGCTGCCTCAAAGGTCTCTGACATGCCCTGTCAGACATTTTCCCCATTGTCTTGGTAATTAACATTTGGCTCCTCATTACTTATGCAAATTTCTGCAGCCAGCTTGAATTTCTGCTCAGAAAATGGGTTTTTCTTTTCTATCGTATTGTCAGACTGCAAATTTTCTGAACTTTTATGTTTTGTTTCCCTTTTAAAACTGAATTCTTTTAACAGCACCCAAGTCACCATTTCAATGTTTTACTGCTTAGAAATTTCTTCCCCCAGATACCCTAAAGCATCTCCCTCAAGTTCAAAGTTTCACAAATCTCTAGGGCAGGGACAAAATGCCCCCAGTATCTTTGCTAAAACATAGCAAGAGTCACCTTTACTACAGTTCACAACAAGTTTCTCATCTCCATCTGAGACCACCTCAGCCTGGATTTCATTGTCCATATCATTATCAGCATTTTGGTCAAAGCCATTCAACAGTTCTCTAAGAAGTTCCAAACTTTCCCACGTCTTCCTGACTTCTTCTGAGCCCTCCAAACTGTTCCAACCTCTGCCTGTTACCCAGTTCCAAAGCCACTTCCACATTTTTGGGTATCTTTACAATAGCACCCCATTCTACTGGTACCAATTTACTGTGTCAGTTCTTATGCTGCTAATAAAGACATACCCAAAACTAGGTAATTTGTAAAGGAAAGAGGTTTAATTGACTCACAGTTCCACGTGGCTAGGGAGGCCTCACAATCATGGCAGAAGGCAAAAGGCACGTCTTACATGGCAGCAGACATGAGAGGATATGAGAACCAAGTGAAAGGGGTTTCCCCTTATAAACCCATCAGATCTCATGAGACCTAGTCACTACCACAAGAAAGGTATGGGGAAAACTGCCCCCCATGATTTAATTATCTCCCACTGGGTCCCTCCCACAACATGTGGGCATTATGGGAACTACAATTCAAGATAATGATTTGGGTGGGGACACAGCCAAACCATATCAGAAGGCTACCACAATAGTCCAAGTGAGAGTTAATAATGACTTGGACCAGGATGGTGATAGCAGTGAAAGTGGAGAAAAATAGGCAGCTCTAGGTATGTTTATAAAGTTGAACCAATAGGACTTGCTGGTGGATTGAATACAGGTATGAGAGGGACAGTAGCATCAAGGATGGCACTAATGGAGTTGCCATGAATTTGAATGGACAAACTACCAGGAAGAACAACTTGAGAGGGAAATTAGGAGTTTGTTCTAGATGTGTTGGTTTTGAGATGCCTTTTAGAGACCTGTGTCAACTCAGGCCATGTCAGGAAATAGAAGCCACTCTAGGCATTGCAAACAGAGGACATGGTTACACAGGTAATGACATTGCTGAGAAGACAAACAGGGTTTGGGTGGCACCACAGAAATTATTAGCAACAGTGGAAAGAGCTGGGGCATTATTGGATGAAGGAAGTGTCATACCATAGACCAGAAGTTGAGCAACAGTCTCTGTCAGAGACACTACTCATGGCCAAGAAAGAGAGGAGCTAGAAATAGCTGGACCTCCCCTTCTTTCTTCCTTCTTCCTTCAGTCTTCCACAAGTCCCTTCTGAGGATCCTAGGCAGGCTAAAGGTGGCTGACACAAGAGCCTGCAGAGGTCAGACCACTCCACCCTCCACAAGACAGAGCAGAGCAGAGGTAGGACAGGGAAAGGATTTGGAACAAAAAGGAGAAGATTGGAAAAACATCCACATGGAGATGTTGAGTAGGGACTAGGATATATAGATGTATTCAAGCTCCAGGCTAGAGATATGATTTGTGACTAATCAGATTAGAAACAGTATTTAAAGACATGAGGCTGGAGGAGATCCCCTATAAAGTAAGCATAAGTAGCAAAGAACACACGTAGAGATTCAGAAGATATAAAAGCTGAGAAGACAATGAGGTTGGAGGAGAAATGAGTGTGTTGTACTTGACATGAACTGAAGAAAGAAATTTCATGAAAGAGGAAATGATCAGCCCAGGCAAGTGCCAATGACAGCTTAAGTGAAGTGAGTACTGAGAAACGAGCAACAGATTGAGCAGCATTTCTGTGTGTCAGACATTGGGCAATATAGTTACCCTTTCTAAGCCTCAGCGTCTTCACTTGTAAAATGGGTGTATGAAGGTAGTCTTGAGGATTAAGTGAGACACTGTATGTAGAGGGCTTAGCACAATTTCACAAAAGTAAAAAGTGATGTAGCCCAAAATGCAACCCAGGCAAACTAAATCCAGGTTGTCATCCGTGAGTGAATGAATGAAAATATAACCACGAGGTTCCTTCACTCAGGTAGGGGAAGATTTCTCCTACTTCCTGCTTTGGGCCATTGTGAGCCACAGTGACTGGTGGATGACCTATACCTTTTCCAAGTTAAACTTAATAAAGAGAGAAAAGGAGACTCTACATAAGAAAATGATATTTATTCAGGTTTGCAATGTGAATAAGTGTGCCATATTATACTATGTGCATATTTAAAGAAGTTAAGACAAGGGGAAGTTTTTAAAGGCAAAATGAGAAAGAATAAATAAGTTGTTTTGAATCAATTGTCCTTGGCTACGAGGATCAATAACAAGGGTGGCATTGGTCCAAGGACTGACAGTTGCTGAATAGACATCCTTGCAGAAGTATTTTCTGTGCAAGACTGCATTTTTGGCAGTCTTTTGTGATAGTTCTGAATTTCAGGCATATGTGTGAGAATACTCCCTTTATGGCCTTCCATGGGTCCATTTGCCAGGACTTTAATATAAAGGACTTCATTTTGATTTTGACAACTTTCACAACTATAAAAAGAAAGTTTTATAGAAAACAGGAGGTAGTAGTGGTGTGTGTGTGTGTGTGCATATATGAACATGTGTGTTTGGGATGGTCACTTTATATCATAAGCCAGACTGGTGAAATAAAGACAGAAACAATACTAATAGCAGTTCTGCTTCCAGCAAAGATAGAGTAACAATGACCTGGTTTACTCTCCTACTTTAAACAGCTAAGTTGGAAAAAGTATGAAACGATAATTTCAGACATTGGACAACAAATAGTGCAAAAGAAAGAGCAATCCTTGAGAAAAGAAAAACAAATGAAATGATCCCTGCAATGCCTCAGATAATTGCCTGGACAGATTTTCCAGGCTGTAGTTTAGGGAGGCCAAATCCAAGCAAAATCCAGCAGTTTATCTAAATAGAGGAGAAAAATGAGAATTAAAAAAGCATTCTCATCTGGCAGTAGGAATTCTCTTAAGGCAGCAGAGTTGCAGGGCAGAATGCTGGAGCAGAGAGAGCTGAAGAGAGAGAGAGGCTGTGGCGAGCTGCAGATGGGTTCCTTCAAGTCTTTAACTAACAGTTTGCATGTGAAGAAACTATGCTAGACCATAGTTTAGTGGAAAGAACCACCTGCAAACGGTAAGATCCCCAAGGCTCACACAAAACTTGGAATGGTTTAAGTTACAACCAGCCAGAGTGGGAAAACATTGTAACACAGAAGGCACTCAATAAAAGATTCATAAGACTATTGTCTCAGTATTGGAGCAAGATCAGCCCTAAGTTAAGGCTGCCTTTTAAAAATAAGAATACTGAATAAGAATAAGAATACTGAATACTGGGAAGTAGACCCCCAATTGATTTTTACCAAGGTTCCATGACAATTCAATGGGGAAAGAATAATCTTTTTAACAATGGTGCTAGAACACTTGAATAGCTATATGCAAAACAATGAACCTAGACCCTTAAGTCATAGAAAAATTAACTCAAAATGGACCATACACATACATTTGAAAGTTAAAAATATAGGAGTTCCTGGAAAAAAATTGGAGAAAATCTTAAGAAATTTGAGTTTTGTCAAAGATTGTTTAAATACAACACAAAAAGCACAACCTATAAAAGAAAAAATATCAACAAATTGGACCCCTTCAAAGTAAAATAACTTTTTTTTCTAAAAAAAAGACGTTTTATAACCATGATGAGATACCACTTCATACCCACTAGGATAGCTATAATAAAAAATACAGGTAATAACAAGTGTTGATGAGGATGTGGAGAAATGTGAACCCTTGCACACTGCTGCTGGAAATGTGAAATGGTGTGGCCACTTTGGAAAACAGTCTGTCTGGAAGTTCCTCAAAAAGGTAAACATAGAGTTATCATATGACCCATCAACTGCACTTTCAAGTATATACCCAGTAGAAATAAGAACTGATGTTTACATAAAAACTTGTACATGAATGTTCATAAGAGCATCACTCAATATAGCCAAAAAGTGGAAACAACCATATGTTCATCAACTGATGAAGACATGAATAAATAAAATTTGATATGTTCATACAATGGAATATTCTTCTATAATTTAAAAATGAAGCACTGATACTAACTACAACATGGATGAATCTTGAAAACATTATGCCAAATTTAAAAAGCCACTCAAAAAAGACCCTTCCACTTGCATGAAATGTCCAGAATAGGCAAATCTCTGCAGACAGCAAGTAGATTAGTAGTTGCCTAGGGATGATGGTGGGTTGATGGCTAAAGGATGGGGAAGAAGAGGAAGTTAGGATGATGAAAATGTTCTAAAATTAATTGCAATGATAGTTGCACAGCTCTGCAAATATACTGAATGCCATTGTTCCCTTTAAATGGTGAATTGAATGGTATGCAGATTGTATCTCAGTAAGTTTTTTTAACTTTATAAAATGATTTGGTCTGCTCCTTAAAAACTAAAAACCCGATCAAAAATGAGCAAAATATTTGGACAGACATTTCACTAAAGAAGATATATGGATGATGAATAAACATGTGAAAAGATGTTCAACACCATTAATCATTAGGAAAATGCAAATGAAAACCACAATGAGATAACACTATTCTACCCACCAGGATGGCTAAAATTAAAAAGTGTTGGCAAGGATGTGAAGCAGCTGGGAAACTCTTTCATCGCTGATGGGAATGTAAACTGGTACAATCACTTTAGATAAAAGATTATAAGTATATCTACCATATGGCCCAGCTATTCTACTCTTAAGTATTTACTCAAGAGAAATGAAAGTGTTTGTCCACAAATGATCATAGCAGTTTTATTTGTAATAGCCATAAACTGGAAACAACACAAATGCCCATCAACAGGTAAATGGATAAACAAATTGTGGTGTATCTATACAATGGAATATTACTCTGCAATAAAAGAATAATGATCTTCTGATGCACACAGCAACATGAATGACTCTTAAAATAATTATTCTGAGAGAAAGAGGACAAACAAAAACAGTACATGTCTCATTTCATTTTCATAAAAATATAGAAATTGTAAATTAGTCTACAGTCACAGAAAATTAGTGGTTTCCTGGAGAGGGGACATTTTTCTTTGGGGAGGAGAGGAGGCTGGATGACAGAGAGGCATGGGGAAACTTGGAGGGAATAAATATATTTGTTATCTTCACTGTAGTGATGGTTTCACAGGTATATACACATGTGAAAACTCATCAAAATGTACAATTTAAATATGTGCAGTTTAATCTTCATCTGTCATACTTCGATAAGCCTATTTAAAAAAATACTAATAGTTACTATTTATTGAACCCTTGCTATATGACAGATATAATCCTAATACTTAACATTCATTATCGTGTTGAATCAGTAACCACCCAACAGAGGTGTTTTCCGTTTCTTCAGATGATGATATAGAGACTCAAGCCATGAAGATGATATTTAAACTCAAGTAGCCTAATGCCAAAGATCCAGCTCTTCTTCACTAACGAGAATTTAACCCATTTTCATTCAGCAGTTCTTTGTGTGATAGGCCACTCTCCTAAGGGTTGCAGATTCCGAGCTGAACAAGGATACCTGGCTCCTGCCCTCAGTGCATAGTGGAGGAAGCGAGAAGCTGGGGAACCTGAGGCTCAAAACAGGAAGGCCCAACTCACCTGGCTTATGGATGAGAGGTTGGGTAGCTGTGGAGAAGATTGGCTAAGCTGATTAGAACAGAATGTTGTCTCACCCTTCATTGCCAGCAGGGGGCAGCAGTTCCCCAGGAAGACCGTGTCTGGGCCTATGCACGCTTGGGCCTCCTACTTGGAGGTGCCGACACATTCTGGTACATGGGGCCTCAGAGTCTCACAGGCCTTTGGCTGTGTTTTCCCCACCTCCACACACATTACAGTGCTTAACAGTTCAAGGCCCTCCATCTCCGTGTGCTCAGTAAAGGGAAGGAGGCTTTACAGAGCACATACAGGGCAGACTGCTCTGCCTCCCAAAGGGAGGCAATTTAAACATGTCCCATTCTGTTTTGTATCGGTTGGAAGCGCTGATAAAAGGTTTACTAGCATGCACTTGAAGATGGAGTTCAGATATCCAGGACGCTCCAGGCTTTGACCCGCGATGGTGAGCAAGGGTTCCTCTTCCTTTTCCTATGCTGGGCTTCTCAGTCAGTTTCATCACAAAAGGTGAAAGGTAGCTAGTAGTGACACATTCCAGCACCAGAAGAATTTCTAGAAATTATTGTCTAAGGGTCTTTAATTTCCAGCCCATAGTTGCCTTTGATTCCTATTAACGACATGTATGGACACCTACTAAAGAACTAGCCTGGAGCTGAGGACACAGAAATGACTAAGTCCAAGCTTTCAGTGCCCTCCTACATAAATGTGAGTAATTGGATGTGATGCCTAGTCCAGAAGTCATAGCCAGAGGCCCTCAGATATGCATCCTTTGCCAAAATAGCTGGACCCTCTGGGTGTTCTAGAAATTTGAATTAGTAGTCAACAGTTAAAAATCAGAAGAGCTCAAGACCAGACTGGCCAACATGGCAAAACTCCATGTCTACTAAAAATGCAAAAATTAGCTGGGTTTGATGGCGGACGCCTGTAATCCCAGCTACTTGGGAGGCTGAGGCAGGAGAATCGCTTGAACCCGGGAGGAGGAGGTTGCAGTGAGCCCAGATCGTGCCATTGCACTCCAGCCGGGGTGACAGAGCGAGACTCTGTCTCAAAAAAATAAATTAATTAATTAAAATTAAAATTTAAAAAATCAGAAGAGCTCACATAAAAATATATAATCCTGGCTTCTCTTGAAAAACAGAGAGAATGCTGGCTCTTGATTACAAGATGAAATAAATGTCTTAGAAATGTGGGAAAACTCATTGGCATAGGTCAAGTCCAGCCCCCTCTCAGTGCAGAGGAGAATAGAACTCTAGTCTCATTCTGTACCTTCTGTGGTTTATTCTTATTCTTCCTTGTTCAGACCTGTGCATCTAACACTAGTTTATATTGAATGGGCTGAACTTGCTCAGATTCATTAAGAAATTCTGTCTCTCTATTGCTGCCCTGCAATGTGCTATTCCTGAGCTCCCCTCCCTATCCCTGAACAGCCCGGTTGATTTTTTTGCCGTAACCAATCCAATTCCAATCTCGCTTTTCAATTAAAAGTTTCTCTCCCTCTTTTACTTCAGGCCTGCTTAAGATGAAGTCCAGCCATGGGAAGGGGTATGTGATCTGTTTTTTTCCCTTTTCCCAGGTCTTTCCTTACTCACCTACCCAATGCTTACTGCTGGCTTCTTCAAGCTAGAATCAGGGAAAGATGAGATAATAGAAAACAAGATTTTTATTGTTACCTGACTAGTGCTGAGGACTTGTAAACTCCTGGTATTCCCTATGGGAAAGCATACGATTGCTAGCTCTCTCATTTAGCACACACAAATGGACTGAACGTTCCAAAAAAAAAAATCAGCATATACCATCTGACAGTGGCAAGCTACTATGCAGGCAATGAGGCATGAATTAAACAGCATTGAGTATCTAGTAAGGCTTCCCTCAGTGGCTTCAAGTCATCCCTGGAGTCTGCTCACAAGCTGTTCTCTTTGCCTCTGCATTCTCCATTCAGCACTTGTTGGAGTCTCTCTTTTCTTTGTCTCTCTGTACCTACAGCCTAAGGCTCCTAAATGACAGCACAATGAGCAAAGGGTCATGGAAACTCAGTATCTTTCTTCCTGTCTGAATCACAGCTTTGCTAAGCAAACCTTGACATTTTTATATCTTCATTCTGCAGATATCATCAGAGTATCCCAGCCTTTTTACAACCTTGCTATGCAAAGAATGGTCCCTGGCCCAGCACCTTGAGATCATCTGGGAGTATGTAAGAAATGCCAAAATTCCGGCCTCACCTCCAAACTACTAAATCAGAGTGCAAATTTATCAGATCGCAGGGTGACTCACATGAGGAATGTTTGAGAAGCACTCTTTACAAGATTCTAATTCTATATATTAAACGTATTTTTCATATTTGTAGTAAATTTCATCAAAACAATTCCAAACTCTTTCCTCACATTTCCTCAGAAATCTCAGTGGACTCTTGTCTAGGATTCCTCTCAGTTGACAATCACTTTTTGTGAAGGGAACAGTAAAAACTGCCAAGCCCAATTACATGTGCAGTTGTTGGAGTTACTTTAAAACATACTAACATGTTGCTGTTGGCAGCTGAGGCAGAATAAAAGGGAGAGGCAACTAGAGATTCCATCAAGTCTTCATGAATTCCTTACCTCTTTCTTCCTAGAACTTCTCTTCACATACAAAATAGATATAGGGTATCAGGGCCAGTTTGGCTTTGACTTTCACTTCTCTTCCTCCTAATTGCCCTTCACCGCCTCCAAGACTCCCTCAGTGAACTTTCTTAAATGAACTGCAAGCCTATTGGGCCATGAATAGATCCTGAATTTCTGCTGGATGACAACAGGTTTGGTTTTGCTGCAGGGATGGTGACCTTATTCTGACTTTAGAAAGATTATAAAAACAAGAGAAGGTTGTGTTAGTGGTATTGGACTTTACTTACTAAGTGCTCCATTTTGTGGGAAATTACCAGAGACCTTTTGGTGGATTGCTACCAAAAACTACAAATGTCACTTTTAATATGCTTGCATCTTTGGTTGGTTTTATGTTCAGGAAAACAACTTCATCTCTGTGATCCTTTCTATTTGCCATGGTAAAAACTCTCCTGTCCTCTAACCCTACCAAACATATCATGCAAAAGCAATACAAAACCTACACAGAAAGTTATGATTAATCAAAAGTTGCTTGA
Organism: Homo sapiens; assembly: GCF_000001405.40. Classification (NCBI taxonomy): domain Eukaryota; kingdom Metazoa; phylum Chordata; class Mammalia; order Primates; family Hominidae; genus Homo; species Homo sapiens. The sequence continues at coordinate 89,263,588 of NC_000010.11, forward strand.
GAAGCATAGATTTAGTTCAAAGAAGTACTGATAGCATATGGAACTGTCATAAGATCCTTAGGGTGTCACTTTTCCAGCCAGAAGCCTGTGTGGCTGTTGGCACCTTTGCCTGAGCTTTACTCAGGCCTGCTGGGCTTGTTTTGCCCACTTGGCCTGGCAGGCTGTGCTTGGCTCATGCTAACCAACCAGATCCCACGCCTCCAAGGTCAAGCCAGGTGTAGAGTGGTGAGAGGTGCATAAGCAAGTGAGTGTGGGGTCCAGCCACTGTGGAGAGTCAGCAAGCCAGCTGCTCTGGTGGGGTGGGCAGCTGCAGGCACCAGTACAGATGCCAGTTCTGTGCAAGCCTACTGCTGGATCAGATGCACCACAAGCAGCTTCTCCTATGGACACCCAAGTCTGGATAAGGGGAGTGTGCTGGCATCCAGAAACTTGGAGAAGCCAGAAACCACAGTGCCCCAAAGAGGGTGGCACAGCCCTGGCTTGGGGAGCCTCTAGGTTTGGGCTCCTGGAAGGGCCTCTGCTCTTCTCTGCTGCCCTTCTCTCCTTCTCATTGCTGGCAACATGGCAAGCAGGGGGGGTGGTAGGGGCATGTTTCAGCCCTATTTGTGTTACAGCTCTTTCAGTCCCACCATTCAGGGGGTCCTGAGTTCTTGTCCCACATCCAGGAAGAATGAAATATGCAGACGACTGGAGGGTGAGCAAGGTGAAGAAGTCCTTTATTGAGCAACAGTACAGCTCTCAGGAGACCCAAAGTGGGTAGCTCCTTTCCACAGGCAGGTTGTCCCAACAAGTGATCAGCCCTCAGAGGAGAGGAGACCCCCAGTGGGTAGCTCCTATCTTCAAGCAGATTGTCCCAATGAGTGTGCAGCTCAGTGGAGAGCAGACCTGGAGTGGGTAGCTCCTATCCACAAGCAGGTAATCCCAAGTGTGCAGCCCTCAGCAGGGAGGAAACCTGGAGTGGGTAGCTTCTATTCACAGGCAGGTTGTCCTGACAAGTGTGCAGCCCTCAGCAGAGAGGACACCCAGAGTGGGTAGCTCCTATCCGTAGGCAGGTCATCCTGACATCTGTCCCAGTCTGGCTGAGTCCTGGGTTTTTATGGGCTCATAAGGGAGGAAGTGTATGCTGATTGGTCCATGGGCGGCCATGGGTGGGCCCAGAAAAAGCACCATAAGTTCTCACTCTGGGCTGTGGACACCACCTGGAACTGATAGGTTGGCCCCCAGGCTTCAGGCCCTCCCTGGCTTCAAGGTGGTGCTTCACTGGGACTGCCCCTTTCTGCCCAGGGGCCTATCTGCTTCCTGCTGCCATCTGCGTGTCATCCACGGCCCCTGGGCTGTTTGTGCTGAGGGGAACCCACAGGCCCATGCTAAGCAACCCTCAGCACCATCCTCTTCAGCCTCCCTCCCATGCTCATTGGCCCCCAAAGTCTGGAGGAGGCCCAGGCAGCAGGGGGCTGGCATGTTGGTGCCACCCTGAGCACATCCACACCTAACCAGGTCACAGCAGCACCTAGGCTTGGCCACAACTTTGTTCTGGAGTGGGTGCCAGGAGCAGGGAGAGGCCAGGCAGTAGGAGCAGGCACTTCTGAGCTTGCAGGGGTGAGGGGAAAGGAGTGGGGTGCAGGGGGTTGGGGAGTGGGGGCCATGGGGTCCTGGGCCCCCAAACTGCAGGGATGCCTAGGTCTGCAGCTACAGCTGGGCAGCTGTAGCTGTGCCTGGGAGGGTGGGGCTCCTGACCTGCCAACTCGGAAGGGGACAGGGCTCCCACCATCTCCATGGAGTACACAGTCCTGGTCACACCTCCCCTGGTGCAGCTGGCGTCTTCGCAGAGGCCACTCCAGATGGGCCGCTGCTGCCATCAGAATCAGTAAACATATCCTTTTGTGGAAAATCATTTTTGAACAGTGTATAAGTAGCTTTCAGCTACATAAACCAAGTGATACAGAAAAGATGCTTTTGTTCTTTGGGACTTGAATTGGAATTATTTTACTTTCCTTTTACATTTTTAAAATGTTGTTCATAGGGTCAATTAATATCTAGTGAGTATTGATAATATGCAGTCTAGTTTCTAACACTGGGAAAGATTGGAAACTCATAAAAGATGTTGTCCATGGTGCTTGACTATAGACAAACATTTTCCATTGGCTCCTCCTAAATTGCAAGTTCTCCAATCTTTGCTGTGTTCAGACTTGTAAAATAGCTCACTAGTTAATGAGAGAGACCTCAACATGAGAGAACTAAAAACCAAAGAAGATGCTATGTTATTATTACAGGTGGAGCATCCATTATCCAAAAATCCAAAATCCAAAATGCTCCGGGATTCAAAGCATTTTTGGGCCAACATGAAAAATTCCATTCTGACCTCATGTGACAAGTTGCAATCAAAATGCATGTGTACAACACACAGTTTATTCAGCGTCCCTAAGAAAGAACCTCCCAGCCCCCTTCAGCTGTGATGTATGTTTTCTACATATGATATATGTTTTCTATCCTCAGATTCTCACATAAAAAATACCTTGTACAGTAACTTTTTAATCAAAACACAGCATCGTAGGTGGAGACTGAAAGCCTGCTGTTGTTTGTTGTTGCTGTCATTTAACAGCTGACGCAGATATTCCAGTGATGCTACGGTGCTGTTTAGTTACACTAAACACATTCTTTCTTACTGTATTAATGATATGTCTTTTTTTATGTAAAATTCTTATGTGTGAATTAATGTAAGAAAATGACTGTGTATTGGTAGCATATAAATTCAGTCAAGAATGATGGTGATGCCAAACAACCACAGACTATCCACATGTGTGGCTGAGATAGTGACACCTTTACTTTCTGATGATGGTTCAGTGTACACAAACATTATTTTATGCACAAAATGATCTAAAATATTATATAAAATTACCTTCGGGCTATGTGTATAAGGTGTATATGAAACACATATGAATTTCATGTTTAGACTTGGATCCCGTGCCTGAAATATTATGTATATGCAAATATTCCAAAATCTGAAACACTTCTAGTCCCAAGCATTTTGGATAAGGGATACTCAATCTGTACTTTGTGTTATCTTGAGTGGAAAATAAGGGGGCTTTATAAAAAAATGTTTTACTCATGTCTGACTATTTTCCATTTCCCAGTTTCTAATTAAAGAGGGTCTACCAAGTAACCTCATAAATCTGTTCCAGAGCAAGAATGGTCTACAAAGTGTTCTGTGACTTAATGTCTGTGTTTGCCAGAAGCTCTGTATATTGCCCTGAGAACTGCAGAGAGAATTGCTTTTGTGTAATTATTCTGAGATAGCAGCATCTGTAAAACTGCAGAGTGCATCAAGATTACCATGCAACATGCTTTACAAATATTCCTGAAGTGTATCTAGTCTATCCAGGACAGAGAAATAAGGACTGGGGAATAAGGTGTGGGTGGCTATGAATGTCAAATAAAATATCTTTGTTTATAACCATCAAGTTTACTCCCACACATTCTCTATTTTTATATTATCTTCAACCCTCCTGTTCACGTGATGTGTTTCCAAAATACTCAGTGTCAGCTTTATGAACACAGGAATCACAACTTGTATGTCAGGATCCTAACAAGGGCATTCAAAATGGAATGATTCAAAGACAGCTGATTTGCAAACAGACTATTTAACAGTTGTTGGGCAGGGGAAGCATAAGATAGTGCAGTAGCCCCAGGTAGTAGCAGTTCAGCTGTTAACCACCCTTAGGCTCAGAGAGATGAGATTGTTACTGGAAAATGGAAGGAGAAAGTCTCACAGAAGCTTCCCTGAAAGGAAAATTATTCCTTAGTAGACTGACACAGCCTGCTCCAGGCAGTCCCAGCAGGGAGAGAACCAAAGAAATTGGAAACCATCATTCTCAGTAAACTATCGCAAGAACAAAAAACCAAACACCGCATATTCTCACTCATAGGTGGGAATTGAACAATGAGATCACATGGTCACAGGAAGGGGAATATCACACTCTGGGGACTGTGGTGGGGTGGGGGGAGGGGGGAGGGGTAGCATTGGGAGATATACCTAATGCTAGATGACGAGTTAGTGGGTGCAGCGCACCAGCATGGCACATGTATACATATGTAACTAACCTGCACAATGTGCACATGTACCCTAAAACTTAAAGTATAATAAAAAAAAAAAAAGAAACTTAAAAAAAAAAAAAAGAAAGAAATAATTACTCTACCATCACTTTCTCCATCCTTTCAATCTCCTGCAGGTGCCGCCTGTCAACAAAACCCAACCAGTAGCCGGAGGACACTGGAACCGGCAAGTATAGTCTCTGCTGTAAACCTCCCACTTTATAGGGCAGGGTGGAGAATAATGGAAAGTGGAACTCAGGGGAGTTAAGGAATGGGGAATAAGCTGTGGGTGGCTATGAGTATGAAACTTAAAATATCTTTGTTTATGAACATCAAGTTTACTCCCACAAATTATCTATTTTAAAATTATCTTCAACCCTCCTGTTCATGTAATGTGTGCCCCAATACTCAATACTACATGGGAGATATCCTTCATATGATCTTTATCCACTCTCCTTTGGAAGAGGAAAATAGGAGGTCCAGGATTGTAGTTAGGAGTGCAGACTCAGGGGTCAGGCTGCCCACATTCAAGGCAAAATCTACAATTTGCTGGCTGTGCAAACTAGTGTAAGATTTTTAACTTCTTCTTGAGTTAGAGTTCTCTTCTGTAAAATAGAATTAATATTGTCTAGGGACATCTCAAATTTTGGATAAGATAATATGTGTTAAGTGCTTAGAATAGTGCCTTGCACTCAATAGATGTTAGTTGATTGTGTTTTTTAAATATTTTTCCTGACAGTAATTTTTTTTATAAATCCAATTTATTTGCTGATTATTAATGGATTCTAGTTACTATGTAGGTTCAATATAGTTACCATTTTGGTATGTACTTTCAAACTTGTTTTCCTCTGATACATAATTTCACAAAAATAGGCTCAAGCTATATATATTATTTAGTTATCTACTTTTATTCCCACTCAATAGTAGAAATCTAAATATGTCATTCAGTATTTTTTGAAATCATTTTTAATGGTTGCATGTATTATTTTGTCATCTGGAGTTACAATGATTTACTTTAAATCATTTGAATGATGTACTTTATTTAAAAATGCTTCCCAGCACTTTGGGATGCTGAGGCGGGTGGATCACGAGGCCAGGAGATTGAGACCATCCTGACTAACACAGTGAAACCCTGTCTCTACTAAAAATACAAAAAGTTAGCTGGGCGCGGTGACGGGCGCCTGTAGTCCCAGCTACTCGGGAGGCTGAGGCAGGAGAATGGTGTGAACCTGGGAGGCGGAGCTTGCAGTGAGCCAAGATAGCACCACTGCACTCCAGTCTGGGCGACAGAGACAGACTCTGTCTCAAAAAAAAAAAAGTATAAAAATACTTTAAATGATTTACTTTATTTAAAAATACTTAGGGCCAGGCACGGTGGTTCACACCTCTAATCCCAGCACTTTGGGAGGCTGAGGCAGGTGGACCACCTGAGGTCAAAAGATCGAGACCATCATGGCCAACACAGTGAAACCCCGTCTCTACTAAAAAATACAAAAAAAAATTAGCTGGGCGTGGTGGCGCATGCCTGTAGTCCCAGCTACTCGGGAGGCTGAGGCAGGAGAATCACTTGAACCCGGGAGGCAGAGGTTGCAGTGAGCCAAGATCTCACCACTGCACTCCAGCCTGGTGACAGAGTCAAAAAAATAATAATAATACTTTAAGAAGTTTAGTTTATTTCTATTTTTTAAGCCAGGATACGCTCTATATCCATGGTAATTTCACTAGGATCATGTCCTAGAAACAAAACTTTTAGGTCTAATGTAGGTATATCTTTAAGGATTTTTTTTTTGCTCTAATTAATATTTTATTCTTCTCTTCAACATTGTGCAAAGGCTTCAACATATTCGACAAATAAAACTTTGATGACATAATCATTAATTTTCTCTGAAGTCAACCATATAATACTTTAAGATGACATGAAAGTTTGTACATGAGAGACTGGAGTTTCTGAAGCTTATATGTTCCTCTTTTGGGGAAATTTAAAGCGATGCGTTGGCAATACAGCAATGCAATTGTAGCTTCAAAAATATTAATTTCCTTACCAAAGGTTAATGTCCTATAACTGACTCTCCATACTTTGCTGTATTAAAAATTTGGGGGAGGATGAGGTTTTTTTAAACTTTATTCTTTACTAAAATGTGAGACTAATTTTTAGTAATGAATCTGCAGGTACAGATTTGTAGGTAGCAACCTGATGAGTTTACAGAGCCACTAAGGTCTTCAGTTGTGGGTATGTGGGCCTAGACTTTGGAGACACACAGCTTTGTATTCTGGTCAGACATAAGTTGTGTGACCTTTACTCCAATTTCTTCCTCTTTGAAGGATTGCTCAATTATGTCTGTGCAAAGTGCAGATGGACCTTGGTGAATAGCTGTGGATTATTAAAACTTAACCAGGTGGTCACTCCAAATTAGCTACTATTCTAAATGTCTTTTCCTTGGAGAAAGTTGACACATTCCCTAGCATGTGGTGTGCCACAATATATTTGACAAATGTTATATTGTCTATTTGTGTTGGTAAAGATCAGCTGAAGCAGTTTGCTTCCACCAGTCAGGGCCAGAAATCCACCTTCATTGTCCCATTTTAGGGATATGTAATTCTCCAGAACTGCAAAGATTTTTACCTGCCAAAACTTATCACTTCTCCATTTCACAATACATCATGTGGTCCAATGTGATACTGACAGTATTTGCTGATTTAGACCAAGTAAGCAGGAAATAGCAAGCATTCTAGACACCTTGGCAAGACACAAGTGGGTGGGAAATAAACCCCTTATAAATTCAGAGGACTGCCACCTTATTGCAATTTCCAGAAGTCCATTTTCTGGAGCATGTTGATATATCCTTTCCAATATGAAGGATACATTTCTGTATCTGTTTTCTTCTACCACTGAAAAAGAGGCACTGATCCTAGTGGACCTCTTTGGAGGTCAACATATACCTCATTTGGGCCTGCTCCTCTAGCCCACTTCCTGAATAACCATAAAGGCTGCCAGCTTTGAGTAGGGCCCAGAACAAGAGAATGCAACAGCTCTAAGCTAAAGGCAAGCTGCTCTGCTACTCATGTTATACGACCCAACAGATCTGATGGTGCTCGAAGTGTCTGTGACAGATAGGGAGGCTCTATGGCACCTTTAGCAGGTAAATCACAGAAGATACCCTTAGGATCTTGGAGCACAGCTATGTCATCCCCTGCAGATAACTATTCTTTTGATGAACAGTGGCTGGCTTACTTTGGGGCTCTAGTAGAGACTGAATGTTTAACGATGGCCCAAGACCTGAGCTATGAATTGGATGTTATCTGACCCATCAAACCTTAAAGTTGAGTGTGCACAGCAGTATTCCATCACATGGAAGTGGTAAATGAAATTAGACTTATGTAGGTCCTGAAGGCACAAGTCACATGAGCAAGATTCCTGTGACCCCTACTCATACTACATTGCCCCTTCTCTCTCATCTGTCTTCTCATGGGGAGTTCCATGTGACCAGTTGACTGAGGAAGAGACTATTTGGTCTACTTTATAGATGGTTCTGCACAATACACTGGCATCACCCAAAAATGGCCAATGCAGTACTCCTGTCACATTTAGGGATGATTCTGAAGGACAGTGGTTATGGGACATTCCCCCAGTGGAAAGAGCTTTGAACGGTTCACCTGGATGTTCATTGTTCCTAGAAGGAGAGATGACCAGAGTGATGGATTTACATTGATTTGTAGCTTCATTAACCTGGAAAGTAAAACTGTCCCCAGCCACTTTGTACTCCTTATGCTAATTAACCAGCAGGCTTAAAAAAGGTGATTATTGTTCTGATGGGTGATTTATCCTGGCTATGAAGGGAAAATGGGGTTGCTACCACACAGTGAGGGTAAGGAGGAGTATGGTGGCTTGCAGGAGGTCTTCTGGGGTGCCTCTTTGTATTTCCATATCCTGAAATCAATATTAAAATGAAAACAATTCAATGCAGTGAGGACTGCTAATGGCAGTGACCCTTTAAGAATGAAGGTATGGGACAGCTCACCAGATAAGGAGTCATGACAAGAACCAGTGTTTGCCAAGGGCAAGTGTAATATGGAACAGGTGGTAAAAGAAGGAAGTCATAGGCTGGGCTCAGTGGCTTACGCTTGTAATCCCAACAGTTTGGGAGGCCAAAGCCGGCAGATCATTTGAGCCTCAGGGGTTTGAGACCAGCCTGGACAACATATCAAAACCCCAACTCTACAAAAAAAAAAACCCACAAAAACTAACCAGATACATTGTCACGCACCTGTAGTCTCAGCTACTCAGGAGGCTGCAGTGGGAGGATCACTTGTGCCTGGTAGGCTGAGGCTGCAGTGAGCCAAGATTGCACCACTGCACTCCAGCCTGGGCACACAGAGTGAGACTCTGTCTTAAAAAAAAAAAATTTAAAAAAAACTTTTGTTTTAAGCTCAGGGGCACATATGCACAATGTTCAGGTTTGTTACATAGGTAAATGTGTGTTATGGGGGTTGATTGTACAGATTCTTTCACCATCCAGGTATTAAGCGTAGTACCCATTAGTTATTTTTCCTGATCCTCTCCCTCCTCCCACCCCCTGCCCTCCAGTAAGCTCCAATGTGCATTGTTCCCCTCTATGTGTCCATGTGTTCTCATCATTTAGCTCCCTCTTATAAGTGAGAACATGCGGTATTTGGTTTTCTGTTCCTGTGTTAGTTTGCTAAGGATAATGGCCTCCAGCTCCATCCTTGTCCCTGCAAAAGACATGATCACATTCCTTTTTATTGCTGCGTAGTATTCCATAGTGTATGTGTACAACATTTTCTTTATCTAATCTATCATAGGGGCATTTAGGTTGATTCCATGTCTTTTCTATTGTGAATAGTGCTGCAATGAACATATACGTGCATGTGTCTTTATAATAGAATGATTTATACTCCTCTGGGTACATACCCGGTAATGGGATTGTTGGGTTGAATGGTATTTCTGCCTTTAGGTCTTTGGGGAATCACCACACTGTCTTCCACAATGGCTGAACTAATTTACACTCCCACCAACAGTGTAAAAGTGTTCCTTTCTCTCTACAACCTCGCCAGCATCTATTATTTTTGGACGTTTTATTAACAGCCATTGTGACTGGCGTGAGATGATATTTCATTGTGGTTTTAATTTGCATTTCTCTAATGAACAGTAATGTTGAGCTTTTTTCACTTGATTGTTGTCTGCATGTATGTCTTCTTTTGAGAAGTGTTTGTTCATGTCCTTTGCCCACTTTTTAATGGAGTTGTTTTTTTCTTATAAATGTGTTCCTTACAGATGCTGGATATTAGACCTTTGTCAGCTGCATAGATTGCAAAAAGTTTCTCCCATTCTGTAGGTTGTCTGGTCACTCTGAAGATAGGTAAAAGAAAGAAGTTATAAACACTAGCTACAACCTTGTGCCCTGTCTTAGAAATGAAGACTAAACAGTTAACATCAGAATTCCTCTTTTGGTGGAGGGGAGGGAAGCATAAGGAATTCCTTTCTATTTTTCTCTTTGTTTTTTGTAAAAGAAATTAACTTGATACATTTTCTAGAGTCAGAGTAGAACATATTGTCCCTCATTATAGGAGGAAGATGAGAGGATGAGCTGAGTGTCCTCTGGAAAAATGGAAATGGAGTCAGAGGTAGGGGTTGCTGGATGAGCCAGAGGAAGCATTTGTGGCACTATGTGTGACTGTTTTGGGGGTACTGGGAAGTTAATATCACATCTGGATCAACACAAGTGGCATAAACACAGTGTCAATGTAGCAGGAGCTCAGGAGACCAGGAGCACTGGAACCCAATTTACCTAGGCTTCTGTAAAGCATCAACAAAGGCTCTGAGAAAACAGAGCTGATGGTTAAGAACATTTTGACACCCTGGAAAGTGTTGTGCTGAGAAAAATATTGTGAATTGGGGAGCTGTGAGGAGCCTGCTAGGGAAAGAAGAATCACAACTGACAGGACAGTACTCATAATCTAGTCAAAGGTTTTAGCCGATGTAAAGACAGATAACATGTGTGGGTATTCATTGAGATATTCCTGAGCTGTAGGTCATTTACAGCAAGAAGGCAGATTTGAAATAAAACCAGGTATTTTATTGGGCCTCATTTCTTCAAGATGCTCTGTGAACATGAAGAATTCATAGGGCCAGAGAGCAAAGGTTAACACACTACAGCTCGTGGGCTGAAACCAGTCTGCCACCTGTTTTTGTAAATAAAGTTTTATTGGAATTTGTATTGTCTATGACTGCTTTTACACTACTTTTACAGCACAGTTGAGTAGTTGATACATAGACCATACTGCCCACAAAGCCGAAGAAAATATTTACTATTTAGCTCTTAACAGAAAAAGTTTGCCACTGCCACTATAGAACAGCATTATAGACATAAGTCACATTCCTGGGATCCATGAGACACATAAAACTATAGGAACTACTGGAGTTTGTGTGCCAGTGGCCCTTGGACAAAAGTGCAGAAGCTCACTGGGGGATTTTTTGGTTATTTGAAATGATTTAACATTTCCTGTGAGATATAATTTAATTAAGTAATAATAAAGGTCTAAAGTAGAGCAAAGGATTGCTTTCTATTGTCTCTTTTAAAGAACACAGGAAACTCACCTTTTAATGTCCAAATGATAAAGAAAAACTTATATGTGGGTATCAACATTATCAATCATTTGGAGATGATTAGAGAAAAAACAGATTACCTCAATGGAGAGGAGCAGTGACGGGGTATGTGTACGGTGCCTGAGTCCAGACAGTCTTTTGTGTTGGATACAACTCTGCTCAGTTCTGAAAGGCAGCCCAGAAGTTAAAGAAAGAGACTGTTGGGTTGAACATCTGAGAAACTAGGACACATCATGTCTTTATAGTGATTTGATTAAAATATAAAGGATTTTTTTGGAAAATGCTTTTGACTGATGTCTGTCCCTTAGTATCCTGGGCTCACTGACCCTATAAACAATCCCGTTTATTGCTGCTGAAATCTAGCAGGTTGAGAGGAATTTTCCCTAATCCTTGAACAATGACAAGAGACTAGGGATAAGGATGGCCACCAGAACTCCCAGCAGGTACTGGAATTTCCGTGTCTGATGGGTGGGAGGTGACCTCTGTTGAGACAGACTTTATTGGAGTTTTCTTCCTCCTATAACACACAAAGATGCAGAATGAATTAATTTGTTGATGCTGCTGCATTATTAGAAGAGGCTTCTGGTGCTATGACTTCTGCCATCATTGCAGAAGTCAAGAATGCATTTTATTCTTTAATGTTTTCTTAAAATGAAAAGGCATTCTATCTTAAGAGACACTGCCAAAAGGCTCACATGACAGTGTCTGAGCTAGGTAAAGAAGTAGAGTTGAAACTGTCGGGGCTTTATAATAAATAATGTCTCAACTCAGCTAGGCTGAACTGTGTTTCCCAGAATTTCCTCGTGTTTTCAGTCAGGATGAGTCAGTAGACATTTTTGCATGTGATTTAGAGGGTGGAAAAGAAGCAACTATTTAGCCTTTTTATGCTTGGAACGTTCAAGCAGGTGTGTTTGTGAACCACAGAATACTATGGCCCATCTCCTGGGTTAACTCCTTGGTGTACCAGACCTGCAACTACTCCAACTTCCCCTGAATCCTCCTTCAGCATCTCTGAATCCTGGGCCAGGTGTGTAGTTAGCTCCATGATGAAGGGCTCCTGCTTCTCCTGCAGGAGGGGTTAGAGGCAGTGAGAGCTGACTTGGGTTCTAGTCCGTATTTGTGGAACTGCAGCTCGTGGTTGTGGTTCCAGCCTGTCCTTGTCCTGCCCACTGGACATTCATCCATCTTCCCATTTTTTCCACCTGCCTTATGTACTTGAAGCTTCAGTACCAGACATGAAATCAAGAGCCTTACAGAACCGGCTTGGCCAGCTCCCACAATTGCATAAGATCAAATACCCAAAAGAAACGTGTATATCCCTTCCAGTGGCTCTGCCTCTGTTGCTGGATCCTGACTAATACACAATCAGAGATATCGAGTGAAACTGGGATTAGAAAACTAGTGATCTACTTTCATTTCTGCCAATTCTGGCTCTGTCGTTTTGTGAAAATTATTTTACTTTTTTAAGCCTCAGTTTTTTTAAAGTATATGCCTTTTACCAAATGATCCTCTCAAATTTCATTCCAGCTCTAGGGCTATCAGGTGACTTGATGATTGTATGTCCAGATATACCAGATGCTTCATAAATAACTTTCTAACTGCAGTGTATGGAGATTATGTTATGATTGCATCTATTTTAATACTATCTTTGATGCTGAAGTACATAGCTTGTGTGAGAATAATGCCAGCTCAGTTCACAGTACAACCTTTCTACTCCATAGTATAATTTTGTAGAGGATGCTAAGCTTTAAAAGGTAGAGTTGTAAAAGGTAGGCTCTGGATAGGGCTGGGTCTAGATAGGTAAGGTAAGCAAGGCACTTAATGCACATTAAGAAGACACTCACTCTCACGTCTTGCAAATGTGTGGTCAGCACTTGAACTACCTGCAGAGTAAGTATCTCCTTAAATTTTATGCCCTAGGCCCTCACTCACTTCACCCTCATCCAAGTCCTGATTTCTAGAGCCAGACTGCTAGGTTTGAAGCAAAGATCTTCTACTTGCAAGTGTGATTGTAGTTACAGCCTCTGTTATTTTGTTATACCAGCCTGAGCTAAGACATTTCTCAACTTTTTCCAGAAACTCAATTAGCAGCCAGGCTCTTTAACAGCAGATAGACACAAATTCAAAAGTATCACACCACATTATGTTCCACATACAGTATTGGTTAACTATAATACACCAAGTAATGGCATTGCCCTATCTTGAGATATCTTTATGGATTAGAGGGGAACATTTTAAAATAAGAGCTGTAAAACTGTACTGTTGTAGAGCCTTAGATGATCAAATGACCTTAACCAAGTTTCTGATTAGTTTAACAGTATCGTTGGAAGAGACTTATTTTTCTGTCTACCAAACTGTAAGGCATTTGAGGGTAGGATCCATCTAATAATAATAACATATGCCAGTTATTTAATATTTAGTGGCTGCAAAGTGTTATTCTAAGTGGTTTGCATGTATAAAGTCATTTAATCCTGACAACTCCATTAGATTTTTAATTGAAAATTAGAATATCAATTAATTAATAATTACCATTATTATTCCCATTTGATAGATGAGGAAACTGCAACAGAAATACTAAATAATGGCTAGAGGAGCTAGCGAGTGGCAGGTCTGAGGTCGAACGAAGGCAGCCTAGCCCCCAGAGCCCTGTCTCGACCCTCCATCTCATTCACTGCTGAATCCCTAGTACTCACCCCAGAGCTCATCAGTTGGCTTCACTAAATGTTTATTGAATATATACCTAATGGCTGTTTTTATTAGATGAATGCCAAACCCAGTCACATAAACTTACTGTGTATTAAAAGAAGGAAGTATCCAGGAAATGGGGGTGAAAATGTCATTTAGAAACAGAGGAGGAAAGTGATGGAAGAATAAAGCCTGCATGCAGTAGGAAGGTTCGCTGGGAGTGGAGTGGCTGCAATACGAGAGGAAATAGCGTTACTGCATTTCTGCATTACTGCATTTTTACTTACAAGTGTGCGATCTTATACAAGTTATGTAATCCTTTTGAGTCTGCTTTCTCGTATTTAAAAAGCAGATAATCACAATATATATCATAAAGCTGTTTCAGAGGTTAAACACATATTTTAAGTAAAACACCTAAGAGGGTTACTGGCACATCGGTAGGGATCAATAAATGTTAGCTATCTTTAGTTTTACTTGCATTATACGCAGAACATTAGAGGCATGGAACAGTGTCTGACACATGGTTGAAATTCAATATATATTGACTGAGTGAATTAATGAATGAATAAAGATGGATCCATAAAGATAAATGGATGGCTAGATGGACAAAGTATGTTTTCTGAGTTCAGCTTCCCTAAAAAATACAGAGAATACAGAAAACAACCACTGAAAAATTATTGGCAATTATCTCTATATTGGAGGAAACAATTTAGAACAACCTCTGCTGGTCATGATTGGGTTCAGGGATATGACTGGATTGGAGGCAGTAAGGTGACTTCTTTCATTCATCTTCCAAGAAAACAAAGTACTACTATATTTGAACTTACCTGGTAACTTTTACTCTATGTTGTTGTCGTTGTTTTCAAAAATAAACAAACCCCTCCCCACTCTTTCCTTTCTCTTGTTTTCATTTGTGTTTTTTTAAGTGTTTCGTGCTCACTTACCTAAATTACAAAGGTAACTTGGAAACACAGGGGTCTACATAATACGAGGTATAAGGGATTATGTACTGCCATTGTGAGAACCCCTCATACAATCCTGCCTTTTTTCTTTAGTTTCCCTCTTTTTGATCAGATTATGCTCCTGGTGTAAATCAGGCTCAGGACCAAGAGCCCTGGTGGGACCAGCAAGAGGGACACAGCAGGAAAAAGAAGAACAATTCCTACCAAAGCATGTTACTAAGTTTCTTTCTCTCAGGAAGTAATAACAGGAATGTTTTCATTTTCTCAGTTCTAATGATTTCATACTGAAAGAGAAAAAATAAGTCACAAGACCAGTGATCTCCATGGCTGGATTGGCTCCAAGAGAAAAAATCCATGACAAGAATAGCTGGGAGTTGAGTCACTGTGCCCAGAAGTTCTGCAAACATGATTCAGGAGGTAATTCTCTCTGCTTTAGTGTAGCAGGAAGGTGTGGAGAAGGGTCCACTAACATGTATTAACAGCGTGCAGTTTGCCAGGCACCATCCCTGAGGCTTTTCTTGGTTTAGCTGATTTAATCCTTACAATAAACATCTGTGATAGGAAGCAGAGGGAAAGAGAGGTTAAGCAAGTTCCCCAGGGCCACACAACTAAAATGCTGCTCTATTTTGCTTCAGACCTGGAAGACCTGGCAATGTTATCTTAGTTTGGAATATTAACCAAAAATATAAAATTACAAAGACAGGCTCCAAATAGTTCTTTATGCTTTGGAAAAGTAAGAAGTCTCATAAAATATAATTGAATTGTGAAAAATGTAAAATCTTCAGTCTAGGTTAAAAAAAGTAATTATGGAAGAACACAAAATATATATTACTTACATATGTGTTATAGTAATATTATTTACATATGTTTATATTTTAAAATATGTAATATAAAATTACTTTTATATATAGTATAATTAAAAGAATGTACATGGTCTAAATATATTTTGATAAAAATAATATATAGTCTTCTTTCATATGCACACACACACAGAGACATATATATAATGGAAACATACAGAATGGTAACAGGTTTTTACCAACAATTGCTTGTAGCTAATGTAGAACATACTTGAGAAAATGGCTTCTGTGAAAGACCAGTTAGTACCAAAATAATCTGGCCCAGAAAAATAGCCACCATTCTTGACTACATTAATAGAAATAGAATAACCCCCAAAGGGAGATGAGAAGCATTCTAAAGTGCACTGATCATGAGTTTCTATGTGATGATTTGTGTCCATTTGGAGCTCCAGTGCTTTAAAGCTGAAATGAACCCTGGCCTTTCACCACCCTCCCTGCCCATAGTATGGTATATCCTCTTATTCCTTCCCTCTTAGCTTACTGAGAGTGTAATTTCCAACCAGTTAAGCCAAAGAGGACTATTTTCTAGAAAAGGAGAGAGAGAATGAATTAGCAGATAAATGAAGAGTGTGAGGGAGGCCTTTGGTGGTCCTAGGGTTGGAAGAGAGTTTTGGAGAAGCATTCAGGGATTTGCTTTCTACCAGGTGGCAGAATATAGGGAAAGATGGGAGTGTAAGGGGTTTGCATTTATGGAAGGATTCCAGATTTCTAAATGTATTGGCAGGAGCCAAGTTCCTGTCATGACCCTTGATTGGAGACCAGGGCTTCGAGCCAAACCACAAGGGATGATAGAGAACAATTGATAGAAAAATTCATTCATTTCCTGAGAAAGTAATAGGAAAATATAAACCCACAAACAAAAAGTGACCTTCCCATGCTCCCAGAGGGGTAACAGAATTGACAGTGGAAGGAGGGATTTTCCAGCCTAAACCTGGCCTATACACACTGTACTTAAGTAAGGAAGTGGGAAATGGTAGCCAAGTGTGAATTAAATAGCAACTCAACACCATTTTGGACAAAAAATGGGGCCAGGATTTAAGACATGGTGTGAAGCATCTGGTCAATTTCTTTGACCTGGAAATTCTAATTTCCGGAATGCATCGTATTGAAAAACCCACACAATTGTACAAAGACGGACATACAGTGATATTCACTTCAACATTGTTTGTAATAGTGATAATCTGAAAATGACTTAAATGTCCAGCAAAAATACATTAATTAAACATTAAAATATGCCTATTAAATGTTGTCCTTGAAAAAAAATAGCAAGATTATAAGTACTGACATGGAGAGATACCCAAGATTTATCATTGAATTGAAAACCACAGCTACAAAACAACATGGATGGGGAGTGATTAAAGCACATTATGATCCAAGTTTAACTTCAGACTTTTATTTTGTTTATACTGATGAATTTATAATATATAGATTTTTATTTTTATAATTAGAAAACATATGCAAAAAATTTAAGGGTATCAATGTGTAGCAAAGAAAAAAACAAAAGGAAGAATCTCCCTCCATAGTCAGGTAAAAAGTGAACGTGCTCTCAGGCAAACAGGAAAGGTTCCTTGAGACACTAGAAGGCAGGGGAGGGGTCTCCTGGGTACATTCTCCCTTCGCCTCCCACTGCCTCGCCTGGCGTTAAACACAGCTGGATTACATTTCTGCTTTCAGAAGTTTGCACTCAGAGTGACGGTCTCTCCTAGGAGGGGACCCTCAATTCTAATTTTGTGATCTGCCATCTCCAAACACTGTCCCCATTTTAAGTTGGTCCCAGCTTCACCCATTCATCTCCAGTCAGAGTTTCTCATGTTGGTTCTGCTGATTTCTGCTACTTTTGACCGTAGCCCATATTTATGTGTCGGTTGGAAGTCTGAAGTTTTCTTCACCATCTGGTTTCACTAAAGATAGAATGTGTGAGGATGTTTTATCTGATGCCTTCTTCCTCGTTATTATTCCAAAGTAGAAATTTCTGACTAAGCTGCTCCAGTGTTTTTTAATGGTATCATTTCTGAAGTTGGTTTCAATGGCCAATTTTGGAATTCATGGCTGAATATTAATTCTGTTTACCTCTTTGCATTCCAGCTATTATAATCCCAATTTACCCTAAAGAAACTCTTGCCTCAGATATTATAGGTGAAAAGTCTTAAACAAAGAAGTACAAGAAGAAAAAGCACGTTAATATATTTCCAACTATGGTCATGCCACAGAGGAAATAATAAATAACTTTGGTTTTAAAAACAGTGGCTATTTATGATTTTAAAAAGAAGGCAAATATTTGTCTGTTAAGTATTTGCAACTCTTGAGAAGGATTCCCTCCTTGACCAAACTTTAGGCAGGTTCCTTTTTAGTCAGAGCCCTCTTCTTGACTAGGCCTCAACATGGCTCTCATCCTTCTCCTTCAGAGACCAGTTTTAGCAAAGAATCCTGCTGAGCCACTTTATCAAGAATGCCCCCCCACCCTGATATACAATTAAGTACTTCTTTCCCAGGCCTTGATATCTAAGCAAGTTCTTTTTAGTAATTTTCCATCCACTCCTTCATCCGGCCTGTTGACTACAAATCCACACTTGTTGTATTCAGTGTTGAGTTTAGTCTTTCTCCCATATTGCAATAGTCTGTCTCTCTCATTGTAATAGTCTTGAAAAAAAATAAAAGTCTCTCTTGACATTTTAACAGGTGCCCACTGCAAAATTTATCTTTAACTCCACAAGGTTGCTATCAATACTCAACACTTTACAGATGTGGAAACTAAGGCTCCAATAGATCAAGTAATTATCCAAGGTCAAACCACTGGTAAGTGGTAGGAACAGATGTGAACTCAAGCACTGATATTCCAGAAACCAAACAAACACTTCGCTACTGCACTTTTTGTCTGACTTTCTCAGCTCAATAGTTTGTGAAAACATCTCAGTTTGGAACCAGTTTAGGTCATAAATGCCAGTTTTAGGGAAAGTATTAGGCAGGATGTATGATGATGGTATTTGGCAATAAGCCACACTATTGGGGTATGAAATCCAGTCCTCTGGCATGAACATCATAGGGCCAGCTACTGAGAACTATACATACTATCCCTACTTAGTGTTCCTGGCTGAGATATTCAACCCTGGCTCTTGGTTCTCCATCAGAATAAACAGTTATGGTACTATTAGAGTTTTCCCTTTAGTGTTCCATGTGCATTCACATGCAGGGTCTACACTGTTGCTGTTGATGAGGCAAGAGTTAATCAACTTTACTCTTCTCATTCCACAGAGATGGAAACCAAGGCACAGAACTACTGTGACTTTCCCAGAACCTCAGACCTAGACTGGTTTGCACCTTGAACTTGATTCCAGGATATGGATTCATGAAATGTTAGTCATCATATTTCATACTGAGAAAGGTCCTGGAAGGATCATCCAGACCAACGATTTTTATTTCTCTGAGCATAAAACTGAGACCTGTTTTATGATTTATCTAATATCACAAACAGTTGGTGACAGAAGTAGGAAATACAGCTGAGGCCAAAACTCATTCTGAACAGCAAATGAAAACAGATACTTTTGGCCGGGCATGGTGGCTCATGCGTGTAATCTCAGCACTTTGGGAGGCTGAGGCAGGCAGATTACCTGAGATTGAGAGTTTGAGACCAGCCTGACCAACATGGAGAAACCCCGTCTCTGCTAAAAATACAAAAAAATTAGCCGGGCATGGTGGTGCATGCCTATAATCCCAGCTACTCAGGAGGCTGAGGCAGGAGAATCGCTTGAACCCAGGAGGCAGAGGTTGCGGTGAGCCGAGATCGTGCCATTGCACTCCAGCCTGGGTAACAAGAGCGAAACTCCGTCTCAAAAAAATAAAAAAAAAAGAAAGAAAGAAAACAGATACTTTCATCGAATCCATTATGTGCCAGGCACTATTCTAAGAGCTTCACAACAAGCCTATGAAATAGGTGCTACCACTCTTTACAGATGAAGAACGGATGCAAGTTCACACAAGCAGTGCATTTCAGAGTTGAAATCAGAAACTATATAGTTTAGATCCAGAGACTTGCTGCACTTAAGGAACACACTGAACAAGGGAAGTTCTAGAATTGGGCAGACCTGGACTTCTGTCCTTGGGCATATCACTTAAGTTCTCTGAATCTTCTCTTACTCATCTGTTAAATGGCCATATTTCACATGAGTGTAAAATGGAGTAAATTAGGTAAGTCCTATAAAGCCCTGAGCAAAAATTCTCAATCAATATTAGTGTTGAATTAAGTTTCACTTAAAGCTGCCTCCTTGCATATTTTAAGTTCACCCTGACAGTTTTTCTGTACATAGTAAACTATAACCTAACTGGATGTGTAAACAGACTGTAACCTACTCCTGTGCCACTCACAGTTTTGGCCAATCAAAGGTGGCCAACCATTCAAACCATGTTAAAATAAGGCAAATGCTGGGCTGTAACCAACACTTCCATTTCTGTACCTCACTTCTGTTTTTTATAGGTCATTTTCCTTTTTCTGTCCATAAATCTTCTACCAGGCAGCTGCACCGGAGTCTCTCTGAGGCCACTCTGGCTCGGAAGTCTGCCTGATTGGTGAATAATTCTTTGCTCAATTAAACTCTACTAAATTTAATTTGTCTAAGGTTTTTCTTTTAACATTAGCTACTGATGTCACTATTAATATTAGCTAGTGATGACAACAGTTCTCCGGAATCCACCCTAGTCCTGTGGTCATTTTTAGATTTCTGGTTCTCTGACCACTACATTGCTAATCCTCCTTCTAGTAAATTTTCATCTACCTTGAACTTCCTTACACACTATTCCCCCTAAACGTTGTTCCAGTTGAGTGCCCAGCCAGAAAGATTAAAGCTCTCCCTGCTGAAATCTCCTTTCCCTCCAGCAGGAAACCAGTGTAGTTATGTTGTTTGTACTTGCCAGGATACACTTCCATTTCATATTTGCAAGTACACATAAAGGTATCCTTCATCAGCAGCACAGTGCTTCCTTTCCTCTGAATCTGCCATCAGCTCAGGCAGATTTCTAAGCAGCAAATCAGCCTTTGCCAGAACACTGCAGGACACCAGTGCAGCGCCCAGCCTGCGACCATGAGGTAAAGGATTTTTTCTTGCATTTATCCCTTGAAATTATGTTGTGTGCCTTTGAAAACCTCAAGGTAGATTTTCTTAGGTGCTGGATTTGGGCATCTGCTTAAATATTTAACATATCTTAGAGAATACTTGTTTCTTGTTAATTCAGGCATTTTAAAATCTGTGGCGCTTCCAGACTCATATCAACATTCCCTGATGGAAGCCTTTAGCAATCCTAACCAGGAAGTGGCCAGAGCCTGGAGCCAGAGACGAACGTCCCTCATAGGAGGGGTTGCTGGAGGAGGAGGGGCAAATCTATTTCATTCTGTCCTTGCAGGCACATTTTCATCAGTTAATGATGCAAACCAGGCTGAAACGTTCTTAACAAGCATGTGTGTTTCTGTTTTTCATTTGAAAGTCAGGAGCATGAGGCTATATTCATCATAGAGGCAGGGTTTCTCTGTGTCAGAGCTCAGCATTGGCAGCTCTAGCAAAGGACAGGCTGCATTTAGCTGGTTCTTTTCTAAGGAGCCACAGTCAGGCACTAAACCAGCATCTACACCTCTGAGGCCCCTAAAAGCCTCCAGTGAAGCTGGGCTTGATCAGACCTCAAAAAGATCTCCCTTTGCATTTTGCTCTTAGTTCTCAGTGATCTTTAAAAAATAATAATAATAAAAAGATTAGAATCATGAAAGATTTTTCTCAGGATATGAATACTATAGGCACACTAAAGAAACTTTGGAAAAATGCCAGCAAGTATAAGCGAAAAAAAATCATACTGCCCCTTATATCACCCACTGAAATTAAAATATTTAAACATTATGCTTCTGTGTACACCTGTATACGCTATATGTCAGGCCTCTGAGCCCAAGCTAAGCCATCATATACCCTGTGACCTGCACGTATAAATCCGGATGACCTGAAGTAACTGAAGAATCACAAAAGAAGTGAAAATGGCCTGTCCCTGCCTTAACTGATGACATTACCTTGTGAAATTCCTTCTCCCAGCTCTTCCTGGCTCAAAAGCTCCCCCACTGAGCACCTTGTGCCCCCCACCCCTGCCAGCCAGAGAACATCCGCCTTTGACTGTAATTTTCCACTATCTACCCAAATCTTATAAAAACAGCCCATCCCATCTCCCTTCACTGACTCTCTTTTTGGACTCAGCTCGCCTGCACCCAGGTGATTAAAAAGCTTTATTGCTCACACAAAGCCTGTTTGGTGGTCTCTTCACATGGACGCGAGTGACATTTGGTGCCGTGACTCGGATCGGGGAACCTCCCTTGGGAGATCAATCCCCTGTCCTCCTGCTCTTTGTTCCAAGAGAAAGATCCACCTACGACCTCTGCTCCTCAGACCAACCAGCCCAAGGAACATCTCACCAATTTTAAATCGGGTAAGTGGCCTGTCTTTACTCTCTTCTCCAATCTCTCTCACTATCCCTCAACCTCTTTCTCCTTTCAATCTCGGCACCACACTTCAATCTTTCCCTTCTCTTAATTTCAATTCCTTTCCTTTTTTGGTAGAGATACGGGAGATGTGTTTTATCTGTGGACTCAAAACTCCAGTGCTGGTCACAGATTCGGGAAGACAGTCTTCCCTTGGTGTTTAATCACTGCAGAGATGCCTGCCTGATTATTCACCCACATTTCATTGGTGTCTGATCACCGTGGGGATGCCTGCCTTGGTCATTCACCCACATTCCCTTAGTGGCAAGGCAATTGTGGGGACACCTGCTTTGGCTGCTCACCCACATTTGCAGCCCAGGGCTGCTCACCCAACCCCTTCTCTCCATGTCTCTACCCTCTCTTTTCTCTCCACTTTCCTGGGGGGCAAGGACCCCCTACCCCTTCTCCACTTTCCTGGGGGGCAAGCACCCCC
This sequence comes from Homo sapiens, assembly GCF_000001405.40. Lineage (NCBI taxonomy): Eukaryota > Metazoa > Chordata > Mammalia > Primates > Hominidae > Homo > Homo sapiens. The sequence continues at coordinate 89,285,750 of NC_000010.11, forward strand.
CACTCCTTCTCTCTGTGTCTCTACCCTCTCTTTTCTCTCCACTTCCCTGGGGGACAAACACCCCACCCCTTCCCCATGTTCCTGGGGTGCAAGAACCCCCCACCCCTTCTCTCTGTGTCTCTACCCTCTCTTTTCTCTGGACTTGCCTCCTTCACTATAGGCAAACTTCCACCCTCCATTCCTCCTTCTTCTCCCTTAGCCTGTGTTCTCAAGAACTTAAAACCTCTTCAACTCACACCCGACTTAAAACCCAAATGCCTTATTTTCTTCTGCAATGCCACTTAACCCCAATACAAACTCGACAGTGGTTCCAAAGAGCCATAAAATGGCACTTTTGATTTCTCCATCCTACAACACCTAGATAATTTTTGTCGAAAAATGGGCAAATGGTCTGAGGTGCCTGACGTCCAGGCATTCTTTTACACATCGGTCCCTCGTCCCTCCCTAATCTCTGTTCCCAATGCAACTCATCCCAAATCTTCCTTCTTTCCCTCCTGCCTGTCCCCTCAGTTCCAACCCCAAGTGTCACTAAGTCTTTCCAATCTTCCTTTTCTACGGACCCATCTGACCTCTCCCCTCCTCCCCAGGCTGCTCCTAGCCAGGCCGAGCCAGTTCCAATTCTCCCTTAGCCTCCGCTCCCCCACCCTATAATCCTTCTATCACCTCCCCTCCTCACACCCAGTCCAGCTTCCAGTTTCGTTCTGCGACTAGCCCTCCCGGACCTGCCCAGCAATTTCCTCTTAAAAAGGTGGCTGGAGCTAAAGGCATAGTCAAGGTTAATGCTCCTTTTTCTTTATCCAACCTCTCCCAAATCAGTTAGCGTTTAGGCTCTTTTTCATCAAATATAAAAACCCAGCCCAGTTCATGGCTTGTTTGGCATCAACCCTGAGATGCTTTACAGCCCTAGACCCTGAAAGGTCAAAAGGCCGTCTTATTCTCAATATACGTTTTATTACCCAATCTGCTCCCAACATTAAATAAAACTCCAAAAATTAAATTCCGGCCCTCAAACCCCACAATAGGATTTAATTAACCTTGCCTTCAAGGTGTACAATAATAGAGTAGAGTCAGCCAAGTAACAATGTATTTCTGAGTTGCAATTCCTTGCCTCCACTGTGAGAGAAACCCCAGCCACATCTCCAGCACACAAGAACTTCAAAATGCCTAAGCCGCAGCAGTCAAGCATTCCTAGAGGACCTTCTCCATCAGGATCTTGCTTCAAGTGCCAGAAATCTGGCCACTGGGCCAAGGAATGCCCACAGCCCGGGATTCCTCCTAAGCTGTGTCCCATCTGTGTGGGACCCCACTGAAAATCAGACTGTCCAGCTCACCTGGCAGCCACTCCCAGAGCCCCTGGAACTCTGGCCCAAGGCTCTCTGATTGACTTCTTCCCAGATCTTCTGGGCTTAGTGGCTGAAGACTGACACTGCCCGATCACCTGAGAAGCCTCCTGGACCATCACAGATGCTTTAGGTAACTCTTACAGTAGAGGGTAAGTCCATTCCCTTCTTAATCAATACAGAGGCTACCCACTCTGCATTACCTTCTTTTCAAGGTCCTGTTTCCCTTGCCTCCATAACTGTTGTGGGTATTGACGGCCAGGCTTCTAAACCTCTTAAAACTCCCCAACTCTGATGCCAACTTGGACAACATTCTTTTATGCACCCTTTTTTAATTATCCCCACCTGCCCAGTTCCCTTATTAGGCTGAGACATTTTAACCAAATTATCTGCTTCCCTGACTATTCCTAAACTACAGCCACATCTCATTGCCACCCTTCTTCCCAACCCAAAGCCTCCTTCATGTCTTCCTTTCATATCCCCCCACCTTAACCCACAAGTATAAGATACCTCTACTCCCTCCTTGGTGACCGATCATGCACCCCTTACCATCCCATTAAAACCTAATCACCCTTACACCACTCAATGCCAATATCCCATCCCACAGCACGCTTTAAAAAGGATTAAAGCATGTTATCACTTGCCTGTTACAGCATGGCCTTTTAAAGCCTATAAACTCTCCTTACAATTCCCCCATTTTACCTCTCCAAAAACCAGACAGGTCTTACAGGTTAGTTCAGGATCCGCACCTTATCAACCAAATTGTTTTGCCTATCCACCCTGTAGTGCCCAACTCGTACACTCTTTTGTCCTCAATACCTCCCTCCACAACCTCTCCACAACCCAGTATTCTGTTCTGGATCTCAAACATGCTTTCTTTACTATTCCTTTGCACCCTTCATCCCAGCCTCTTTTCACTTTCACTTGGACTGACCCCGACACCCATCAGGCTCAGCAAATTACCTGGGCTGTACTGCTGCAAGGCTTTGCGGACAGCCCCCATTACTTCAGTCAAGTCCAAATTTCTTCTTCATCTGTTACCTATCTTGGCATAATTCTCCATGAAAACACATGTGCTCTCCCTGCTGATCATGTCTGACTAATCTCCCAAACCCCAACTCCTTCTACAAAACAACAACTGCTTTCCTTCCTAGGCATGGTTAGGTATTTCCACCTTTGGATACCTAGTTTTACCATCCTGACTAAACCATTATGTAAACTGACAAAAGCAAACCTAGCTGACCCCATAGATCCTAAATCCTTTTGCCACTCCTCTTTCCATTCCTTAAAAACAGCCCTAGAAGCTGCCCCCATGCTAGCTCTCCCTAACTCATCCCAACCCTTTTCATTACACACAGCGAAAGTACAGGGCTGTGCAGTCAAAATTCTTACACAAGAGCCAGGACTGCATCCTGTAGCCTTTCTGTCCAAACAACCTGACCTTATTGTTTTAGGCTGGCCCCCACCCCCATGACTGTATCTCTCTGATCTACCTGACATTCACTCCATTTCCCCATATTTCCTTCTTTCCTGTTCCTCATCCTGATCACACTTGGTTTATTGATGGCAGTTCCACCAGGCCTAATCTCCACTCACCAGCAAAGGCAGGCTATACTATAGTATCTTCCACACCTATCATTGAGGCTACCACTCTGCCCCCTCCATTATCTCTCAGCAAGCCAAACTCATTGCCTTAACTCGGGCCCTCACTCTTGCAAAAGTACCACACATCAATATTTATACTGACTCTAAATATGCCTTCCATATCCTGCACCACCATGCTGTTACATGGGCAAAAAGAGGTTTCCTCACTACGCAAGGGTCCTCCATCATTAATTCCTCTTTAATAAAAACTCTTCTCAAGGCTGCTTTACTTCCAAAGGAAGCTGGAGTCATTCACTGCAAGGGCCATCAAAAGGCATCAGATCCCATTGCTCAGGGCAATGCTTATGCTGATAAGGTAGCTAAAGAAGCAGCTAGCATTCCAACTTCTGTCCTTCACGGCCAGTTTTTCTCCTTCTCAATGGTCACTCCCACCTACTCTCCCACTGAAACTTCCACCTATCAATCTCTTCCCACACAAGGCAAATGGTTCTTGGACCAAGGAAAATATCTCCTTCCAGCCTCACGGGCCCATTCTATTCTATCGTCATTTCATAACCTCTTCCATGTAGGTTACAAGCCACTAGCCCACCTCTTAGAACCTCTCATTTCCTTTCCATCATGGAAATCTATCCTTAAGGAAATCACTTCTCAGTGTTCCATCTGCTATTCTACTGCTCCTCAGGGAATGTTCAGGCCCCCTCCCTTCCTTACACACTAAGCTCGGGGATTTGCCTCTTCCCAGGACTGGCAAATTGACTTTACTCACATGCTTCAAGTCAGGAAACTAAAATCCCTTTTGGTCTGGGTAGACACTTTCACTGGATGGGTAGAGGCCTTTCCCACAGGGTCTGAAAAGGCCACCATGGTCATTTCTTCCCTTCTGTGAGACAAAATTCCTCTGTTTGGCCTTTCCACCTCTATACAGTCTAATAACGAACCGGCCTTTATTAGTCAAATCACCCAAGCAGTTTCTCAGGCTCTTGGTATTCAGTGGCGCCTGGTTTTACCTCAAACTGCCACCCTTAAGTCTCTGTTTGAACGGATAGAAGATCTTTGGTGACAAAGTATACTCTAATACTTTCACCCCGATGAAGTCCTATTCTTTACTTTTACACTTACTCTTATTCTCGTTCCCATTCTTAGGCCACCCTCTACCTCTCCCCAGCTATCTCCACCACACTATCAATCTCAGTCACTCTCTCCTAGCCATTTCTAATCCTTCTTTAACAAACAATTGCTGGCTTTGCATTTCTCTTTCCTACAAAATCGCTGAGGCCTTGACTTACTCACTGCTAAAAAAAAAGGGTGGGGGGGACTCTGTATATTTTCACATGAAGAGTGCTGTTTTTACCTAAATCAATCTGGCCTGGTATATGACAACAATAAAAAAAACTCAAAGATAGAGCCTAAAAACTTGCCAACCAAGCAAGTAATTACACTAAACCCTCTTGGACCCCCTTGGACACTCTCTAATTAGATGTCCTGGGTCCTCCCAATTCTTAGTCCTTTATTATCTGTTTTTCTCCTCCTCTTATTTGGACCTTATGTCTTCCATTTAGTTTCTCAATTCATCCAAAACCGTATCCAGGCCATCACCAATCATCCTATACAACAAATGCTCCTTCTAACAACCCCACAGTATCACCCCTTACCACAAAATCTTTCTTCAGCTTAATCTCTCCCACTCTAGAAGCAGCCCTGAGAAACATCGCCCATTATCTCTCCATGCCACCCCCAAAATTTTTGCTGCCAACACTTCAATACTATTTTATGCTATTTTTCTTATTAATATAAGAAGACAGGAATGTCAGGCCTCTGAGCCCAAGCTAAGCCAACATATCCCCTGTGACCTGCACGTATAAATCCAGATGGCCTGAAGTAACTGAAGAATCACAAAAAAAGTGAAAACGTCCTGTCCCTGCCTTAACTGATGACATTACCTTGTGAAATTCCTTTTCCTGGCTCATCCTAGCTCAAAAGCTCCCGCACTGAGCACCTGGTGACCCCCACCTCTGCCAGCCAGAGAACAACCCCCTTTGATGTAATTTTCCACTATCTACCCAAATCTTATAAAACGGCCCCGGCCCTATCTCCCTTCACTGACTCTCTTTTCAGACTCAGCCTGCCTGCACCCAGGTGATTAAAAAGCTTTATTGCTCACACAAAGCCTGTTTGGTGGTCTCTTCACGTGGAAAAGAGTGAAACTATATAAAATAGATTTCTTTGGAAAATATTTCAAAGTTAAGGGTGTATGTTACAGTTGGTTTCATCTTATCCTTTCACTTAACATTATATTGTGAGTGTTTTCTGATATTATTACAATTTTTCAATGACATGGGTATTGAGAGCTTCATAATAATATTGCAAAATATGGATGTAGGATGTAGGATGACTTCTCGGTCTCCTTTCTTTGTTCTTTTTTTCATTTCCTTTCTTCCATCCTTCCTTCCTTTCCTCCTTCATTCCTTTTTTCCTTCCTTCTCTCCAATCCTTCCTCTTACTTCCTTCCTTTGTTCCTTCCCTCCATTCTCTTCTTCCTCATTTTTTCCCCTTCCTCCCTGCCTTCCAGATTCCTTCCTTTTTAGCTTAATTAAATGTATACATTCACATCATTTAAATAGTCAACGTGATCTACAAGGTAGGAGACATAGCAACCCCCTTCCCCATTCCACCCTATTTCCCAGTCTCCAGAGGTAACCACATATAACTCTTTTGGTGCCTATTTTGTGATTTGTTGCCACACCCTGAGATTCTTCCATGCTGTCTTTTTTCAGTTTAAAGTATTTATTATAGTTAACCTACCACAATACATGATACCATGATACACATGAGTTATATAGTCTTAACTAGCCTTTTGATTTTTTTTTTCTTTTAAGCATGAGACCACAAGGAGTCACATACTGACCTTTAGGCAGGACAGTGCTTTACTCAGAAATCCCTGACCATGAGCTGAGTGCAATGATTCCTTGACTGTGGGTTGGCTCCCCTGGGAAAGGTCCCATTATGTTCTATGTTTGGGAAGAAGTGTATACATGGTTATTTAGGGCCAGAGCAGGATACTGTTGTGGAAACAACTCATGATCCTTCCAAATTAGTGTTTCCCCTTCATAATATGAAGTCGTCACCAGGAAGGGGGCTTCCTACTCTGCAGCTACATGAACTAACCTTCACTTCTCCCCAGGTGGGCCATGAACTAGTGCTTCCTAATAGAATGTGAGTGAATGTGATGTATGTCATTTCCAAGTAAAGATGGTTAAGAATCAGGTGTACCCTCTTTACTCTCAATTTCCAGGCTCTAGGGGATGGTAGAGTCACAGGATGGAAGAACTCTGTGTCCTTGAATCATTGCATGGAAGAGAACTGGAAGTTGCCCAGGAACACCAGCCTTGGACAGTTATGTGAACAAGAAATAAACTTCTTTTACAGTGTCATTTATGTTTTTGAGCATCTTTGTTACAGCGGCTAGGTGTATACTAATTCAGGGATTCTGTGATAGCAATATTTCTTCTTCTTTTGAGTAGGTTTCCAAAACTTGATTTTCCACAATTCTGAAATATTTTGGTTCTGGGATAAACTTTTCTACTCTTTTGGCAGCACAAAGATCCCTTTGTACAGAGGCACTGATTTGTCTTCTTCTGGAGTAGCATCCCAGTTTCTCACTGTGGCCAACAAAGCGAATAAAAAGAAAAAAAGGATCTGAAATAGCAATCCAGCGGCAGCCACCAATACCTGATAATACTATAGTCAAAGCTCCACATTAGAGAACAGACCACTTTCAGGTGAGTGGCCCCTGGCCCTAGAAGTAAGTGGTATTCAAAGATGGTAAATGGTATGGGTGGCAGTAGAAGGTAGTAATAACTAACCCTTATTGGGCATTTACCATGTGCCAAGCACTGTTCTCAGAGCTTTATACATAGTAGTCCACTCAATCTCCACAAAACCCTATGTGGTAAATACTAACATAATTCCTTTTTCTTTTTTAGAGACCTAGTCACGTTCTGTCACACAGGCTGGAGTACAATGGTGCAATCTTGGTTCACTGCAGCCTCAAACTCCTGGGCTAAAGCAATCCTCCTGGGTAGCTAGGACGACAGGCTCATGCCACCATGCCTGGCTACTTTTTTTTTTTTTAATTGTAGAGATAGGGTCTTGCTATGTTGCCCAGACTTGTTTCAAACTCCTGGCCTCAAGCAATTCTCCTGCCTCTGCCCCTCAAAGTGCTGAGATTACAGACATGAGCCACTGTACCTGGGCACAATTCTCATTTTAAAAATGAAGAAATTGAGGCACAGAAAGGTTTCTAATATGGTTTGGCTTTGTGTCCCCACCCAAATCTCATCTCAAATTATAATCCCCATAATCCTCATGTGTCAAGGGCAGGACCTGATGGGAGGATTGGATCATAGGGGTGGTTTCCCCCATATTATTCTCATGATAATGAGTGAGTTTTCATGAGAGCTGATGGTTTTATAAGCATCTGACATTTCCTCTGCTTACATTCACTCCCTCCTGCTGCCTTGTGAAGAAGGTGCCTTGCTTCCCCTTTGCCTTCTGCCATGATTGCAAGTTTCCTGAGCCCTCCCCATGGAACTGTGATTCAGTTAAACCTCTTTCCCAGTCTCAGGTAGTATCTTTCTAGAGTATGAGAACAGACTAACACAGTTTCCATCTCTATTACTTAACAGCAGCAGCCAGATCCCGGCCCCCTTTTCTCCACCCATATGTAATTCCTCTTACGGTCTCCACTTACTCTTTTTTTTCCCCATGGACTTGTCCCATATTGTCTAATTTATTTATTATTGTATTAGTCTACATTGGCTGCCATAATGAAAAATCACAGACTAGGTGGCTTAAGCAACAGAAATCTATTTTCTCACAGTTCTAGATGCTAGAAGTCCAAGTTGGTTTCTGGTGAGACCTCTCTTCCTGACCTGGAGATGGCAGCCTTTTCTTTATCTTCACATGGCCTTTCCTCTGTGTGAGATGAGAGAGAGAGAGAGAGAGAGAGAGAGAGAGAGAGATATCTGAGGTCTCTTCTTTTTCTTCTTGTTTGTATGAAGACGTCAGTGTTACCAGATTAGGGGTTACCAGATTAGGGGCCCCACCCTTAAGACCTCATTTAACCTTAAATACCTCCTCACAGGCCCTATCTCCAAACAAAGTTACGTTGAGGGTTAGGGCTTCAATGATGAATTTTGGGAAAGGAGTTGGGAACTCAATTCAGTCCAAAGCAGTTGTTTATTGCCATCTCTTCCTGATAGAATATAAGCTCCATGAAGACAGAGATCTTTGTGTACTGATGTATCTTAAGAGCCTAGAATGGTGCCTGGCACATAGTAGATTCTCAGTAAGTATTGATTTGATGAACGAATGGTGAATGAATGAATGAAACAAATACTCCTAGTGTTCTAACAGGGATAAGTGTACAAATTGTCCCAGCAGAAGTTTATTTAGCATGGTCTTATTTCTGAATAGGACTATGGAAAGATAAAGTCATTTACCCGCATCAAGTTTCCACTCAAAGACTGCCCAACTGCAGTCTAAAAAATTAATGCTGAAAAATGTCTTAGTCCATTTTTTTCTGCTATAACAGAATACCACAGATGGGCAGATTGGGAGATTGGGTAATTTATAATGAACAGACATTTATGGACACATGGTTCTGGAGGCTGGAAAGTCCAAGATCAAGGGGCCACATCTGGCCAGGGCCCTCTTACTGGGTCATCCCATGATGGAAGGGTAAATAGGGGGTGAGGGTGAGCAAGAGAAGGTTGAAGTCATCCTTTTATATGGAACTCCGTCCCTCAATAATGGCATTAATCTATTCAAGAGGACAATGCCCCCATAACCCAAATACCTCCCATTAGGTCCCACCTCCCAACACTGCCACATTGGGGATCAAGTTTCCAACACATGAACTTTGGAGGACATATTCAAACCACAGCAAGAAGAAATGGTGTTTAATTAATTTTTGAAAAAAGAATAAGAATGGGGAGCTGGCCAAGTGCTGTGGCTTATGCCTGTAATCCCAGCACTTTGGGATGCTGAAGCAGGAAGATCAGTTGATCCCAGGAGTTTGAGAGCAGCCTGGGAAACATAGTGAGACCCTATCTCTACAAGAAATAAAAAATTAGCTGGGTGTAGTGGCACTCATCTGTGATCCCAGCTACTCAGGAGACTGAGGTGGGAAGATCACTTGAGCCTGGGAGGGAGGTCAAGGCGACAGTGAGCTCTGATTGCGCCACTGCACTCCAGCCTGGGTGACAGAGCAAGACTCTGTCTGAAAAGAAAAAAGAAAAAAAGGAAGAAAGGAAAGGAAATGAAATGAAAGGAAAGGAAAGGAAAGGAAAGGAAAGGAAAGGAAAGGAAAGGAAAGGAAAGGAATGGAAAGGAAAAAAGAATGGGGAGCTATTTTATTAACTATATCAATATTTTTGAAGTTCATGTGGAAGACCATTTTAAACGTGTATTTGTGAATGAGTACAGAAGGGAATGTCATATAGGTGGGAACACATTGTTTTCAAATTACAGCCCATTGTGGGGATCAAGAGAACCCACTGGGCTACCTAAGTATTCCTCTAACAAGTGCGAATACTATTGAACAGTCACCAGCTCTTCTAGGTGGACAAAACTTCAGTTAAAAATAGACTCAAAACAAAAAAGAGGGTCAAATTTTTTAAAAAATCTCAAGGAAAAAGCATAGAGTTTCATTTTATAGAAGTAAAAGTATTTTTGCTTACATTCAATATATTATTTGGTTCTCAGACTTTAGCATCCATTATAATTATCTGGAAGGCTTATCAACACCTAGATTTCTGGGTCCCACACTGGAATTTCTGATTCTATCAGTCTAGAATGGGGCCTAAGAATTTGCACTTCCAGGTGATGCTGATATTGCTGGTGGCAAGTAGCAATATGAGAATTATTGCATTATACCATCTGTAGTTGATGTAACCCATTCCAGGAACAGGAAGCAAATCTATATTCTATATAAATGAAATCTATTGTTCTAGGAAATATGAACAGGGCCTATATTCCAGGAAAAAGACACATATATATTTGTAGCAACGAGGTTAGGCAGAACTCTTTCTAATAAGTTTCATTTTCTCAAAATAGAAATAACACCAGGAGAAAGTTGGTTTTCCTTTTCAGTTGCTATTTTGCAATCACATTGCATGCATAGTCTCACACTAACCCAGCTACTAAATCAGCTGATGCATACCTGCTGTGGTAACATTATATACAGGCACTAGCCATACAAATTTCTGAAGTGTAAATCAGTATCTCAACCATTTCAAAGCACAGTGACCATGGCAAAACCTTTCTCTATGCTTCTCCCCAACCAGTACCTTTATTCACAAGATTTTAAAATTCCTATCCAATAGTTTTCTTGAATACTGAGTTCAAAAAATAAATCAAACCAAACCCACAGCATTTCCACTTTCCTATTTCAGCATTTCTTAAAAACCTAACATACATTTCTGTAAGTACCTAATAGAACTTGTAAATAGAAGCCAGGCACTGTGGCTCATGCCTGTAATCCTAGCACTTTGGGAGTGCTTCCCAAGGCGGGCAGATCCCTTAAGGCCAGAAGTTCATGACCAGACTGGCCAACATGGCAATACCCCATCTCTACTAAAAATACAAAAATCAGCTGGGCCTGGTAGCTGGGCCAAGTAGCCAGCTACTTGGGAGGGTGAGGCACGAGAACTGCTTGAACCCGGTAGGCAGAGGTTGCAGAGAGCCAAGATCTCACCACTGTAGTCTAGCTTTGGCAACAGAGCGAGACTGTCTCAAAAAAAAAAAAAAAAAGAAGAAGAAGAAGAACTTGTAAACAGAAAAGGAACTTGAAACTCTTGCGTAAGACACAAAAGTAAGGGTTTCCAACTGGGACAGGCTTAGCTGTGCATCCTAATCAAAGGGTGGAGACTTTTTAGGAAGGATAGTTTCTTTTTCCTCCCTGCCCTAGGCAGAAAAAAAATTATGGTAAATAACTTTTCCCAAGACTGAATAACCTACCTTAACAACCTCAGTTTTGCTGGAGAATGTGTTCTATCTGTGCTTTGTGTAATTTTCTGACCTCAATCTTTGAGGTACTATTATTTTCTTTTGGGCCTATATACATGATTACCCCCTTTGTGACTAAGGGTATGAATAAGGAAAATACATTTCTTCTATCATTACAAAACACTATGGCTGTACATTGTGATTTGGGGATGTCAAATACCAGGGCAACAAGCAGGGATTTAAAATATGGTGGGGATTCTGGTTCAGGATGGCTGACTAGAGACATCAGACACCCACCCTCTCTAGAAAGAAGAACCAAAATTATGAATAGATAATTATACCTCGAATAGAACATCTAGGAGACAACACTAGAATTCAACAGAGAAGTCATGGGAAACACCCAAGGCGCAGAAGAAGAAGGTATCAAGTGGCCAGCTTGGCTGAGATTGGCCAGGATAACAGAGGGCCTTGGCATTTCAGGGAAAGGTCAAATGAGAGAACTTCAGCAGTCCACATCCCTCCTGCAAACTGCTGCAATCTGAAACATGAGAGAGTTTCTCTACCCATACAAACTCTGACACCAGTATGGGTGGTGATTTGGAGACCCCACAAGGGTATTTCATGAGACAGGGAACTCACGCTGGGTCTCTCAGCTCCCCCAAGACCTAAGCGGCACCATTGTGAGACTATAGTCATGGAATTACATCCTATCCTGGGAACCGCAGCTCCCATATCTCCATATCCCAGGAGCCCCCAGTGATATTTCCCAGTATCCACCCAGTGGGCTACAGTGACACAGCACTGGCTAGACCCAAAGGTAATACAGTGTCCGCAGCACCCCAGCCCACAGGGAGTACTACTCCCCAGGGAAAGAATGGTGCAATGTGCCAAAAAGACAGCCCCTGATACAAAGGAAACTAAAACATGTCCTTTCCAGAGCCTCCTGTTTGGGGCTGTGAGAAGTGACCCTACCCTTAGCAGCACCACAAACTCTGTACTCGGCCTCACAAGTGGATAGTGAGATACTCTCCCACTAGTGAAGCAGGCTGTGTGCTTGGGCTTACATGTAGAGAGCAGAGCCCCTTCTTGTCCTCTACACACTGCTGCAGGCACAGCCACTGATGCTACTACCAGAGGCTGGGGCAGGGAAGCCAGATGGCCGCCTGTCTGGTGCTGTGAGTGGTGACTGCACCCCCACTGGACGCATGGCCTCTGTGCCTAGGCTCACACCTAAAGAACAGCGTCTCTCCTCTCTCTGCACAGTGCTGCGGGGTTGCTATTACAGAGAATGAAAGAGCCTGAGAGCTGTGTGTCTGTGGTATAGGTGGCAACCCTGCACCACAGCCACTGCCAACATCAGTGTACACTTATCAGAACCCAAGGGTTTGTCCCACCGTTGGCTACTGCCATTGCCCAGATCACATCAGCTGCCCAGGGACTTGAGAACCCACTCACCCACCTGGCCCACTGCTGCCACTATCAGCATCTGAGCAAGCTATCTGGGGGCCCAGGAATTAGCCTACCTGGTCCCACTAACACCAGTGCCAGTGTATGTTGTTCTGGGGCCGAAGATCAGACATCCTCAACCCACTGCTGCCACCACTGGGGCCTGAAGACTGGCCCACATGGCAACCCTGTTCCCAGTAAAATGTCACGATAGCCTCCAAGAATAAACCCCACCCTAAACCATCAAGGAAATCATATATATCACTGATCACAGCCAAATAAATTGTACAGAGGCTACACTACCATGCACACTCAGAATCAAAGTTGAAGTGCCTTACTCAACCAATATTGTTGATATATCTTCAGGAAAAAGTCCTCCCCTACAAAAGCAAATTCAAAAATTGAAAGAAGTGACTATTATATTAGATGCTCAGATATCAGTGAAAGGACACAGGAAGCATGTAAAAGCAAGGAAATATGATACCTTCAAAGGAATACAATTCCCCAGCAACAGATCCCAATCAAAAAGAAATCCAGGAAAAACTATTCAAAATTATACTAAGCACAGTGCCTCACACCTGTAATCCCAGCACTTAGGGAGGACAAGGAGGGTGGATCACCTGAGGTCAGGAGTTCCAGACCAGCCTGGCCAACATAGTGAAAACCCATCTCTACTAAAAATACAAAAATTAGCCAGGCACGGTGGTACATGCCTGTAATCCCAGCTCGAGAGGCTGAGGAAGGAGAATCACTTGAACCAGGGAGGCAGAGGTTGCAGTGAGCAGAGATCGCACCACTGCACTCCAGCCTAGGCAACAGAGTGAGACTCCATCTCAAAAAAATAAAAAATAAAAAAATAATATATATGTATATATAAAAAATACTAAAGAAGCTCAGCAAGATACAAGAGATTTCCAAATCCAATACAATTCAAACAATACACAGAAATCGGAGAAACAATTCAGGATATGAATGAGAAATTTGCCAAAGAAATAGGTATCATAAAAATAACCAAACTGAAATTCTGGAACTGAAGAATTCCTTGAATGAAATACAAAATATACAAGAAGCTTCAACAGTAGACTAGACCAAGCAGAAGAGAAAACATCAGAACTTGAAGACAGGTCTTTTGAAATAATCCAATAAGACGAAAATAAAGAAAAAAAAAGAATTAAAAAGTATGAACAAAGTCTTCACGATCTATGGGACACCATAAGGTGACCAAATATATGAATTATCAGTATCTCCAAAGGCGAAGGGAAACTGAAAGGGTTTGAAAACCTATGTAATGAAATAATAGATGAGAACTTCCCAAGTCTAGTAAGAGATTTAGACATCCAGATACAGGAGGCCCAGCAATCCCCAATCAGATACAGTGAAAAACGTTCTTCTCCATGGCGCATTATAGTCAAACTATCTAAAGTCAGTGACAAAAAGAAAATTTTAAAGACAGCAAAGGAAAAGCATCTCATCACCTATAAAGGAGCTCTGGTATATGTGACCAACAGGCATATGAAAAAATACTCAACATCACTCAACCCCAAGGAAATGCAAATAAAAATCACAATGAGATATCATCTCACCCCAGTTAGTATGGCTATTATTAAAAAAAAAAATAACAAATGCTGGCAAGGATGCAGGGGAAAGGGAACTCTTATACACTGTTGGTAGGAATGTAAATTAGTACAGTCATTATGGAAAACAGTATGGAAAGCTCTCAAAAAACTAAAAATAGAATTTTCATAAGACCCAGCAATCACACTACTGGATGTCTATCCAAAGGAAAATAAATCAGTAAATCAAAAGGATACCTGCACTCACATGTTCATCACACCACTATTCATAATAGCAAAGATATGAAATCAACATAGGTGCTCATCAGTGAACAAATGGATAAAGAAAATATTGTATATATACACAATGGGATATTATTCAGCCATTAAAGAGGAATGAAATCATGTAATTTGCAGCAATGTAGTTGGAACTGGAGACCATTATGTTAAATGCAATAAGCCAGGCACAGAATGACAAATACTGCATGTTCTTACTGAAATGTGGGAGCTAAAAAACTTTATCTCATGGACATTGAGAATAGAATAATAGATACCAGAGACTGGGAAGGGGGGTGGTGGGAAGATGAGAGTTAGGTTATGGGTACAAACATGCCGTTAAATAAAAAAAATAAGTTCTAATGTTTGATAGCCGACTAGGGTGACTATACTTAGCAACAATATTATGTATATTTTAAAGTAACTAGAAGAGAGGACTTTAAATGATACCAACACATAAAAATGATAAACACTGAAGGTGATACATACCCCAATTACCCTGACTTGATCATTAAACATTCTTTGCACGTAACAAACACTCACATGCAACTCATAAATATGTAAATTATTATACATCAATAAAAAGGGGGAAAATATTGTGGGGCTTGGGGAAGCCAAGAACATAAGGAGATGTTAGGAATTGTTTGGCTTAGGTCAGTAATTGTGATGGATTGTTGAATGTCAGAGGAGATAAAGTTCTGGAAAAAGCCAACATTGAAATTTCCCCTGGCCGGGCGTGGTGGCTCACGCCTGTAATCCCAGAACTTTGGCAGGCCAAGGCGGGCAGATCACCTGAGATCAGGAGTTCGAGACCAGCCTGGCCAACATGGTGGAACCCCATCTCTACTAAAAATACAAAAATTAGCCGGGCGTGGTGGTGCGTGCCTGTAATCCCAGCTACTCGAGAGGCTGAGGCGAATCACTTGAACCAGGGAGGTGGAGGTTGCAGTAAGCCAGGATCTTTCCACTGCACTCCAGCCTGAAAAAAAGAGTTTCCCCTCTGATCACTTTGGTTAACGATTTTAGTTAATAATTATAATAGAAACTAGCATTTACTTATTACTGCCAGGCATTATTCTAAGGACATTTCACGTATTCTCTCATTTCATCCTCCCAACACCACAATAAACCAGTAGTTGTATTATTCCCAATTTACAAAACCGAAGCAGAGACATTCAATAATTTTCCCCAGAGTTTCATAGCATAAAGGTGGAAGCTGATTTCAAATCCAGATAGACAGACATCACTGCCCATGCTTCTAATCATGTATTCATTTAGTCAACAACTACTTTTGGAATGCTTGCCATACCATGCAATGTGCAGGTTGTTTTGCAGGGACTGGAGATTCAGCAATGATTCAGACTAAAATCCCCTGCCCTGTCGAGGCTAAATAACTGCTCCTTACAGTGGCCTGTGGATCATATTGGTATAAGGCAGAGCAAAGATGGGTTAATATGGTAATCACAAGGCAGGGAGCTTTGTAAATGTGTCCTCCTAGGAGTTGTGCTCCCTTGATGCCATCAGTACATTCCACAAAGAGGAAGTTCTTCTAACTCACTACGCAGCTGGGCTTGGCTCTTACTCAAGAGCATTTTGGGGTGAAAATATCTAAGTTTACCAGCCCTTGTGCAAATCTGAGATGAAGGACTACATTAAAAGTAAAATTCACCTTAGCAGGAAGTGGGGTTTGCTATTCTGTGTATATCTTTAACAGTATCTGCTGAAAAGAACCCTTTTGTTAAATAATTGTATTACAAGTCCCCAACTTAATCTTTTCGAATATGAAATAAGAGAGGGACAGTGCACAAGAGCAATGTCCCCAGACCCATCTTTAAGTGAAGCACCAGGCCGATGAAACATCCCTCTCTGCTGCCTTCTTTCTCTGATCACAACTCAGCTCCGGAGGAAAAAGAGTCCTCTAAAGTATAATAAAAAGAAAAAAAGAAAAAGAGTCCTGCCAATTTCACTTTCTAGTTTCACTTTCCCTTTTGTAACGTCAGCTGAAGGGAAACAAACAAAAAGGAACCAGAGGCCACTTGTATATATAGGTCTCTTCAGCATTTATTGGTGGCAGAAGAGGAAGATTTCTGAAGAGTGCAGCTGCCTGAACCGAGCCCTGCCGAACAGCTGAGAATTGCACTGCAACCATGAGGTAAATATTTTCCCTTCGTATTCGGTAGTGCTGTTGAGTCATCTTGTCCAATGCAAATCCTGAGAAGCTATGTTCCCAAAGAGGGCCAGCTCCATTTTAGTGTTTGTTTATAGCCTTACTATGCCTCTACCTCTGTTGGTTGTAAATCTGTCTTACCAATGGTGGTTTGTTCCCTCCTGAACAATTTTCTGCTTCACACTGGCAAGCTTCCTAAATTCATCTCCAGAACTGCACGCCTGGGGAGTTGAGTTGCAATCAGAGAAAGAAGGCAGCAGAGAGGGATGATGTTTCATCGGCCTGGTGCTTCACTTAAAGATGGGTCTGGGGGCATTGCTCTTGTGCACTGACCCTGTCTTATTTCATATTTGAAAGGATTAAGTTGGGGACTTGTAATACAATTATTTAACAAAAGGGTTCTTTTCAGCAGATACTGTTAAAGATATACACAGAATAGCAAACCCCACTTCCTGCAAAGGTGAATTTTACTTTTAATGTAGTTCTTCATCTCAGATTTGCACAAGGGCTGGTAAACTTAAATATTTTCACCCCAAAATGCCTCCTGAGTATGAATTAGAGATGGAGTGCTTGGAGAAAATAGTTCTGTTCTCACCTCTAACATTCCCTTCTATCCCCAAAACATGAGACTGCCCTGGAGAGGAAGTGTTAGCTCATTGAATAGGAAGGGAAATATTTTCTCCAGTTTGAAGGTGGGGTGGCCGGACCTGGTTGCCTAACCCTCATCCTGGGAGCTCTGGAATCCCGTGTTACCAACCCCTGTGCTTACTTCCTATGAGACACCTTGCCCTCTGTCTGTGAGGTTCCTGATTTCTCTTCTTGAAACGATATTATTTCCTGCTAGTCTAAATGTTCTGCCTGATTTCAAAAAAAAAAAAAAAGATTTGAGATATTTACAGATTTCTTTTTTTTGTAGTCACCCAGAATCTATAGAACCCTTTTCTTATTTCTTAGAATTTTAGCATGGTCTTATCTTAGAATTTTTCCCATTACAATACAGACCCATCTGTCCTTTCTTTCCTTAATTCTTTATCTATTGTGACTTTCACTGGGCATTGCCCTTGTGCCCTAAGACAGTGGTTCTCAAAATTGAGCATGCATAAAAATTGCCTGGACAGCTTATTAAGGACAGAGTCCTAGGGTTGACTCCCCAGAGATTCTCATTAAGTGGGTCTGGGTTAGAGTCTGAGGATGTGTGTTTCTAAAAGGCTCCTCAGTGATTCTGAGACTGCGGTGGTAGCATTAGTTCTGAGCCTGGTTGATAATGTCACTGTGGCTTTCATCCAGATAAGAGGCAAAGGAAGAAATTGTTGTTGTTGTGTATACAACTGGAACTTCTATAGGAATCGGGAGAATAGGTCCTCACAAGCCAGAGCCCAGGAAGCAAGTGTCTGGCATCAGCTTCTCTAACTTACCAGTGGAAATAAAAACCCAAAATCAAGCAGTGAAGTTGGATGCCTTTTAAATGGCTGCTCAAAGGGCTTTTACCTAAGTGTGTATATTAAATATCTCTATCCTGCAAATGCACAATAGACTTTATGTTTTATATGGTGGAGATAACCTCAATTCTATTTACTCTCTCTGTTTCTTTTGTAAAATGAGAAAGGAGCTAAGGAGTTTATGTGTTAAGGGAATGAGCTCCCAAACTCAACTGGAAGTTGGAAATAGAATTGAGAGGGAGCAAGGAAGCTATAGTGAGTCTTCAGGTGTTAGGATGCGTGCTGCACATGCTTGGGGTCTGAGAGTGGTCATATTCTGTAGGACTCACCATATTCTGTAATGAATGCAGTAGAGAGTGTGACTGAGATGCACATGGAGAAAACACAGGGTCTGAGCCCTCCAAGCTCCCCAGTGTCCTGTTCTGATCCTCCTGGGGTCACTACAGTCCTACCCATGGTCCTGTGAAGCACTCTAGTAACTTTAAATCAGTTCCTGCTCACCTCTGTTTCTTGGAACAAATGGAGACTTAACTATCCCAGGCAGAATAAACAAACAAACAAACAAAAATAGGATGGAAAATAGGCAGGAGTTTATAGGAAGGACCCGCCTTCCATTCAAAGCTCCAAATAGGTCTTAGCAAAGAGCCAGGTTGTCTAAGTCCCTTGATGTAACTAACCCCAGGTGCGGGAGCCCCGGAGAGTGCTTGGCTTGGTTATCAGGCATCCTAATGGCAGATGCATTCCCGTTGAAAAGCTCATGTCCAAACAGATCTGTTTTTATTCTTAGTGAGGTTACAGGAAGATTCCCAATCAAAATGGGAGTGGGAAGCAGTGGTATAAAAAGTGGGAGAGAGAGGGGCAGTTAGAAAGAGGGGTCACATAATCTTCTATCTAGACATATGTTTCATAAGTGATCCTGCCACATTGCATGACATTCCAGATATCTATTGGTTGTATAAGAAGCCATACTATTTAGAAATACAGCTCCTGATACAAGGGTTGCTGTATAGATACCACGAAAAAAAAATTTAAATAAGAAAAGGCAACATTACAGAGACTCCAATACACAGACAGTGTTGAGAAATAATTTGGGGCATAGAATACTATTTATCTCCAAAGTAATTCGAAATACAGGCTTTTGCTCATTTGTCTGTTCTCTGGGTTTTTTAGGGGTTTTTTTGTTGTTGTTTTGTTTTGTTTTTTGGTTTGGTTGATTTTGGTTTATTTATTTATTTTGAGGACCAACACTAAAGGGAATGGAAAATCTTTCCAGGAGAGTCATAAGGGTACCCTAAAGAAAAAAGAGCTCTTTCTATAAGAAAAGGAGCTAGTGGCCTTGTGAGCCTTCCCTGTAGCTGCACTTCTTGCCCCTTATTATAAAAGCAAAACCCAGAAGAGAAAAATAAAATTTCAAAAAAAAAATTAAAACAATAAAGTACAAAATTATTAATAGAGCAACTCAATGAGATGTGTTAAGAACAGAAATCACCAGTTTAAGAAATAGAGGTATGGGGGGGAGGGGAGGAAAAAAAATTACATTTTATTCCAAAATAAATGTTTAAGACATTGCTAACATAAATAATACTTGAAATTAAATGAGAGAATAATACAAAAGCAGATAAAATGAGTAAAAATTAAGAATGGTTGAAAATAAGATTCAAATGGTTAAAATGGAAAAATTCACAGAAAAAAATGAGAATGTAGCATGTTAAAGTAATAAACCAATACAAAATAAAACCAATCTGATAAAAGCTCAGAAAGTTTGAATAGACAAAATAAATGAAGGATATATTAAAAGCTGAAATAGACAGAAAATCGAAAGTGATAAAGATTTCTTTAAAGGCAAATGAAGGAGAACTAAGGAATTAAGAATATCAAAGATAAAATGAAGCTGCATTTCGGAGGGATGAGAAATTAAAATCACCATGGCAAAACATTAAAAGAATAAAAAATTATAAAGCTGAAATTTTCAAAGTACAAAAGTAAAGCTAGGGAAGAATGAAGAACAGAAACAGCAATGAAAAAGACTTACTTCTTTAAAACTACATAAATAAAACCAAGCCTCCACAGAGACCCTCGAAAGCAGAGAGGGCAGAGCTGTTTAACAAAAACTGTCTTATTCATGAAAACCTAGCCACAGACTCAGAGAACAACCCACTGCCCTCGCCCTAATTCTTCTGCTGCCCACAGTCCCTAAACTCCTGCTACCACATGCAGGAATTAACAATAAGGAAAAACATATTATAGAAAGAAAAGAAGGGGAGTTTCTTTGATTTGTGTTAACAGCCTTTAGGAGGAGGAGCATTTTATTTGCCATGCTCCCATTTCTTGACATATAAATCTGTGTCTCAAAGTCCATCTTTGTGTTTTTCCCTACAGTGAGAACAATAAGAATTCCTTGGAGAGCAGCCTACGGCAACTAAAATGCCATTTCACCTGGAACTTGATGGAGGGAGAAAACTCCTTGGATGATTTTGAAGACAAAGTATTTTACCGGACTGAGTTTCAGAATCGTGAATTCAAAGCCACAATGTGCAACCTACTGGCCTATCTAAAGCACCTCAAAGGGCAAAACGAGGCAGCCCTGGAATGCTTACGTAAAGCTGAAGAGTTAATCCAGCAAGAGCATGCTGACCAGGCAGAAATCAGAAGTCTGGTCACCTGGGGAAACTATGCCTGGGTCTACTATCACATGGGCCGACTCTCAGACGTTCAGATTTATGTAGACAAGGTGAAACATGTCTGTGAGAAGTTTTCCAGTCCCTATAGAATTGAGAGTCCAGAGCTTGACTGTGAGGAAGGGTGGACACGGTTAAAGTGTGGAGGAAACCAAAATGAAAGAGCGAAGGTGTGCTTTGAGAAGGCTCTGGAAAAGAAGCCAAAGAACCCAGAATTCACCTCTGGACTGGCAATAGCAAGCTACCGTCTGGACAACTGGCCACCATCTCAGAACGCCATTGACCCTCTGAGGCAAGCCATTCGGCTGAATCCTGACAACCAGTACCTTAAAGTCCTCCTGGCTCTGAAGCTTCATAAGATGCGTGAAGAAGGTGAAGAGGAAGGTGAAGGAGAGAAGTTAGTTGAAGAAGCCTTGGAGAAAGCCCCAGGTGTAACAGATGTTCTTCGCAGTGCAGCCAAGTTTTATCGAAGAAAAGATGAGCCAGACAAAGCGATTGAACTGCTTAAAAAGGCTTTAGAATACATACCAAACAATGCCTACCTGCATTGCCAAATTGGGTGCTGCTATAGGGCAAAAGTCTTCCAAGTAATGAATCTAAGAGAGAATGGAATGTATGGGAAAAGAAAGTTACTGGAACTAATAGGACACGCTGTGGCTCATCTGAAGAAAGCTGATGAGGCCAATGATAATCTCTTCCGTGTCTGTTCCATTCTTGCCAGCCTCCATGCTCTAGCAGATCAGTATGAAGACGCAGAGTATTACTTCCAAAAGGAATTCAGTAAAGAGCTTACTCCTGTAGCGAAACAACTGCTCCATCTGCGGTATGGCAACTTTCAGCTGTACCAAATGAAGTGTGAAGACAAGGCCATCCACCACTTTATAGAGGGTGTAAAAATAAACCAGAAATCAAGGGAGAAAGAAAAGATGAAAGACAAACTGCAAAAAATTGCCAAAATGCGACTTTCTAAAAATGGAGCAGATTCTGAGGCTTTGCATGTCTTGGCATTCCTTCAGGAGCTGAATGAAAAAATGCAACAAGCAGATGAAGACTCTGAGAGGGGTTTGGAGTCTGGAAGCCTCATCCCTTCAGCATCAAGCTGGAATGGGGAATGAAGAATAGAGATGTGGTGCCCACTAGGCTACTGCTGAAAGGGAGCTGAAATTCCTCCACCAAGTTGGTATTCAAAATATGTAATGACTGGTATGGCAAAAGATTGGACTAAGACACTGGCCATACCACTGGACAGGGTTATGTTAACACCTGAATTGCTGGGTCTTGAGAGAGCCCAAGGAGTTCTGGGAGAGGGACCAGATTGGGGGGTAGGTCCACGGGCTTGGTGATAGAATTATTTCTCGATTGACTTCTTGAGTGCAATTTGAACTGTAACATTTGCTTAGTCACCTTTAGTGGAGTAATCTACTGGGCTTGTTTCTATATTTATATAAAGCAGCCAAATCCTTCATGTAATATTGAAGTCCATTTTTGCAATGTTGTTCCATACTTGGAGTCATTTTGCATCCCATAGAGGTTAGTCCTGCATAGCCAGTAATGTGCTAAGTTCATCCAAAAGCTGGCGGACCAAAGTCTAAATAGGGCTCAGTATCCCCCATCGCTTATCTCTGCCTCCTTCCTCCTCCTTCCCAGTCTATCATCAACCTTGAGTATTCTACACAATGTGAATTCAAGTGCCTGATTAATTGAGGTGGCAACATAGTTTGAGACGAGGGCAGAGAACAGGAAGATACATAGCTAGAAGCGACGGGTACAAAAAGCAATGTGTACAAGAAGACTTTCAGCAAGTATACAGAGAGTTCACCTCTACTCTGCCCTCCTCATAGTCATAATGTAGCAAGTAAAGAATGAGAATGGATTCTGTACAATACACTAGAAACCAACATAATGTATTTCTTTAAAACCTGTGTGAAAAAATAAATGTTCCACCAGTAGGGATAGGGGAAAAGTAACCAAAAGAGAGAAAGAGAAAGGAATGCTGGTTTATCTTTGTAGATTGTAATCGAATGGAGAAATTTGCAGTATTTTAGCCACTATTAGGAATTTTTTTTTTTTGTAAAATGAAGACTGAACTCTGTTCAAATGCTTTCATGAACCTGGTTTGAGACGGTAGGAAAGCAACAAAACGTGGGAACCTGGTGACTAAGGGCCTGGTGCAAGGACTTGGGAAATGTCATTGATAATAGATGGTGGGGTTTTCCCCCCTTTAGAAATGTTGGATATTAAGTGATATAAACACTTCTTTTAACTCCGAAAATCTTCTGAGAAATCACAAAATTCACGGTATGCTTGGAACGATTGAGATTTTCTAGGTAGATGCTGAATAGCCTAGACATCAAAGTTGGTGTGAACCAAAATAGAGTCAGCTGACCCAGCATCAGCCACACTCTGGGTTGGAAAATGTTTGCCTGTTGGAATTAATTTAAGCTTAAGTATATATCAACATTATTTTATTGTGCAATTAAAACAATACAAATTCATGGTTTTTTAAAGTTAAAAATTCTAACCACTGTAACAACAGTTTTTGTGTTATTTTCTGTATTAAACATCTTGTTGCACGCATTTGAGGTCATCAGGGTGCAAAATTTGTATTCCTGAAAATGTCATATATTTTCATTAATAAATAACCTAAATATGATAAAACATAAAGCAGTGTTCTGGTTCATCTGGAATTTTGCTGTACTTTAAATCTTTCAGACTCAGCTACTGATAAATGAAACGTTACACAGGTGTGAACCAAATCCAAATAACCTCGACTGGTCTACTATCATAATCACCTGAACAGAACAAAACTTTTTCCTCAGCTTTAAGAGTCCAGGGCTTCGGATAACAGCTGCCATCTGCCACCTGCTACCATTGACCTACGTGAACACAGACATTCTGTCTCCACCTTGATGGTGGGTGGGCTGCTCCCCTTTTCTTTGTTAAATTTTGTGCTTTCATCACATTTTCTCTATTCTGACCTCTGTTATGAGAAATAAAAGTCACTGATTCCATTTTATGCCCCATCCTGGACGCAATCCAAATGCATGTTAAAGAGTCTTCCCTATTAAGTAAAGAATAGGAAGAGACAAGAAGGCCCAAAATCTCTATTATTTTTCAAGAGGCCTCTAATGGAAAACACAAATCACACCAACTGCAAAGGTAAACTCATTTCATTGGATCAAAATGGACAAGTGTATGTTTCAGGGGAAGATCTAGCTCACCTTGATCTGAGTAAATTAGGACTACATCTGGTGCCTGGGAAGGAACACCACACGTATTCTGAGTGGAAGGTTAAAATGGACAGGTATGCCGACCTTGAGAGAGGACCCTTGGTACCTGTGTGTGCTAAAGATGGATGTATGTAATCTTGTCCTTGCATGTCATGCCTCCAGTCCCTTGCTGGAACAGGACCCTTAGTGGGAAAACAGCAAGAAGGGTAGAAAAGGGAAACATAACATATTACACTTAATATGAGGGCTTAAAGTTAACAAATGATTGGAAAACAATGAAAATTATGTACATAGCTCCAGTTTCCTGAAATTTCACTATCCAAGAATAACAAATGAAGTCACATTAATTGGGCTTGACTTGTAATTCCCAGCCTTTTAGCCACATTTCCCGGGGCAGGACATTTGACTCCCTTCATATATTCATCCAACACGGCAAGCCCCTAGTAGATGTCTCCTATGTGCTCATGAACCCGTTTATCAGAGTTATCGGACCACATCTGCTACTTATGTAGCTTCAACACCCATATCCATCAATGACCATTGCCCCTAAAACTGCCTTCAATACATTTCACATTCTCTGTATTTGATTGCCACCTTGAGAGTACTAATATCTCTGCCAACAATGTTTTCAAGTGTGTTAGTGCCAGTGAAAGAGTGAGAAGAATTCCTCTTATCTCTGTGTTGGTTCCAAGTAGTTCTTATTTATTTCTCTGCCTCAGAGTCCTCAGTGAAAAAGATTCATCACTTCTGCTTGTCTTTCTCCATAGAGCTCAGACACAGTCCCTGGGGACAGCTGACCTTGAGTCATGCTGCACTTTCACCTTCCTTCATACCCTATGTCAATTGACATATCCAATACAACTGGATCCAGTGCAACTGGAAGACTGGAAGCATTAGAATTCTGATTATAACACAGATAGGCCTTGTGTTAGGATCCCTACCATACGTGCAATCAACCTTGGATGCCAATCTGAGGGTTGCAGTTTGCAACCTACATTTGCCCTATTGCCCTTTTTGGAAAAGGGACTAACTTAGACTAATATGTAAGAAATTTTCCCCATGATTAATAGTGCAGCTACCTCATTGCTGATTATCTACACCTTCTAGGGAGGCTGCAAAGAGGGAAACCCACTAAAATCCTTAGATGTACCTAGGTGCATGCACTTGTAAGAGAGGCATTCTCAGCTCTACATGGGGCCTCCCTTCAGCTGCTTTACATACAGGACTTAAGACTAGAGAAGAGACCAGAGGCAGGATTTGTTGGAAGCCTGTGGAAACAAATCCCAAACAGTTCTGCTTCTCCTCTGGTTCTCTGTAGGCTGCTGTTGAAAAGGAGGCTACCAAACAGGTAAACGATACAAATAGACCCCAGAGCCTTGGTTTATGTCTCACTTGTTTTGGAAACATAATGAGTCATAGTTTGTGTTATTTCTGAGTAAAATGTAAAAATATATAGTAAATTCTGCCCTGAACCTAGAAATTCCTGAAACCCTTCTAGAGATCTGGAAATTGGCCCCAGTGTGTTTATACAGATATAATCTAATTAAAATATTTGAAAAGTCTTTCTTTACCTTTCCAGAATCCTGGATATCCCAAGTAAATGAGCCTATTTATGTTCTGCTTTTGATTCACAGATATTACAGAGCAAAGGCACTGTGATATAAAACCACTGAGCACACATTTTCCTTTCTCATTTTTAAATGAAACTTACTAATTTGTCATCAAGCACTACATTTAAAAACTCAAACCTGGCTGGGCGTGGTGGCTCAAGCCTAAAATCCCAGCACTTTGGGAGGCCAAGGAGGGTAGATCACCTGAGGTCAGGAGTTCCAGACCAGCCTGATCAATATGGTGAAACCCCATCTCTACCAAAAAAAATACAAAAAAAAATTAACCAGGCATGGCGGTGTGTGCCTGTAATCCCAGCTACTCAGGAGGTTGAGGCAGGAGAATCTCATGAACCTGGGAGGTGGTAGTTGCAGTGAGATGGTACCACTGCACTCCAGCCTGGGTGACAGAGGTAGACCCTGTCTCAAAAAAAAAAAAAAAAAAAAACCCTCAAACCTACTTGTACGTTTTTTGCATTTAGTGAAACACCTACATAAGTTGGAGCTTTAAAACATATGTATAAAACTTTGTAATATATCTTCTAATTGTTGATTAAGGAAAACTAGAGTTCACTAGAATATTTAAATAGAAACATTTTAAATAATGATTAAGGCTTTTAGGTTATGGAAAAGAGTTGATTTGTCTAGGTGTTAAAAAGGAAATTATTATTTCCACTAGCAATGTATGAGAAATACTGTTTTCAGCATCTTCACCAATACTGAATGTTACCAGTCTTTAATTTTTGTCAATCTGATGAGTGCATGCATATATTTCCAAAAAAGGCACTGGCGTATAGATCACAGAAAAATAAAATATTCAAGTGTGGAATCTGTATGACGGAAATCCTCTCCACACCCAGAATGCTAGTTTTCTCTCCTCTCTCTCTGTCTGTCCCCACCATCTCTCTCTTCCTTTTTCTCTCCTTCTTTCTCACTTTTATCTTCCCTTTACGTCTTCTTCCTTCAAGTTTCTCTTTCTAGAGATGACTTTGCGTCTCTGTGCATGAAGTGGAAAACATGCCTACCAGGTTATTTATCTCTTCTCCTAATAATTCAACAAAGGCCAGGTGCAGTGGCTCACACCTGTAATCGCCACACTTTGGGAGGCTGAGGTGAGCGGATTGTTTGAGCCCAGGAGTTCGAGACCAGCCTGGACAGCATGGTGAAACCCTATCTCTACAAAAAATACAAAACTTAGCTGGGCTTGGTGGCATGCACCTGTAGTCCCATCTACTTGGGATGCTGAGGTAGGAGGAACACTTGAGCCCAGGAGGTGGGGGCTTCAGTGAGCTGAGATCGTGCCACTGCACTACAGCCTGGGCAACACAGTGAGATGAGACCCTGTCTCAAAAAATAAATAATAATAATAATTCAATAAAGACTTTCTAGAATCACTTTCTTCTGATCAAAATTCCAAAGAAATATCTGTTTGTCTCATTTCAAGTCAATATCCATTACCAATAGAATCCAGTTGACTGAGGCGGGCGGATCACGAGGTCAGGAGATCGAGACCCTCCTGGCTAACACGGTGAAACCCCATCTCTACTAAAAAATACAAAAAATTAGACAGGCGTGGTGGCGGGCACCTGTAGTCCCAGCTACTCGGGAGGCTGAGGCAGGAGAATGGCGTGAACCTGGGAGGCAGAGCTTGCAGTGAGCCGAGATTGCACCACTGCTCTCCAGGCTGGGTGACACAGCAAGACTCCCTCTCAAAAAAAAAAAATAATAATAATAATAATCCAGTTGACCAAGAGAATGAGATCATATTCCAGAGAAAGCAGGGGCTTAGAGTGCATGCTTTCTGCAGGAATGAGAGCAAATTATCCAAGAAGGAGACATGGGAGGAGGGAGAAAATGACTGGCAGAGGACATGGCTTGCATACCTAGAATACACTCTAGCTTTCAATCACACGAGCACACACTTTTGTGTGTAGTCCAGCACTGTCTTACATGTTATTACCTGTAGAATATCTAGAGTTCTAACTAGACCAGTATTTCTCAGACTTTAATGTGCAGTGCCTACTTTCATGTGCACAATCACCTGAGGATCTTGTTAAAATGTAGACTATGATTCAGTAGATCTGGGTGGAGCCTGAGACTCTGTATTTCTCACAAGCTCTCAGGTCAAAACAAGGCCTGTAGTCTGTAAACTACACCTTGAATAGCAGAGGTATAGACTGAACTGCAACCAATTCAATCTGGTTCCATTTTTCAGTTTATCCTTTAGTCAGAAATGAAGATCATACCAGCACATTTTCCTTCCTACAGCCTTCTCTCTCTTTCAGTAACTCATCTCTTGAGATCTCAGATAAGAAAATCTGTATTACCTCAAAAATAAGTATGTTTAATGTAAAATGGTGCAGCCACTTTGGAAAATAGTTGGACAGTTCTTCAAATGGTTAAACATAGTTACCATATGACCCAGCAATTCCATTCCTAGATACATATGTAAGAAAAAGGAAAACATGAAAACATAGGTTCACACAAAACTTGTGCATGAATGTTCATAGCTGTATTATTCATGATGGCCAAAAAGTGGACCCATCAACTGATGAATTGATAAATTAAATATGGTAGAGCCACATAATGGAATATTATTTGGAAACAAAAATAAGTGAAGTACTTACTGATACATGATACAACACAGATGAACCTTGAAAACATGCAAAGTGACAAAAGGCAATTTAAAAAGTCACATATTGTATGATTCTGTTTATATGAAATGTGGAACGGAGGCAAATTTATAGACACAGAAAATAGATTAGCAGTTGCCTAAGGCTAGGGGAGGGGGTTGTGACGATGGGAGATGACAGCTTGAGAATGTTCTATAATTGATTGTGGTGCTGGTTGCATAACTGTGAATATAATGAAAGCTATTGAATTGTATACTTTAAATGAGTGGATTATATGATATGTGAATTATATTTTATTATAGCTGTTAAAAATGGGCACTCTTATTCCAAATATAATAAAGAAAATTTTTCTTTTGTTATCTATTTTTACTTCTAAGTTTGTTTTCATTGTGTTGTATCCTTATTAGTAGCATTTTGAATACTGTCATTGCTTTCACATTCGGTAGATATGTTAGATAAGTTATGTATTCTATTTTCTGAGTTGGGTGTGCTATGAAAATCTGGTCCCATCTGATTTTATATTTAAATACTCATACGCAGGAACCTTACTGATTGGCAAATTGGCACAAAGAAAGAGTCCAAATACAGAAGAGAATTTGACTCCATATGTAAGTTCAAATCTGCATGTGTACAAGTTTAAGAATAATGTGAATTTATGCCCGAGCGCAGTGGCTTACGCCTCTAATCCCAACACTTTGGGAGGCCAAGGCGGGTGGATCACGAGGTTTAGAGATCGAGACCATCCTGGCCAACATGGTGAAACCCCATCTCCACTAAAAATACAAAAATTAGGTGGGTATGGTGGTGGGTACCTGCAGTCCCAACTATTCGGGAGGCTGAGGCAGGTGAATTTCTTGAACCCAGGAGGTGAAGGTTGCAGTGAGCCGAGATTGTGCCACTGCACTCCAGCCTGGCTACAGAGCGAGACTCTGTCAAAAAGAAAAAAAAGAATAGTATGAATTTCTTAATGATGCAGAATGTTATTCAGTCACCATGTGCAACTGTTGCAAATACTGCTAATTCATGAGTACTTTTTGAGCCAGGAATTAGAACAAAAAGAAAAGCAAGAAAATGGACAATAGGTCCTACTGTACTGGAAAAATAATTATTCATTACATAAGAATCTATTGCATTCTGGTGAAAGACAGTCTTTGAGCAGTTTGCTGAATTTGCCTTTTCTCTGATCTTTATTGCTACAATCCTCTCTGAACTCCAAAGCAGAATCTGTCTCTAAAAATCAGCTCCCTCACAATGCACAAACATGCATGATATAATCTCCATTCATTGTGAGCAAAGAAGGGAAGATAGGCAACTTTTCCCTGGGCTGGATGTTTAGGGTTTCAAGTCCAATTCTACCAGAATTAAGCACTGGATTCTGAGTAACAGAGGTGCTATTTGTTCTTTCAAAATTTTACATGTTTGTATCTGTGATATATGGGACCCTCTAAAGCACGGGGCCAAAGGCACCTTCTAACTGGGTATAAGGATGGTATTTATACCATTTATGATATCACAAATATATGTACCTTTTATAAAGATATGTCACTTTATTATCACCAAGATAACAAATTGTTAAGTTAAACAACCAATCAGAATTAGACTTTTCCAAGTTGCAGGTTTCTTTCTTAGACTATAACAACCTCTGAACTCGAAGTATCTCATGAGACTCTGTTGTTGGAAACACCATATGTCATGTTAATTTTGCTACACAAGAGTCTCTGCTTTGTGCAGCTACAGGATGGAGGAAACGCTTCTAGCTAACAATTCCTTCATTATCAAATTAGTCATGACAACTATACTCCCTAGGTTTTTATGAATATTTACATCATGGTTGGGAAGTATTATAAAAATGAAAAGAAAAAAAAAACCTCTCAGGGTAGTATCAACTCCTTCAGAGCTCAAAGCATAAATATATAATCCATCCATTAAACAATAATATGTGTATTACTTTTGCCCATTTTACAGCTGGGTAAACTAAATTATTATCCAGAGCTTGGAAAGCTAAACAGCTCACAGATCCCTCCAGGGCCTGGCTTCGTATGTTTAGTGTGAGGCAAAAAGGAAATTCTGGCTCAATGATATGGCCCCTGGAAAATTCGAGAACTAGTAAAGTAAACAGAGATAATTAAATCTAGGTCTCTAGGTCTAAATTTACTTCTGGGGGACAATTTACTGGACAAAACTACTATTTTTTTTTATTATACTTTAAGTTTTAGGGTACATGTGCACATTGTGCAGGTTAGTTACATATGTATACTAAAACTACTATTTTTTTTACAAAACATTTTGGAAGTCTTTCATATAACCGGCTCCCAGAAACCCCTACATCAGAATCTCCTAGAGACATTATTAAAAATGCAGTTTCAGAGGAGGTTCCAAGATGGCCAAATAGGAACAGCTCCAGTCTATAGCTCCCAGCATGAGTGATGCAGAAGATGGTAGTTTCTGCATTTCCAACTGAGGTACTGGGTTCATCTCACTGGGGCTTGTCAGATAGTGGGTGCAGCCCACACAGTGTGGGCCAAAGCAGGGCGGGGCATCGCCTCACCCGGGAAGTGCAAGGAGTCAGGGAATTCCCTTTCCTAGCCAAGGGAAGCCATGACAGATGGTACTTGGAATATTGAGACACTCCCACCCTAATACTGCGCTTTTCCAACGGTCTTAGCAAACAGAACACCAGGAGATTATATCCTGCTCCTGGCTCAGAGGGTCCCATGCCCAGGGAGCCTTGCTCACTGCTGGCACAGCAGTCTGAGATGGAACTGCAAGGCAGCAGTGAGGCTGGGGGAGGGGCGCCCACCATTGCTGAGGCTTGAGTAGGTAAACAAAGTGGCTAGGAAGCTCAAACTGGGTGGAGCCCACCACAGCTCAAGGAGGCCTGCCTGCCTCTATAGACTCCACCTCTGGGGCAGGGTATAGCTGAACAAAAGGCAGCAGAAACTTCTGTAGACTTAAACACCCTTGTCTGACAGCTTTGAAGAGAGTAGTGGTTCTCCCAGCACGGAGTTTGAGATCTGAGAATGGACAGACTGCCTCCTCAAGTGGGAGTTAGTCTGTTACTCCTCCCTGAGTAGCCTAACTGGAAGGCACCTCCCAGTAGGGGCTGACTGACACCTCATACGGCAGAGTGCACCTCTGCGATGAAGCTTCCAGAGAAAGGATCAGGCAGCAACATTTGCCTTTCTGCAGCCTCCACTGGTGATACCCAGGCAAACAGGGTCTGGAGTGGACTTCCAGCAAACTCCAACAGACCTGCAGCTGAGGGTCCTGACTGTTAGAAGGAAAACTAAAAAACAGAAAGGACATCCACACCAAAACCCCATCTGTATGTCACCATCATCAAAGACCAAAGGTAGATAAAACCACAAAGATGGGGAGAAACCAGAGCAGAAAAGCTGAAAATTCTAAAAAATCAGAGTGCCTCTTCTCCTCCAAAGGAATGCAGCTGCTTGCCAGCAATGGAACAAAGCTGGACGGAGAATGACTTTGATGAGTTGAGAGAAGAAGGCTGCAGACAATCGGTAATAACAAATTTCTTCGAGCTAAGGGAGGATGTTTGAACCCATGGCAAAGAAGCTAATAACCTTGAAAAAAGATTCGACGAATGGCTAACTAGAATAAAGAGCGTAGAGAAGACCTTAAATGATGTGATGGAGCTGAAAACCATGGCATGAGAACTATATGACGCATGCACAACCTTCAGTAGCCAATTCATCAACTGGAAGAAAGGGTATTAGTGATTGAAGATCAAATGAATGAAATGAAGTGAGAAGAGAAGTTTAGAGAAAAAAGAGTAAAAAGAAATGAACAAAGCCTCCAAGAAATATGGGACTATGTGAAAAGACCAAACATACATCTGACTGGTGTACCTGAAAGTGACACGGAGAATGGAACCAAGTTGGAAAACACTCTGCAGGATATTATGCAGGAGAACTTCCCCAACCTAGCAAGGGAGGCTAACATTCAAATTCAGGAAATACGGAGAACGCCACAAAGATATTCCTCGAGAAGAGCAATTCCAAGACACATAATTAGCAGATTCACCAAAGTTGAAATGAAGGAAAAAATGTTAAAGGCAGCCAGAGAGAAGGGTCAGGTTACCCACAAAGGGAAGCCCATCAGACTAACAGCAGATGTCTCGGCAGAAACTCTACAAGCCAGAAGAGAGTGGGGGCCAATATTCAACATTCTTAAAGAGAAGAATTTTCAACCCAGAATTTCATATCCAGCCAAACTAAGCTTCATAAGTGAAGGAGAAATAAAATCCTTTACAGACAAGCAAAGGCTGAGAGATTTTGTCACCACCAGGCCTGCCTTACAAGAGCTCCTGAAGGAAGCACTAAACATGGAAAGGAACAACCGGTACCAGCCACTGCAAAACATGTCAAAGTGTAAAGACCATCGGTGCTAGGAAGAAACGGCATCAGCTAACGAGCAAAATAACCAGCTAACATGATAAGGACAGGATCATATTCACACATAACAATATTAACCTTAAATGTAAATGGGCTAAATACCCCAATTAAAAGACACAGACTGGCAAATTGGCTAAAGAGTCAAGAACCATCAGTGTGCTGTATTCAGGAGAGCCATCTCATGGCAGAGACACACATAGGCTAAAAATAAAGGGATAGAGGAAGATCTACCAAGCAAATGGAAAATAAAAAAAGCAGGGTTGCAATCCTAGTCTCTGATAAAACAGACTTTAACCAACAAAGATCAAAAGAGACAAAGAAGGCCATTACATAATGGTAAAGGGATCAATTCAACAAGAAGAGCTAACTATCCTAAATATATATGCACCCAACACAGGAGCACCCAGGTTCATAAAGCAAGTCCTTAGAGACCTACAAAAAGATGTAGACTCCCAAACAATAATAACAGGAGACTTTAACACCCCACTGTCAACATTAGACAGATCAACGAGACAGAAAGTTAACAAGGATATCCAGGAGTTGAACTCAGCTCTGCACCAAGCAGACCTAATAGACATCTACAGAACTCTCCACCCCAAATCAACAGAATAT
Source organism: Homo sapiens (assembly GCF_000001405.40). Classification (NCBI taxonomy): domain Eukaryota; kingdom Metazoa; phylum Chordata; class Mammalia; order Primates; family Hominidae; genus Homo; species Homo sapiens. The sequence continues at coordinate 89,318,758 of NC_000010.11, forward strand.
ACATTCTTCTCAGCACCACATTGCACTTATTCCAAAACTGACCACATAGTTGGAAGTAAAGCACTCCTCAGCAAATGTAAAAGAACAGAAATTATAACAAACTGTCTCTCAGACCACAGTGCAATCAAACTAGAACTCAGGATTAAGAAACTCACTCAAAACTGCTCAACTACATGGAAACTGAACAACGTGCTCCTGAATGACTACTGGGTACATAAGAAAATGAAGGCAGAAATAAAGATGTTCTTTGAAACCAATGAGAACAAAGACACAACACACCAGAATCTCTGGGACATATTTAAAGCAGTGTATAGAGGGAAATTTATAGCACTAAATGCCCACAAGAGAAAGCAGGAAAGATCTAAAATTGACACCTAATATTACAATTAAAAGAACTAGAGAAGCAAGAGCAAACACATTCAAAAGCTAGCAGAAGGCAAGAAATAACTAAGATCAGAGCAGAACTGAAGGAGATAGAGACAAAAAACCCTTCAAAAAAATCAATGAATCCAGGAACTGATTTTTTGAAAGGATCAACATTATTGATAGACCACTAGCAAGACTAATAAAGAAGAAAAGAGAGAAGAATCAAATAGATGCAATTAAAAATGATAAAGGGGATATCACCACCAATCACACAGAAATACAAACTATCATCAGAGAATACTATAAACACCTCTATGCAAATAAACTAGAAAATCTAGAAGAAATGGATAAATTCATGGACACATACACCCTCCCAAGACTAAACCAGGAAGAAGTTGAATTCCTGAATAGACCAATAACAGGGTCTGAAATTGAGGCAATAATTAATAGCCTACCAACCAAAAAAAGTCCATGACCAGATGGATTCACAACTGAATTCTACCAGAGGTACAAAGACGAGCTGGTACCATTCCTTCTGAAACTATTCCAATCAATAGAAAAAGAGGGAATCCTCCCTAACTCATTTGATGTGGCCAGCATCATCCTGATACCAAAGCCTGGCAGAAACACAACAAAAAAAGAGAATATCAGGCCAATACCCCTGATGAACATCGATGCAATGCAAATATCCTCAATAAAATACTGGCAAACTGAATCCAGCAGCACATCAAAAAGCTTATCCACCATGATCAAGTTAGCTTCATCACTGGGATGCAAGGCTGGTTCAACATATGCAAATTAATAAATGTAATCCAGCATAAAAACAGAACCAAAGACAAAAACCACATGATTATCTCAATAGATGCAGAAAAGGCCTTTAACAAAATTCAGTAGCCCTTCATGCTAAAAACTCTCAATAAACTAGGTATTGATGGGACATATCTCAAAATAATAAGAGCTATTTATGACAAACCCACAGCCAATATCATACTGAATGGGCAAAAACTGGAAGTATTCCCTTTGAAAACTGGCACAAGACAGGGATGCCCTCTCTCAACACTCCTATTCAAAACAGTGTTGGAAGTTCTGGCCAGGGCAATCAGGCAGGAGAAAGAAATAAAGGGTATTCAATTAGGAAAAGAGGAAGTCAAATTGTCCCTGTGTGCAGATGACATGATTGTATATTTAGAAAACCCCATAGTCTCAGCCCAAAAGCTCCTTAAGCTGATAAGCAACTTCAGCAAAGTCTCAGGATCCAAAATCAATGTGCAAAAATCACAAGCATTCCTATACACCAATAACAGACAAACAGAGAGCCAAATCATGAGTGAACTCCCATTCACAATTGCTTCAAAGAGAATAAAATACCCAGGAATCCAACTTACAAGGGATGTGAAGGACCTCTTCAAGCAGAACTACAAACCACTGCTCAATGAAATAAAAGAGGACACAAACAAATGGAAGAACATTCCATGCTCATGGATAAGAAGAATCAATATCGTGAAAATGGCCATACTGCCCAAGGTAATTTATAGATTCATGCCATCCCCATCAAACTACCAATGACTTTCTTCACAGAATTGGAAAAAACTACTTTAAAGTTCATATGGAACCAAAATAGAGCCTGCATTGCCAAGACAATCCTAAGCCAAAAGAACAAAGCTGGAGCCATCACACTACCTGACTTCAAACTATACTACAAGGCTACAGTAACCAAAACAGCATGGTACTGGTACCAAAACAGAGATATAGACCAATGGAACAGAACAGAGCCCTCAGAAATAATACCACACATCTACAACCATCTGATCTTTGACAAACCTGACAAAAACAAGCAATGGGGAAAGGATTCCCTATTTAATAAATGGTGCTGGGAAAACTGGCTAGCCATATGTAGAAAGCTGAAACTGGATCCCTTCCTTACACCTTATACAAAAATTAATTCAAGATGGATTAAAGATTTAAATGTTAGACCTAAAACCATAAAAACCCTAGAAGAAAACCTAGGCAATACCATTCAGGACATAGGCATGGGCAAGGACTTCATGTCTAAAACACCAAAAGCAATGGCAACAAAAGCCAAAATTGACAAATGGGATCTAATTAAACTAAAGAGCTTCTGCACAGCAAAAGAAACTACCATCAGAGTGGACAGGCAACCTACAGAGTGGGAGAAAATTTTTACAATCTACCCATCTGACAAAGGACTAATATCCAGAATCTACAAAAAACTTAAACAAATTTACAAGAAAAAAATCAAACAACCCCATCAAAAAGTGGGCAAAGGCTATGAATGGACACTTCTCAAAAGAAGACATTTATGCAGCCAACAGACACATGAAAAAGAGCTCATTATCACTGGCCATCAGAGAAATGCAAATCAAAACCACAATGAGATGCCATCTCACACCCGTTAGAATGGCCATCATTAAAAAGTCAGTAACAACAGGTGCTAGAGAGGATGTGGAGAAATAGGAACACTTTTACACTGTTGGTAGGACTGTAAACTAGTTCAACCATTGTGGAAGACAGTGTGGCGATTCCTCAAGGATCTAGAACTAGAAATACCATTTGACCCAGCCATCCCATTACTGGGTATATATCCAAAGGATTATAAATCATGCTGCTATAAAGACACATGTACACGTATGTTTATTGCAGCACTATTCACAATAGCAAAGACTTGGAACCAACCCAAATGTCCATCAATGATAGACTGGATTAAGAAAATGTGGCACATATACACCATGGAATACTATGCAGCCATAAAAAAGGATGAGTTCATGTCCTTTGTAGGGACATGGATGAAGCTGGAAACCATCATTCTGAGCAAACTATCGCAAGGACAGAAAACCAAACACCGCATGTTCTCACTCATAAGTCGGAACTGAGCAATAAGAACAACTGGACACAGGATGGGGAGCATCACACACTGGGGCCTGTCATGGGGTAGGGGGAGGGAGGAGGGTTAGCATTAGGAGATATACCTAATGTAAATGACGAGTTAATGGGTGCAGCACACCAACATGGCACAAGTATACATATGTAACAAACCTGCGTGTTGTGCACATGTATCCTAGAACTTAAAGTAAAATTTTAAAAAATGCAGTTTCGAGCTCGGGGTTAAGATGGTAAACTAGAAGCAACTCATGTGCCAGGCTATCACGGAAAGGAAACAAAAGGGCTAGTGAGCATTGACCCTGCAGGCCAATCATCTGAGAAATCATGTCAGGGATTCGGGATCCTTCAAGATGTAAGGGGATTACAGAGAGCAGAAAGGGGTGAAGCTAGATACCAGCCTGTCCGGGCTCAGCGTGGATCCAGGAGAATTTCTCCAACACTGGAAAGGGTGAGTGAGTGAGAACCCCCTAGGGGATTCACACTCTCGACAGGGACCTGTGCAAGACTGGAAATGGGAGAATGCCCCTGAAACCCCTGCCCACCCCCGACCCCACCACCGTGCTTCTAGACTGAGGCAGAGAGCCCCCCAGACATTTTGGAGGGCAACTCTCTAGTCCAAGGAGACTTCTGCAAGCCTTGTGCCCCCAAGAAGACCAGCACTGGTGCCATAGCCCAATAAAGGCTGCAGTCCCAGTGCCTAGGAGCAGTAAGATTGCCCCATCTCAAACCCTTTCTGGATGGGGCTTGGTGCCAGCTTCCAGCCTACTGGTCCTACTTCTCTGTCTGAACTCAGCCAGTGACCATAGCCTCCTGTTCTCCCAGGAAGCACCTGGAGGGCAAGACAGGTGACTACATCTACCCCTGCCACTGGTTGCCAGGCAGGCAACACTTGCTAGAGCTTCCATCCCAGTGGTTCCACTTCTGTCTGAATTCAGCCAGAGAGCACAGCCTCCTGTTGTCCTGGGAAACATTCAGGCAAGGTAGGCAACCCCACCTACCCTGGCCTCTTGTAGCCAGGCAAGCCATGCCTGCTAGAGCTTCCAATTTATGTCCCACAGCCAAATTCTCATTTCCCATTCCTTTATAAAATTCTTGTTTCTGTTGGTTCAACATACACAAATCAATAAATGTGATTCACCACATAAGCAGAACTTAAAACTGAAACCACGTGATCATCTCAATAGATACAGAAAAGGCTTTTGATAAAATTCAACATCCATTAATGTTAAAAATCCTCAACAAACTAGATATTGAAGGAACATACCTCCAGATAATAAGAGCCATCTATGATAAACCCAAGGTCAACATCATACTGAATGGGCGAAAGCTGAAAGATTTCCCCTTGAGAACTGGAAAAATACAGGGATGCCCACTCTTAGCACTCCTATTCAACAGAGTACTGCTAGCATGAGCAAGCAGGCAAGAGAATGAAATAAAAGGCACCTAGATAGGAAGAGAGGAAGTCAAACTATCTATCTTTGCAGACAATTTGATTGCATACCTAGAAAACCCCCACGTCTCTACCCAAAAGCTCGTAGGTCTAATAAACAGCTTCAGCAAAGTTCCAGGATACAAAATCAACATACAAAAATGAGTAGCATTCCTATACACTAACAAAATCCAAGCCGAGAGCCAAATCAGGAAGACAATCCCATTCACAATAGCCACAAAAAGAATAAAATACCTAGAAATACAGCTAACGCAGGAGGTGAAAGATCTCTACAATGAGAATTACAAAACATTGTTCAAAGAAATCAGAGATGACACAAACAAATGGAAATGCTCATGGATAGGAAGAATCGATATTGCTAAAATGGCCATACTACCCAAAGCAATTTACAAATTCAATGCTATTCCTAACAAGCTACCAATGACAGTCTTCATAGAATTAGAAAAACCTATTTTAAAATTCCTATAGAACAAAAAGTGCTCAAATACCCAAAGCAATCCTAAGCAAAAAGAACAAAGCTGGAGGCATCATGTTACCTGACTTTGAACTATACTATAAGGCTACAGTAACCAAAATAGCATGGTACTGGTACAAAAACAGACACATAGACCAATAGAACAGAATAGAGAGCCCATGTTACCTGACTTTGAACTATACTACAAGGCTATAGTAACCAAAATGCATGGTACTGGTACAAAAACAGACACATAGACCAATGGAACAGAATAGAGAGCCCAAACTTAAGGGCACACACCTACAGCCATCTGATCTTCAACAAAGCTGACAAGAACAAGCAATGGGGAAATGATTCCCTGTTCAATAAAGGGTGCTGGGATAACTGGCTAGCCATATATAGAAGACTGAAATTGGACCCCTTCCTTACATCATATATGGAAATCAACTCAAGATGGATGAAATGTAAAACCTAAAAATATTAAAACCCTGGAAGATAACCTAGGAAATACGATTCTCAACATAGAAACCAGCAAAGATTTCATGATGAAGACACCAAAAGCAACTACGACAAAACCAAAAATTGACAAACGGGACCTAATTAAACTAAAGAGCTTCTGATAGCAAAAGAAACTATCAACAGAGTAAACAAGCAACTGACAGATGGGAGAAAATATCTGCAAACTATGCATAACCAAAGGTCTAATATTGAGAATCTATAAGAAACTTAAGCAAATTAACAAGCAAAAAAGCAAACAGCTCCATTAAAAAGTGGGCAAAGGACATGAACAGACACTTTTTAAAAGAAGACATGCATGCGGCCAATAAGAATATGAAAAAATATGTGGTGTTTGGTTTTCTGTCCTTTGTGATATTTTGCTGAAAATGATGGTTTCCAGCTTCATCCATGTCCCTGCAAAGGACACAACTCATCCTTTTTTATGGATGCATTGTATTCCATGGTGCATATGTGCCACATTTTCTTTACCCAGTCTATTGGGTTGGTTCCAAGTCTTTGCTATTGCAAATAGTGCCGCAATAAACATATGAACCAACATGGCACATGTATACCTATGTAACAAACCTGCACATTGTGCACATGTACCCAAGAAATTAAAGTATAATAATAAAAAAAGAAAATAAATTTCTTCCTTCAGATACCCTAAAAAAAAGAATATGAAAAAATACTCAATATCATTAATCATTAGAAAAATGCAAATCAAAACCACAATGAGATATCATGTCATACCAGTCAGAATGACTATTATTAAAAAGTCAACAAAAATAACAGATGCTGGTGAGGTTACAGAGAAAAGGGAACACTTACAAACTGCTGGTGAGAATGTAAATTAGTTCAGTCACTATGGAAAGCAATGTGGTAATTTCTCAAAGAACTTAAAATAGAAGTACCATTCAACCCAGCAATCCTATTATTGGGTACATACCCAAAGGAATATAAATCATTCTGCCATAAAGACACATGTTCAAGTATGTTCATCATAGCACTATTCACAATAGCAAAGACATGGACTCAACCTAAATGCCCATCAACAGAAGACAGGATAAGGGAAATGTGGTACATATACACCATGGACTACTATGCAGCCACAAAAAAAAGAATATCATGTCCTTTGCAGTAATGTGAATGGAACTGGAGGCCATTATCCTAAGTAAACTAATGCAGGAAGAGAAAACCAAATACTGCATGTTCTCACTTATAAGTGGGAACTGAACATTATGGACACAAAGAGGGGAACAACAGACACTGGGGCCTACTTGAGGGTAAAGAATGGGTGAAGAGAGAGGACTGAAAAACTACCTATCATGTACTATGCTTATGAGTGGGGTGACTAAATAATCTGTACACTAAAGCCTCATGACATGCAATTTACCTAAATAACAAACCTGTACGTGTATACCTGCACATAAAATATAAGTTAAAAAAAAACCTACAATGAGATATGATCTTACCCTGGTTAAAATTGCTTTTATCCAAAAGACAGGCAATAACAAATGCTGGCAAGGATGTGGAAAAAAGGAAACTCTTGTACACTGTTGGTGGGAATGTAAACTATTATAACTACTATGGATAACAGTTCGGAGGTTCCTCAAAAGACTAAAAATAGAACTACCATATGATCCAGTAATCCCACTGCCAGGAATACATCAAAAAGAAAGGAAATCAGTACATCAAAGAGATATCTGCACTCCCATGTTTATTGCAGCACTATTCACAATAGCCAAGATTTGGAAGCAACCTAAGTGTCCATCAGCAGAAGAATGGATACAGAAAATGTGGTACATTTACACAACGGAGTGCTCTTTAGCCATAAAAAGAATGAGATCCTGTCATTTGCAACAACATGGATAGAAGTGGAGGTCATTATAAGTGAATTAAGCCAGGCACAGAAAGACAAATTTTACATATTCTCACTTGTTTGTGGAAGCTAAAAATATTAAGACAATTGAACTTATGGAGATAGAGATTAGAATGATGATTACTAGAGGCTGGGAAGAGTAGTAGCGGGGGAAGTGGGGATGGTTAATGGGTACAAAAATATACTTAGATAGAATTAATAAGATCTAGTGTTTGTTAGAACAAGAGGATGACTATAGTCAACAATAGTTTATTGCACATTTCAAAATAACTAAAAGAGTATAATTGGATTGTTTGTAATACAAAGAATAAATGCTTGAAGTCATTTACCCTGATGTGATTATTACTCATTGTATGCTCGCATCAAATATCTCATGTACCCCATAAATATATATATCTACTATGTGTCCACAAAAAATTTTTAAAAATAATAAGAATTGGCTTAAAAAATGCTGTTTCCTGGGCCCCACCCTAGACTGATGGTCAGATACCTAATGTTGACAAAAAAAGTCAAACTCTGTAAAACATTTGAAGAGATTTATTCTAAGCCAAATATGAATGACCTATGGCCTGTGACACAGCCCTCAGGAGATCCTGAGAACATGTGCCAGGCCACAACTTGGTTTTATACATTTTAGGGAGACATAAGGCATCAATCAATACATGTAAGGTGTACATTGGCTAGGTCCAGAAAGGTGGGACAATTGGAAACAGGGAAGCGGGGCAGCTTCCAAGTCATAGGCAGATTCAAAGATTTTCTGATTGACAATTTGTTGAAAGAGTTATTATCAATAGAAAGGAATGTTTGGAGACATCCAATAGAAATTCAATAGACAATCATTAGAAAGGAATGTCTGGGTCGTGGAGACCAAGGTTTTATTATGCAGATGAAGCCTCCAAGTAGCAGGCTTCAGAGAGAATAGGTTGTAAATGTTTCTTAATACACTTAAAAAGAGCATGTTCTGGCTGGGTGCAGTGGCTCATGCCTGTAATCCCAGCACTTTGGGAGGCCAAGGTGGTTGGATCACCTGCTATCAGGAGTTCAAGACCAGCCTGACCAACATGGCGAAACCTCGTCTCTACTAAAAATACAAATATTAGCCGGGCATGGTGGTGGGTGCCTGTAATCCCAGCTACTCGGGAGGCTGAGGCAAGAGAATCACTTGAACCCAGGAGGCAGAGGTTGCAGTGAGACGCAATCATGCCACTGCATTCCAGCCTGGGCAACAGAGTAAGACTCTGTCTCAAAAAAAAACAAAAACAAAAACAAAAAAAGAGTGTGTTCTATTAGTAATTCCAAAAGGAAAAAGGATGTAATGAGGCATATCCAGCTTCCCCTTCACATCAGTTTTCAGGTTAACTTTGGAATGCCCTTGGCCAAAAGCAGGGGTCCAGTCACATGGTTGGTGAGTATGGCCTTAGAATTTAATTTTTTGGTTTACATTAGGAATGCTTCCACATTCTCTCAAACAAATTTTAGTCACAGTTTTGAATAACGTACTCTGGCTCAGCCATTGCAGGTCTCAAGCCGTTAGGTTTCATTTTCCTCCTCCCAACGATTTTAAATTAGTTTCACTTTCCAGTTTCCTCTTCCTTCCCCTAAAAGCAATTACTCAAAAACGGAGAAAACATCAGCTGATGCGTGCCCTACTCTCCCACCCCTTTATATAGTTCCTTCAGTATTTACTTGAGGCAGACAGGAAGACTTCTGAAGAACAAATCAGCCTGGTCACCAGCTTTTCGGAACAGCAGAGACACAGAGGGCAGTCATGAGGTCAGTGAAATAAGAATGCATAATCATGCTTGTTTTTGAGTGCAAATTGTAAGTTGAGTTTCTTACTGTGCAGGCACATTCCTGAATTGTCCTGATGTTTATAGATTCAATATGTCTTTATCAGTCTGAGCATTTGTAAGATGTTTGAGGGGTTTTTCCCTGTGGCTTTTTTTGGTGTACACACAGGCTTCTTAAGTTTCTGGAATGGTTCCCTACGGAACTACATGGGGGGAGGCAGGGTGGGGAATGCATCAGCTCATGTTTCCTCCCTGTGTGCAGCTATTTCCTGCAATGAGAGGAAGGCTTGGCAGGAGCGGTGTATTTCACTCAGCCACAAACTTGGCTGATTCAAGGGTAGACCTAAGGGAATTACTCTTTTGGGTTTTTCTGTTATTGTCATTTTGTTTGAAAAGATTAAGTCACAGGCTTTTTTTCTTGTAATTTTAAAAGGAGGAATTTATTTTCAACAGATATTGTGAAAGATACAATCAGTACTGCAAACCCACTCATGAAGAAGGCAATTTTGCCCTGAAACGTTGCATTACTTTAAGGTGGGAAGTGGAAGAAACAATTCTTACAAATGGGCATTTTTGTCATTTCTTATATAAAAACAAACCCAAAGCTTAGCATTTATTTTTATTGATGTAGTGAATGCTGGTCAGCAGCAAAAAAAGAATTTCTCCTCAAAAGTGTAATGACCTAATCTATTATCTAAAACTAGTCTAATCTCTAATGGTGGGAAGCAGATCAGTGGTTGCCTGGAGATGGTGGGGATTGAGTAGGAAGGCTCCCAAAAGAATCTTTTTAGAATCATAGGAATAGTCTATAGGGAGGTAGTGATGGTGGCTACATATGCATAAACATTTACCAAAACTCATCAGACTATACACTGAAAATGGGTGCATCTTATTGTATATAAAGCATAATCTCAGTAAACTTGATTTTTAAATTTATATATTGACCTCCTGGAGTTCTTCAGGGGATAGCATGTTAGGGAGAACTAAGAGAAAAGGATGCCTTTCCCACCAAGCATCTCTAGGAAAGGAGTGAGGAGGTGATTGCCAGGGAGGGAAGACCCCATCGACCATTCAGGGGGGCAGAAAAGGAAAACTGGATTCCCTACCTTACTCTGCCCCAAGGACTTGAAGATGCTCTGCAATGTCATGTTTGGGGATGAGATGGGTAAGAGGAATTCACTGCCAAATACCTCAGTATATAGAATACCCTTTTATATAGAATAAGTTCCTGGTCAAGAGTGATGTTAATTGTGTCTGTGTGAGTGGGATTGACCAGAGAGCAAGGCGTCTTAGTAGCCAGCTTGCAGGAAAGGTTTTACAGGGTCCTGTCTTTAGGTGTGTCTATAGCCACTGACCTGAGGAGGTCTGAGGGGGGCTCTCTGAACTATGCTGGACTCAGGTTCACATCAAGGTGCTCCTATTTCCAGAGGCTATAGGAACAGGAAGAGATTGGGCTGCTCCTCCCCAGTTGTGCTAAAAATTTCCAAATGGGAAAATCACCTGGAGAACTCACTGGCACGTGCCAGCTGATGGGCATCCTCCTCTGCCCCATCCACTGAGGAACTCTGTTGCTCCCTTTACACACTCACAAATTCACTTAAAATTATAACACAAATATATTAGTACCAGCAATCATGGTGGTAACATTTCTTTGTGATCTGTAGTTAGTGGTTTCATGCAAGTCCGTGTGAAGAGACCACCAAACAGGCTTTGTGTGAGCAACAAGGCTGTTTATTTCACCTGGGTGCAGGTGGGCTGAGTCCGAAAAGAAAGTCAGGGAAGGGAGATAGGGGTGGGGCCATTTTATAAGATTTGGGTAGGTAAAGGAAAATTACTGTCAAAGGGGGGTTGTTCTCTGGTGGGCAGGTGTGGGGGTCACAAGGTGCTCAGTAGGGGAGCTTTTGAGCCAGGATGAGCCAGGAGAAGGAATTTCACAAGATAATGTCATCGGTTAAGGCAGGAACAGGCCATTTTCACTTCTTTTGTGGTGGAATGTCATCAGTTAAGGCAGGAACTGGCCATCTGGATGTGTACATGCAGGTCACAGGATATGATGGCTTAGCTTGGGCTCAGAGGCCTGACAAGTGGGCACTGTGTTAAACACGTTTTACGCATGACCTCATATCACCCTTCCAACAGCCCTAGGAAGTAAGAGCTATTATTTCTATTATTAGCCTCATTTTCTAGATGACCAAAATGGGGCTTAGAAGGGCAAATTACTTGCCCAAGACATCAGATAGAGAGCAGGTGTCAGAGCAGAGTCATTAATGGAGGCACCAAACTCTACTGCTGATCATCTGACTCTATGCCCAATGGCCAAAAGGTGAAAGATCTTAATGCTTTCAACTATGCTCACTTTAGAGAGGGGGCCAGGGATGGGCTTCCTATCTGGAGAGTAAGGGCCAGCCTTTGATGGTTACCCATGCCTTAGAGTGGCCAAAGCCACAAGAACTGAACCCAGATCTTGGAGAAGGGTGAAAGTGGTTCTCCCCAGGGCATAATTTTCTATCATTTGGATGAAGGGAAAAGGAAATTCATCCTAGGGCATTTTAAGGATAAGGGAATGAGGCTCAGTGATATGACTCAAGAAATATCCCAGAACTAAGCAAAGAGGTCACTGAAATCCAGGTGTCCTGTGGTTTTCTTCCCTTCACTCAAGATGCCTGATAATGCTGCTTAATTCACCACATTAGCTCCATAAATAAAGGGGAAAACTGCTTTTTAAAATACCTCTATGACAGCACTTCTCAAAATGTGGTACAGGAACTCCTGCACTGAATTTCCAAGGCACTTGTGAAAACACAGGTTTCTAAGCTCACATCAGATTCACTGCACCAGAATCTCTGGGAGTAGGACTGCATAGTCAGTACTGTCAATATACAATAATCAGAAGGCTCAGGATCCAGTTAAAAGAGTTTATTCAACAAAAAGTTGAGGGCAGCAGTCCCAGGAGTAGAGCTGCACCCAAGAATGGTGAACAGTACTTCCAGTGTAGAGAAAAATGAGGACTGTTTACATAGGCAAAGACAGAGGTGTTCAACAGAATGACAACTTCTCTTGTTGTTGTTGTTTTTGTTGTTGCTGTTGTTGTTTTTGAGACAGAGTCTCACTCTGTCACCCAGGCTGGAGTGCAGTGGCCCGATCATGGCTCACTGCAGCCTCAGACTCCTGGGCTCAAGGGATTCTCCCACCCAGCCTCCCAAGTAGCTGGGACTATAGGAGCACGCCACTATGCCTGGTTAATTTTTTTGTATTTTAGTAGCAATGGGGTTTTGCCATGTTGGTCAGGTTGGTCTTGAACTCCTGACCTTAAGTGATGCACCCACCTTGGCCTCCCAAAGTGCTGAGATTACAGGCGTGAGCCTCCGTGCCTGGCCAACATTTTCCATACAGAGGCTAACATACAGATATACAATTTGATTGGCTACTATTGATTACAGTCCAAGGGAATTGCTTAATATTCTTTTGTAAAGAGGTAACATGGCTGGCCGCAGTGGCTCACACCCATAAGCCCAACACTTTGGGAGGCCGAGGAGGGCAGATGCTTGAGCTCAGGAGTTGGAGACCAGCCTGGGCAACATAGTGAGACCCCGTCTGTACTAAAAATACAAAAATCAGCCAGGCGTGGTGGCACGTGCCTATAGTCTCATTGACTGGAGAGGCTGAGATGGGAGGATCGCTTGAGCCTGGGAGGCAGAGGTTGCAGTAAGCTGAGATCGTGCTACTGCACTCCAGCCTGGATGACAGAGTGAGATCCTGTCTCAAAAAAAAAAAAAAAAAAAAAAAGTAACAATCAAAAGGGTCTCTATTTCCATAACATGAGGTCTACGTTTTAATAAAGACTAGGTTGTCTGAGGCCGGGCACGGTGGTGCAAGGCTATAATCCCAGCACTTTGGGAGGCCAAGGCGGGCAGATCATGAGGTCAGGAGTTCGAGAACAGCCTGACCAACATGGTGAAACCCCGCCTCTACTAAAAATACAAAAATTATCCAGGCATGGTGGTGCACGTCTGTAATCCCAGCTACTCAGGAGGCTGAGGCAGGAGAATCACTTGAACCCGAGAGGCAGAAATTGCAGTGAGACTAGGGAGTCTGGTTAACATGTAACCCCTCACCACACAGGTCAAAGAGCAACAGTCATGCACCTGAGAAAAAAAACAGTCACGTTACGTGAGTCAGTTTTCAGGGCTTAACTTTGCCTCTTGACATAACACATTTGGAAGCTTCTAAAATTTTATTTTCTTTTTACAGTGCCTTTTTACAACTTTCAAACCACAGTTTTCCAAATCTGTCTGGAACATGTTCCTGGCGTGAGTGAGCTCAGTTCTCACAGATTCTGTTTCAGTTTCCCCTCAAGAGGGATCTTGATAGGGTTCCATCAGTTTCACTTTCCTTTCCCCTTTCATAAAAGCACAGACCTAACAGCACCCTGGGTGGAAACCTCTTCAGCATTTGCTTGGAATCAGTAAGCTAAAAACAAAATCAACCGGGACCCCAGCTTTTCAGAACTGCAGGGAAACAGCCATCATGAGGTAAATAGTCCCTGCTTCTCTGATAGGAAACAGAATTTCTTATGTACAACTTCCTGACTTATGCTATTTCAGTGTTTGCTTAGAGATGAAATATGCATTTATCTAATTCAAGCATAAATCTGCCTTACCAATTCATGCATTTTTATTTCTGTAGCTCTTTGTGATGTATAGAGTTAGGCAGCCAAAGGACACAGGGAAATGGGAGCTGGGAGCTGGGAAGGGACGGGGCATATTGAGAGATCCTAGAGAGCCCATGCTCAGATGCTTTCAGGTAAAATCGGGCCAGTGAAAGCTGGGGCCTGGAGGGAAGTTACTGGAGGTTCTGGTTCGTCTTTTGTTTCTTATATTTAGAAAGCCTAAGTCAGAGGTTTGTGGTTTTGTTGTGACTGTGGTTATTTTTAAACCATGCTTGCTTCTCAGCAAATGTGTCAATAATTAATTCAGCACTGCAAAATTCCAATTTATGTTGAGGTCACTTTTACCTTGAAATGCACTTTTTCATAATTGGGGGATATGTCTACTTGAGTTGTCCTCTAGCAGGTCTAGTGACCTGCTAAGCCTCCCACGTGATCAATGAACAGGGAGAAGGTGTTGCTTGCAGTCTCTCAAACTGTGTTCTGCGAGTGGCCTGAATCATATCAACCTGAGTCTTCTAATAGAATGCAAATTTCTAGGTCCTGCATTCTGAAATCCTGATTGAGTAAAACAGAAATAAGGTCCAGAAACAAACATATATTTAAAGAGGACCACAAGTACTTCATAGGCATACTGAATGGCTTACAGAAGAAATGTCCATCTCCAAATCCTCTCTTCCTTAAATGCATACAAGGCTTCCTGCATTGTATGTGTGTAAATGTGAAGGAGGAAACCCCAAGAGGCAGGAGGGGGGAGGGGTGGGAAGAATGTTGAAATAAAGCAAAGCTTGTTTCTGGGCACAGTGGCTAAGCCTGTAATCCCAGCACTTTGGGAGGCTGAGGCAAGAGGATTGCTTGAGCCCAGGGGCTCCAGACCAGAATTGGCAACAAAGTGAGACCTACAAAAAAACAAAAATAAAATAAAAATAAAGCAAAGTTTGACTGTTTAAAGGGTAATTTAAGTATGAGAAACTGGTGATTGGAAATCACTGCCAAAAAGGGAAGTCTTCCCAGAGCCTTGCTGCTCACAGTGTGGTCTGAAGCTGAGATCCCCCGGGAGGTTGTAAGAAAGGTAACATCCCAGCTTATCTGAATCCAGATCTGCATTTTAAAAAGATCTCCAGATGTTTGTGTCCATATGTACATTAAAGGTTGAGAAGTCCGGCTCTGGAGAGTTCCTTCACTTGCTTTCTGAAGTGATGGACTCCTTGGATTGGGCCTGTTCTGACCAACCAACTGAGCACAGGTCTGCCAGTTCCTTCACGTAGTCAGTTGGAGCATAACCAGCACATGCTGGGGACAAGCTGCACATGTGCAGACAAGAGTGGGGAAATCCCCACTCTTACCACTTCAAGAAAGCCACTTTCTGAAAATTTCAAGATTCTACTCTAGTAATAGCTTTGACTGGGAAGGAGATGTGGTATCTACCCTGGAGTCTGTGGGCAAGACAGGTGGTCATGATCTGGGTTAGGTGAGAGACTGTAACTATGTTGATTCTGGGGATTTCCTAAGGACTAGCAGCACTAGCTTTAACTGCTTTAGTAAGCGAAATCTTATGTCTGCAATCCGAGGTCATGGGAAATCTCTTTCTGGACCTGAGGGAATCCTATCTCCCTAAGGTCTTCTACTAGATGCAGATCCAGGTAGGACTGGCATTCTACTCCCCAAGTTTCACCTGAACCTAGCTATTCTGTTTTTTCTTCTTTTTCTTTTATTCTTTTTTTTTTTTTTTTTTTTTTTTTTTTTTTTTTTGAGACGGAGTTTTGCTCTTTCGCCCAGGCTGGAGTGTAGTGGCCCGATCTTGGCTCACTGCAACCTCCGCCTTCCGGTTTCAAGCAATTCTGCCTCGGCTTCCCGAGTAGCTGGGATTACAGGCGCCTGCCACCACGCCCGGCTAATTTTTGTGTTTTTAGTACAGGCGGGGTTTCATCATGTTGGCCAGGCTAGTCTCGAACTCTTGACCTCATGATCCACCCGCCTCAGCCTCCCAAAATGCTGGGATTACAGGTGTGAGCCACCGCGCCCGGCCACCTAGCTGTTCTTTATCAAGTGACTGTAGTCATCATCCCACCTGCCTGCTTGTATTTATTTAAATATCTGCATTAATTACTGTTAACTAACTTATTTATACATATAAGAAGTATTCAGAGTAACTTTCAAAAACACATATGAGATAAATTATTAAGTGAGGAAACCTTGGCAATTGGAGTATTTGTTTTAAGAGGGCAATAGTATTATAATGAAAACCTCCTGACCTGTGGCTCTGGGGTTCATGTTTCTTCTTATCGAGGTCTCAGGCCTTCCAGTCCAATATATTTTGCTCCAAATTTTACTTCAAGGAGAGATCAAGTATCAAATACCTCATCAAATTGGAGACTTTAGGGAGTAAGGCTTAGGAAAAATCAAGAGAATCAAGGGACCCAATTTTCAGTGGGTTTTATAATCATAAAGCCACATGAGTAGTTGACTATCTTCCTGAATAAATTGTTCCATGTTATCATTAAATGTCTCAGCCTGGCCAGCTCTCGCATTGGTAAAGCATTGGTGGGGATGGAATATCCCTGAGAGATCCATATTCAGAGCTCTTTCACAAGTCCAGAAATGTTCAGTGTGCTTTTCTGCTTGTCCAACACTTTCTTGAGCAATTGATATCTTCTGAAGCTGACACATGACAGGGTGGAAGTATGTTTCATCTCAGAGGGAGAATCTTGAGCTATAAGTGCTTAAAATTTAGTTTGGTAAGATCCCTGGTGCATTGATATGTCAAAGCCTTCTGCCCTCCAAAAAAAAAAAAAAAAGAGAGAGAGATAGTGTCATCAGACTTGCAAGGTGGTTTCCGGTTTCGTTGAGGCAAATACATCCAACAATACATCCAACATCACCTGTCATCCTGCAGGTCCACTGGATACTCTCTATTAATTACTAGTGTTCAGCTATTTTTTTCAGGCACCCATATGTACCTACAAATCTGCAGATACATTCTATTGATCTGAGACTCACACTTTCTCCTTTTAACCTTCCTAATTCACACATCAGCAAAGTTAACTCATGTTTCCATGACTTTATTATGATTTAGTGGCATAACAGATATAAGCAGAGTTGTTCAATTATCATCGTTATAACTTACTTTTGGTATTCATTTTTTAAATAATTGCTAACTTGACTTTTGACTTGTAGTCCTTCATACAGGGTAGTTAGAATACCCAGGTAAAGCCAAATTGAAAACCCCTAGGGCCAGGTGTGGTGGTTCACACCTGTAATCCCAACACTTTGGTATGTCGAGGCAGAAGGATTGCTTGAGACCAGGAGTTTGAGACCACTCTGGGCAATATAGTGAGACCCTGTCTCTGCAAAAAAAGGAAGGAAGGGAGGAAAGAAGGAAAATAGGGAGGGAGGAAGGGAGGGAGGGAGGGAAGGAAGGAAGGAAGGGAGGAAAGAAGGAAAATAGGGAGGGAGGAAGAGAGGGAGGGAGGGAAAGAAGGAAGGAAGAAAGGAAGGACCCTATAATAGACAGGGAAGATATTGACACTGGAACCCTAGACAGGGACCAAGAAAAGGAAAAGGACTGTCCCCAAATCAAAGCACACACATAAAGAGGCTAGCCGGATGTAGATGGCAACTTCCCTCCTCACTCCCATTGCCCTTGAGTTGATTCTGCATCTCTCACTATAAAGCATTTCATGTGCAATCATATTGGGCCAAAAATGGTTTAGATCAGCATTACTGGAGAGACAGACAGGAAGTATAATAGATCAGTACACTTGCAGTAGCGGTGTGAGGGCCAGTGCTCGTCCATGGTAAATTGCAAATAAAGTCAATGGCTCCTTGTAGAACAAAATGCATTCAATTTAAAGAATTTTGTTTATTCTGAGATTACTTTTTCAGTGGCAAGGAAAATTCTTTCTTTTCTATCTTTTAAAATAAAATATTGGTCAGAATAGATGGTTGGTATCTTTTCAGATACATTAGCAGCCCTATTTGGTTCATAACTTTTTTTCTGAAATTGTGCTTGTCTGTGAAATCCAAAAATAAGGACACTTGGTTTAATGATTTCTGGAGGTTCTTTCCAATCTTATGGTGCCGTGACTCCACTGGTAAGAAGGAAGAAGCACAAACTCAAGAGTGAGGGACATACAGCCCAAGCCCCAGGCAAATGTAGATAATGGGAACACACTTAGAGAACTCTTGCAATTTATCCAGCTAAATAAGGCAAGTGATCTCCTTTAGTATCTTCCAACTACAAAACAAAAATGAGTCCATTTTGTTTGTTTGTTGCAACAAATTCATTCTGTCTGGGAATCTGGCCTGTGTGGTGGGGAGACTACTTCAGTCAGACTCAAGCTGAGCCTCCGTGGGTCTGTTTGTAAGTGGTGGAAAAGATGAAGGGAAAAATACCTAAATCACATAACATGTTGGCAGACATATCTGGGCTTTTATTTCTTTACATGTCTCCTAACAAAACTGAAAGCACCTGGCGGGCAGAGAAGGTTGGGATAATCTCTATTTTTCTTAGTATCCATAATATCTAATAAAGTGACAAAAAGAGGTACCCCAATAAAGAGTCATGGGATAGCTAAACAAACCTTACCCAGAATGTACAAGGAATGAGAACTGACTTGGTATTTTTTAATTTTTATTCTTACTTTTATTTTTTTTGAGGCAGGGTCCCACTCTATCACCCTGGCTGGAGTGTAATGGTGTGATCTCAGCTCACTACAACTTTTGCCTCCTGGGCTCAAGTGATCCTCCTGTCTCAGCCTCCCGAATGGCGAGGACTACAGGCATGTACTACCATCCCTGGCTAATTTTTGTATTTTTAGTAGAGGCAGGCTTTCGCCATGTTGCCCAGGCTGGTCTTGAATCCTGGGCTCAGGTGATCCACCCGCCTTGGCCTCCCAAAGTGCTAGGACTACAGGCATGAGTCACCATTCCTGGCTGACTTGGTAATTGAGCAGCGTGAGAGAGATCTCATTTCCTGTCACTGAAGCTGCCTCCTCTTACCCATCTTACCTCACCTCCTGCATATCTGCTTACACGGTGTAAGGGATGTGCTTTGTGGGTGTCTGCACAGACTGTAGCTAAAGAAAAGTGAATGTAGGAAGCAACTTACAATTTTTCCAACCTTGTGATGGTACAAAAGTGATAATTCCATTCTTGTTTTTCACTTAAAATACAGTATTCAATAAGTTACATGAGATACTCAACACTTTAGTATAAAATAGGCTTTGTGTTAGGTGACTTTGCCCCACTGTAGGCTAATGTAAGGGTTCTGAGCACATTTAAGCTAGGCTAAGCTATGGTAGGTTAGATGTATTAAATGCATCTTTTTATTTACAATGTTTTCAATTTATGATGGGTTTATCAGGATATAACCCCATCATAAGTCAAGGAACATCTATATATAAAGAGATTTATTATGAGGAATTGGCTCACCTGATTATGGAGACTGGCAAGTCCCATAATCTGTTGTCTGCAAGCTGGAGACCAAGGAAAGTTGATGGTGTAGTCCCAGTCCAAGTCTAAAAGTCTGAGAACCAGGTAAGCCAATGGTGAAAGTTCTAGTCCAAGTCTAGTCTAAGGGCAGAAAAAGACCAATGTCCTAGCTCAAGCAGTCGGTCAGAGGGAGAATTCTCCCTTCCTCTGCCTTTTTGTTCTATTAAGGCCCTCAACAGAATGGATAATGCCCACCCATACTGGGGAGAGCAATCTGCTCTACTCAGTCCACCAATTCACATGTTCATGTCTTCCAGAAACAACCTCACATACATACCCAGAAATAATGTTGGACCAAATATCTGGGCATCCTGTGGCCCAGTTCAATTGACATATAAAATTAATGATCACAGGGTGCAGTGCTTGGCAGTGTACATCACAGTGACCATGTTTATTTTCTCCACAGTGAGGTCACCAAGAATTCCCTGGAGAAAATCCTTCCACAGCTGAAATGCCATTTCACCTGGAACTTATTCAAGGAAGACAGTGTCTCAAGGGATCTAGAAGATAGAGTGTGTAACCAGATTGAATTTTTAAACACTGAGTTCAAAGCTACAATGTACAACTTGTTGGCCTACATAAAACACCTAGATGGTAACAACGAGGCAGCCCTGGAATGCTTACGGCAAGCTGAAGAGTTAATCCAGCAAGAACATGCTGACCAAGCAGAAATCAGAAGTCTAGTCACTTGGGGAAACTACGCCTGGGTCTACTATCACTTGGGCAGACTCTCAGATGCTCAGATTTATGTAGATAAGGTGAAACAAACCTGCAAGAAATTTTCAAATCCATACAGTATTGAGTATTCTGAACTTGACTGTGAGGAAGGGTGGACACAACTGAAGTGTGGAAGAAATGAAAGGGCGAAGGTGTGTTTTGAGAAGGCTCTGGAAGAAAAGCCCAACAACCCAGAATTCTCCTCTGGACTGGCAATTGCGATGTACCATCTGGATAATCACCCAGAGAAACAGTTCTCTACTGATGTTTTGAAGCAGGCCATTGAGCTGAGTCCTGATAACCAATACGTCAAGGTTCTCTTGGGCCTGAAACTGCAGAAGATGAATAAAGAAGCTGAAGGAGAGCAGTTTGTTGAAGAAGCCTTGGAAAAGTCTCCTTGCCAAACAGATGTCCTCCGCAGTGCAGCCAAATTTTACAGAAGAAAAGGTGACCTAGACAAAGCTATTGAACTGTTTCAACGGGTGTTGGAATCCACACCAAACAATGGCTACCTCTATCACCAGATTGGGTGCTGCTACAAGGCAAAAGTAAGACAAATGCAGAATACAGGAGAATCTGAAGCTAGTGGAAATAAAGAGATGATTGAAGCACTAAAGCAATATGCTATGGACTATTCGAATAAAGCTCTTGAGAAGGGACTGAATCCTCTGAATGCATACTCCGATCTCGCTGAGTTCCTGGAGACGGAATGTTATCAGACACCATTCAATAAGGAAGTCCCTGATGCTGAAAAGCAACAATCCCATCAGCGCTACTGCAACCTTCAGAAATATAATGGGAAGTCTGAAGACACTGCTGTGCAACATGGTTTAGAGGGTTTGTCCATAAGCAAAAAATCAACTGACAAGGAAGAGATCAAAGACCAACCACAGAATGTATCTGAAAATCTGCTTCCACAAAATGCACCAAATTATTGGTATCTTCAAGGATTAATTCATAAGCAGAATGGAGATCTGCTGCAAGCAGCCAAATGTTATGAGAAGGAACTGGGCCGCCTGCTAAGGGATGCCCCTTCAGGCATAGGCAGTATTTT
Organism: Homo sapiens; assembly: GCF_000001405.40. Classification (NCBI taxonomy): domain Eukaryota; kingdom Metazoa; phylum Chordata; class Mammalia; order Primates; family Hominidae; genus Homo; species Homo sapiens. The sequence goes on from NC_000010.11 coordinate 89,340,026, forward strand.
CCTGTCAGCATCTGAGCTTGAGGATGGTAGTGAGGAAATGGGCCAGGGCGCAGTCAGCTCCAGTCCCAGAGAGCTCCTCTCTAACTCAGAGCAACTGAACTGAGACAGAGGAGGAAAACAGAGCATCAGAAGCCTGCAGTGGTGGTTGTGACGGGTAGGACGATAGGAAGACAGGGGGCCCCAACCTGGGATTGCTGAGCAGGGAAGCTTTGCATGTTGCTCTAAGGTACATTTTTAAAGAGTTGTTTTTTGGCCGGGCGCAGTGGCTCATGCCTGTAATCCCAGCACTTTGGGAGGCCGAGGTGGGCGGATCACGAGGTCTGGAGTTTGAGACCATCCTGGCTAACACAGTGAAATCCCGTCTCTACTAAAAATACAAAAAATTAGCCAGGCGTGGTGGCTGGCACCTGTAGTCCCAGCTACTTGGGAGGCTGAGGCAGGAGAATGGCGTGAACCTGGAAGGAAGAGGTTGCAGTGAGCCAAGATTGCGCCCCTGCACTCCAGCCTGGGCAACAGAGCAAGACTCCATCTCAAAAAAAAAAAAAAAAAAAAAAAAGAGTTGTTTTCTCATGTTCATTATAGTTCATTACAGTTACATAGTCCGAAGGTCTTACAACTAATCACTGGTAGCAATAAATGCTTCAGGCCCACATGATGCTGATTAGTTCTCAGTTTTCATTCAGTTCACAATATAACCACCATTCCTGCCCTCCCTGCCAAGGGTCATAAATGGTGACTGCCTAACAACAAAATTTGCAGTCTCATCTCATTTTCATCCAGACTTCTGGAACTCAAAGATTAACTTTTGACTAACCCTGGAATATCTCTTATCTCACTTATAGCTTCAGGCATGTATTTATATGTATTCTTGATAGCAATACCATAATCAATGTGTATTCCTGATAGTAATGCTACAATAAATCCAAACATTTCAACTCTGTTAGAATAGAGGTAATTGTGTGGTTTGTGTATGGGACTATAACAGTAATATTAATTCCCAAAATTTCTCCTACTAGGAACAGTGGGTAATTGCTAAGCCGTACCATACTATTCTCGACATGTTCATTTGAGCCCCTCCCTTAGAATGAACACCCTCCCCCTGAAGGCAGCCTATCCTTACATTATAGGAACTATGACTGTCTTTCCAGCCTAGGAGCCCCAACTAAGCCCCATGCCCAGTTAGCAGCTGCTGCTGTAGACAGGGTTGCTGTAAGCCCAGGAATATCTGGGCAAATGCCTCCCTGACAGAGTGTGAGGGACATCAGTGTGAGGCTGGTCAAAAGGGCAGAGATCCATCCAGGTCTACAGCAGTCCCTTTCAAACTGCCAGCATCTGACACGGTGAGCTCCATTTTGTTCAGGTTAAAGTCAGACCTGGACAGCAAAGGTCTCTTAAACACATGGGGGAATAGCCTCCATGGACTCTTGAGATTAACTTCTGCAGTTCATTTTTAATTCACTCATGAATGTAATATCTAGTCACAAAGGTGTAAACAGAAAGGTAAAAGTATATAAATGTATAAGATGATCATTTGAACACTTTCCTTTTAAATTCCTTATCCCCTAGGAATTAATGTAATATTTGAAATAAATTCTGAAATGATTCCCTAGCTGATTTAACACCTGGAAACTTGCTTGTAGGTTCATAAGTGGCAGAAAGACTGTGGCCCTAAAGGAGTTCATCTCTCAGAATTTAGAATATAGACCCTACACCAGGAACCCATAAAGAGTTGCCCTCTGGTATTCACAGACATAGTATATGCACCTTGGACCATTTCCAAACTCAAAGATCCAGACCTGCTAGGGATTTTGGGTTTTGCCAAGGCATTATACCGTATTAAGAGGCTAACATAGTACATCATGGTGACTATAGTTAATAATGATATGTTGCATACGTGAAAATTGCTGAGAGAGTAGATTTTGTGTTCTCACTACAAAAAGAAAGGTAAGTAGCTGAGGTAATGCATATGTTAAATAATTTGATTTAGCCGTTCCACAATGTATACATATATTAAAACATGCTATACACCATAAATATATACAATTTTTACATGTCAACTAAATTTTTACTTTGTATTAAAAAAGGCTAATGGGGGGTAACTGCAGCTAATGAATAAACATCCAATAGGTCCAGCATTCCCATGTCAAGTGTCCTCTGCCTGTCATCCTTTATACAATAATTCTAATGAAATGCTAGATGGAATGGGACATACCACTCAAGAATACCACAGATGATCACCCTTAAGATATTATAAGATGGGCAGAGAGCACAGACTTCCACTCTTAACTCTTGCCTGGCTGATCACAAATCATATCCCAGCCCAGGTCCAGGGACCTACTTGCTTCCTTACAAACGAGGAGACCCTGGTTCTAAGACTTTTGCTGAGAGCAGAAATAACCTCCCCCATCCTCCTGCTCCTTAAACAAAAGAACCTTTAGGGCAATTGTCTAAAAGGAAACAACATACCAGAAATACAATTCCTGGGTTAAAGCAAGCAAAGCTGCTTTTCTAATAACTCCCATTTTCTATGCATACCCTGGGTCCAGCATTCCATCTTCCAGGTATGGTTAGAAAAGAGATCAGACCTTAGTGACTGCTGGTGAAGTGAATTGCATGCTGCAGCCCCTCATCAGCATCTTTGTACAGCTCAGTTTCGTGTTTTCTGCAGAATCAGGAGCTGACAATCAAAATGGCCCCTCACTCACATTCATTGGTCAGACTGGGCTTGTGATAACAATTTAGACTAATCACTGACAAGCAGGGATGGGGAGCACTGAAGTCAGCTATTGGCTGTGTCCCGGAGCAGTTGGGCATTCTGCCACTGGATGCTGCTTTTGTAATCTTGTCATATGACAAAGCATTATGATGTTCTTTTGTTTTCCTTGGATTGGCTTAAGGGCTGGTGAGAAGCAGGAAATATTCTGCCATGGGAAGTCTACTGACCTGCAAAAATTTATCAAAATACACAGAAGCAGGAATGGAAGGTGGAAAAATTACAAACTGTGATAATCAGCTCCAAGAGCATGTAGGGGTAAAAGGAGGTAGGTAATACCTCTCCTTACTCATTGTAAGAGTCATGGCTGACACTCCTATAACAAAAGACAAGTTAACAAGAGAAAAGCATAACAAATTTACTTAATCAAAGTTTTATGTGATATGAGAGCCTTCAGAAATGAAGACCCAAAGATCCAGGGAAAACTGTTTTTGTGCTTAGGTTCCATGAAGAATGGGCAGCTCTGTAGAGATGTGTTTGGACAAGAGTATGATCTAATGGTAATAGACTGGGTTCAAATTCTTCTTGGACTCTCTGTGTAGCATTTCTTCTTTGCAAGTATGGGGCAGGATTCCTCTGGATTAAGGGTCTTCAAATGAGAAGGGAGAAGGGAGAGAGTGACCTTCCTAAGTTTTATGGCTTGCTTTGGGGAAAGGGCTTCTAGTTTCTATCATTGTCTTGCGGAAGAGGAATTCTAGTTTCCATGGTTCACTCCAGGGGAGAAAGAAGCATGAAAGACAAGAGGGCAGGAGAAGGTCAAAGAGATCTTTCTTCGGAGGCCCTTCCAATGTCTTTCAGTTCAAAGTACTCAGCACACCGAGGCGCTATACTTTGGGCATCATGTTCTGAGAGCCAACAGCTACAGTGAAGAAGTATGAGAGCAGTCACTGAGTAGGGAGGGAGCTTTCAACTAACTTAGAGGAGCAGGGCCTGACCCTAGCAAGCATTCCTGGGGCCTCCCGATTGCCATATGGGGCAGTACTTATGTGTGGGACAGTGATATGAGGAGCTACACTCAGGAAGCTTCCTGATCTCAATTTTTATTATGATTTGTTTCTGATTTGGGATCTTCCTAACTGAATTAAAGAACTTATATTAATTTCTAGCTTAATTCAGGCAGGAGTTAGTCCAAGTATCATTCGACAAACTTTATTAATCTTTTAAAAGTGCCTTGGCTTTGGGTTTAGACCTATTTCAACCTCACCTCCACCACTTAGTATCTCTACAGTGTTGGGAAAAATCACCTAACCTCTGTGACCCTAAGATATTCCTACATAAAACCTGGGAATAATAAATTATACCTCACAGAAGATTAAATGTGTTTCCTTACAAGCATTATGGTAGACCAGATATACACAGAACAAAAAGCCTGTGTATCACAATGAAAAATGCTATATAATCTGCAAAACATATTTTTTAAATGCACAGCTGCATTTATAAGAGAGTAAGGAATTCCCTGAAGTCCAGAAATGACAGGAAAGTGAAAATCCACCAGAATAAGCATGTGTTCATTTGTGTTGGTGATCTACATCACTTTCTCATGGACTACATTACATTATGAAGGAGATGGAAGACAAAGTCTGGGGCCTGCACGTGGTACATTGTATCATAGAACTCACATAAAACCAGGACCCATTCAGAGGTTAAACTGGAGAACAAACTCCTTGCAGACGTAAATGATGGGGCTACACATGCCTGTTTTTGGCTTTGGCCCTAAGTAAAGCAGGGAGGAAAAAAAGTCATTGATAATTTCTAATCTTAAGTGGAGAAGCATGATTGTTTTGGGCTGAAATTCTCACTATCCATGCGGCAAGAAAAAAAAAAAAAAACCTCAAGTAGAAAATTTCATTTTAAGCAATTCTGGCTTGGTAGTGCTCCCATGCACCTAACAAAAGCAAATAAAAACACCCCTCAAAGGGAAACACTTTTTACATAGTTCTCAAAGAATTTCCAAGTTTGATAAAGTTCCAAGGAATATCAGGTCATAATACAAAATCAAAGAATACACACAAATAAATAAGCCACAATGTGCAAAAGTTGCCAGATAATAAACGATAAGCCAGAGCAACAAAACTGCAGATATTGTAATTGAATAGAGAATAAAAAAGAATGTATTTAGTACACTTTGGGAGGCCGAGGCAGGTGTATCACTGAGGACAGGAGTTAGAGACCAGCCTGGCCAACATGGTAGAACCCGGTTTCTACTAAAAATACAAAAATTAGCAAGGCATAGTGGCGGGCATCTGTAATCCCAGCCACTTGGGAGTCTAAGGCAGGAGAATGGCTTAAACCTGGCAGGTAGAGGTTGCAGTGAGCCGAGATCGCACCACTGCACTCCAGCCTGGGCAACAGAGTAACTCTGTCTCAATAAAAAAAAAAAGAATGTATTAGTGTATTTAGTAAATTTCAAGATAAAGAAAGAAAAAATTAAGTTTTAACAAAGGAATAGGCCGGGCGCAGTGCCTCATGCCTGTAATCCCAGCACTTTGGGAGGCTGAGGTGAGCAGATTGCCTGAGGTCAGGAGTTCAAGACCAGCCTGGCCAACATGGTGAAAACCCATCTCCACTAAAAATACAAAAATTAGCCAGGTGTGGTGATGGGTGCCTGTAATCTCAGCTACTCAGGAGGCTGAGGCAGGAGAATCTCTTGAACCCAAGAGACAGAGGTTGCAGTGAGCTGAGATCATGCCACTACACTCTAGCCTGGGTGACAGGTCGAGACTCCATCTCAAAAAATAAATAAATAAATAAATAAATAAATAAATAAATAAAGGAACAATAGTGTATTAAATTTGATTAGGCATATTTGCACAAGAACCAAACAAAACTTAGAAATATAAAAACTAAAATAATAGAAATTAGAAACTCAAAGGATTTGTTGAAAAGTAATTTATACACAGCTGAAAAGCATTTATTGATTTAGAAGACAGATTCGAAGAAACTACTCAGAATGCAGCACAGAAAAACAGTGAGATGGAAAATCAACAGAGATATTCAGGGACATGGAGAACAAAGTGAGGAAGTTAAAATGCATGTGATCAGAGTTGCAGAAGAACAAATAAAAGGGAATGGAGGAAAGGCAATAGTTGAAGAGACAATGACCGAAATTTTCGGAATTAATGAAAAATGCTAATCCTCAAATACATGAATTTCACAAAAGATCACCCAAGCAGATGTCACCTAAAAACATAGTAGTATCTTTTAAGTGCCTTTGAGGCAGAAAGATTTTTAAAACGACAAAAAACAGAAGAAATATCTGTGAAGGAATTGGTATTAGGTTAAGCTCAGACTTCTCAATAGCAACCAAAACACAGTGGGAAATAGTTTCAAAATGCCAAGAGAAAATAATTGTCAGCCTATAATTTGACTTTTTAACCCTTTTTATTTGAAATGATTTTAGACTTAAAGTTGTAAAAATGGTGCCCAGAATTCCCATATACCCTTTACGCAGCTTCCCATCATGTTAACACCTTACATAAACATAGAATAATCTTTAAGACAGGAAACTAACAGTGACAACATATAATCAACTAATCTACAAGTCTTGTTCAAATTTTACCAGTTGTCCCACTAATATTCTTTTTCTAGTTCAACATCCAACCTGGGATCTTCCCCAAAATGACCTTTGTTCACAGTGTCATAATTCACCCTGCAACACAAGCTCTGCTCAACTAGAGTTTGATGAATAAAATGATTTTCTCTTTGCCATGGTCCCTTTATATGAATATCTCATAAAGCATAAAGGTCAGGGTGGTTCCTGTTAGAATATTCACTTCCCTTGATTTCCTGCCAAATATCATTTCACAACCCTCCTGAGCTCCCTCTTGATTATAAAGGGAAAGACATTGACTCCAGTCTGACGCAATAAACAGAAGAGTTTTTGATGACCCTGCACCTTCTTTTCTTCTGATTTATGTGGAACATACCAGCAACAAAATCCTGAACCAAGATCCACCAGGGGATGGACAGGTGTCCTAGGTATGCCCAAGAATGATGCAACATCCCCAGCCATGCGCATGATGGCTGAGGAATCTGGGGACAGCTATTGTGTGGAAAGAAAATCTTACAAAGGGAAATCCTCATAGGAAATTGCGTAGGTTGGAGAAAGAGCCACACTCAGTCAGGCTTAGCCTGTCTTTTCTCTCCTTTGGTCTCCCAGAGGGAGCTGTTATATTCTAATAGCCTGCTGCATTGTTTTTTTCTAAAGAGAATTCTAGGAAATTGACATCAGGGTCTCCAAGACTACCCCTAGATTTGATGATTCACTGGAAAGATGAGCAGGATTCAACATATGGTCATACTCACAGCTAAGCCTTATTATAACAAAAGTATACAGAGCAAAATTAGCACAGACAAAAAGTGCATGGGGCCAAGTCCAAAGAAAATCAGGTATAGGTTTCCAAGAGGGCCGGTAGAGTCATCAGGTTGTGCTTAATTCCTCCAGCATCAAATTGTGACAACACATGTGAAGCCAGTTAGACTGTGTGCCCAAGGGTTTTACTGGGGACTGATCATGTATGCACCCTCTGCCTAGCATGTACCAAAATTCCAGACTTCGAGAAGGAAAGCAAGTGTTAGCATAAACTCCATCATTTGCATAAACAGTCTTAGCATAGTAAGCCACCCATATCATTTATAGAATAGCTAGAAAACTTAAAAATCCAAGTTCCCTGATGTTAGCCAAGGGCCAACCTTGCAAGCAAGTCTTTCTAAAGATAACAGTTTCAAACTTGCCATGCTAACTCTGCATGGTCCATCCCCTTAGTCCTTAGCAAGGCAACTTTATAGTAAAATTATTATTTCTAGGATCTCTGTCAGTATTGATCTCAGTTTTTTCCAATACATTCAGTATTTATCCTCTTTTAAGGATCCTGAATTTAGCCAGCTTAAACAAATCTGATTAATTATAAAGGTCTATCTTAGAAGTCCAGAGAGCTTCCTCCGTACATGTCTATATTAAACTTTTAACCTGGTGGCACATCACAGCTGAGGCCAGGAAAGTAAAGTGGACCTGATCACCTTCCTGGGCTGAGACAGTGTCATGACAGTCAGGTACACACAGACACAAAGCACAATCCCAGAGGACATGCATGGCAGCCCAAGCGGGACATGCCTTAGGCAGTACAGGTTTACAACCCCCACCATGTGGCCTTCCATGGTGAGGCCTACCACCGTAAGGTTTCCATCCCAGTCCAAAAAATACACTGAAGTCCTTGCTTTCAGAGGAACTGCCTTCAAGCTATCAGTTCCAAACACAGGAGTGAGGAAGACATCTGAGGTTTTCTGGATGGAAAGTTCCAGAGTGGATCCCCACCTCCAACCCCAGTGCTGTCTGTTGTGCTCAGAGGCTCAGCAATCTGAATTCAAAGCATTAAGTAGGAGTTTGGAAAGACAGCGTGGGAAGATTTCCGTCAGACAGAAGGGAAATCTTCCAGGAACAGTTCTGAAAAACAAAAAGATTGTTAATGACTTCCTCTCCTTTATGCCTCCCTGGGGGCTGAGTTTCTATTTTTTTCCATTGCGACAAAGTCAGAGAGTCCTATTCAGCAATCATATATTTTTGTTCAGTTATATCCCATTCTCACGCAGATCTTTCAACTGGAAAAAGTGTATACAAAAAGGACAAAAGGACTTTCACCAAAAAAACATTTTCATGCAATTTAAGCATAAAGAGGTATCATGCTCACATTGTCTGCTACTGAACAAAACTGGGGTCCACTTGCCCAGCCCAGTAAAGCCAAACACCCACAGTGGGGTTTTGCAACAAGAGAAAGGAGGGCATTTGTTTGCGGGTTGCCATGCAAGGAGAATCCCGCAGCTCACGCTTAAGACCCTATTTTTGGTTTCTATAGAGAACCAAACATCACCTGACTCTAACTTCCTTGGCTGTTGTTGTAAGCTATTATTACCTTCTTGCTTATCAGCTTGCAAACTTACTTCTCAGGGCCCGGTAGTGCCTGGAATTTCCCTTGAAGGAACTTGAGATTTTCCTTTATTTCCATGCCTGCGTGGGGGTCCTGGCAGGCCACTAAGAAGGAGTCCCTGCTCCATCTTATGTCCAGAATGAAATCCTGAATTTTCAAAAACTTTCAAAATTGGCTAACATAAACTCCCACCTCTTTCATCCAAATTATACACTGAGCCTAGAAATTAGTAATCCTTTTCTGGGGTCAATTGCATTTAATAATCAAACTTCTAAGGTCAGGAAATGCCACTCCAAAATATATCACTTTGGACTTCAAAATGAAGGCACTTGAGAAATAGCAAATGCAAGACAGGATTTTCTCTGAGCTCCCTTTATCTGCATAAAGATAGACCCTCCAAAAGGAACTCAGATGTCATGAATCCCTTCCCAGGGAATCTTATCAACCAGGAAGATTAAACTTGGTTCACTGGAGAGAACACTGGAGGTTGACCCCGTGTCCAGACAGACTTCGTCACAGGCTGTCACATATTCTTCTGAGGGCCCATTCATTTTTCATCAAAACAATTTACTCCCCCTAAGTAAGTTGCCTACATCTCCCCTCCCCTCTCCTTTAAAAAGAGGGTATATAAGCTTCTTGATCTCACTGGGTTTGGGGCGTTAACTTTCCTTTCATATGATGCCCCATGCACGTAATAAGTTTGTATACCTTTTGTTCTGTTAATCTGCCAGTTTTCAGTTTATTTCATAGATTCAATTATCAAGCCCTCAAAAGATATAGGGAAAATGTGTCCTCCCCCTACCTTACTAAGGTGTGTGTGTGTGTTAGGACAAAAGTGAGGGATGTAGATTCAGGCTGTCAGATCATTTTCACAGATTGAAACTAATTGGGAAAGTTGAAAAGAGCAAGTCAACAGCAATGAGATAGTCTCAAGATGGGGAGAGTCCAGTCTGTCAGGAGTGGTTGGAGGGGTTACACTCCCTGTGATGTGTCCTCCTCCAACTTACAGCTTTCAACAGGGATTATAAATCAGTAATGCAATTAGCCTCTGTATCATGAAGGGGCTCAGACTATGCCACCCCAAAACATGCCATTTTGACATAAGAATTATTTTGAGTTAAAGGGAATTGAAAAAAAGCAGACGCAGGATGAGTTGTCTGCCCTACTTCTGTCTGCCTGAAAGCAGAATATAAACGTCTCTTGTGATGGTATCCCCAACCCCTACTTCCATTCAAGAAACGGGATAACAACCTTATCACTGGACAAAGTCTACACAAACAAATCTTAGTAACTAGCCCTCATCTACCATTAGTTTCCCCAAATATTTGTCTTTGCACAATTTGACACCCCTCAAAGTTCAAAGTTCCTTCTTTTTTGTCTGGCCACTTCTCTACAAATGTATTGTTATTTTGTTAAGATGCTCAATAAGTCTGAAGTTCTAGCCACTTCTTTCACTTGCTCATCACTGAGTTCTCTGGTGTGAAGAGACTGATGGGGTTCAGGAGGATATGATATTTATTAATTATTTAGGTGCACCGGCCCAGTCAGATTAACATCTAAAGGACTGAGCCCTGAACAAAGAGTGAAGTTACCTTTTTTTTTAAGACGGAGTCTTGCTCTGTGGCCAGGCTGGAGGGCAATGGCGCAATCTCGGCTCACTGCAAGCTCCGCCTCCCAGGTTCAAGCGATTCTCCTGCCTCAGCCTCCCGAGTAGCTGAGACTACAGGCGCATGCCACCAGGTCCAGCTCATTTTTTGTATTTTTAGTAGAGAAGGGGTTTCACCATGTTGCCCAGGATGGTCTCGAACTCCAGACCTCGTGATCCGCCCACCTCAGCCTCCCAAATTGCTGGGATTATAGGTGTGAGCCACCGTGCCTGGCCTGAAGTTACCTTTTAAGCATTTCTTGCAGGGGGTTGGGGGGAGATCTGTGCAGGGGGAAGGATACTACAGAAGAGAGAAACAAAGGCAGTTATTCAATTGAGACATGCATTACATCATTTCTTACTTTTTAAGGAAAAGCATGTTTTGCGACTTGAGTTTATCTGTCTAGTGAACTTGCAGTTGCATAGCTAGGGAAACAGAGTCTTCACAATGCCTGGGAAGGGAGGAGAGATAAGGCTTACTAGCCACAGAAAAACAGGCAGTTAATTTTTTAAAGGACTCCAGTTCTTTCTCTTTCTCAGGGGGAGTTGGGTTTTCTTACATACAACTGAGTTTTTGCTTACACACTCTTTCATTTCTTTTAATTTCTGTTTCAGTAGGGCCCCAGCCTATGAACCTAAGACGGGAAGAGGAAATAATGTTTGCTGAGCCAGGCGCAGTGGCTCACGCCTGTAATCCCAGAACTTTGGGAGGCTGAAGTGGGCGGATCACTTGAGCCCAGGAGTTTGAGATCAGCCTGGGCAGCATGACAAAACCATGTCTCTATAAAAAATACAAAAATTAGCGAGGTGTGGTGGCACATGCCTGTAGTCCCAGCTACTCAGGAGGCTGAGGTAGGAAGACGGCTTGAGCCCAGGAGGTTGAGGCTACAGTCAGCTGTAATCATGCCACTGCACTCCAGCCTGGGCAACAGAGCAGAAACCCTGTCTCAATAAAAATCTTTAATGCACAGAATGGTTTTTTTCCTCTCCTACAATCATAAATATGTAATCAGCAACTGGATTTCAGATGGCCTAATCAGAGAAAAATCCAAATAGTCCAGAAAAGCCCAAAAAGTATCCATGACGATTTTATAAATTAGGGCTCCACAGAGCAGTGATTTGCAAGGATCCCAGAATCTGAGTTCTGTCCACAGAGCCTATGTCTGCTTTCAGTTCAGCACAACACAAACTAAGGCTGAAACCACCTAACAACAGGCAGCCACAGGTTTCAGTTTAGAGTCAGAACAGGCAATTAGAATATGTGAATTCTGGATTTCAAAGGAGACAGCTTCTTTTCTTCCTGCAGCAACAAAACCAAGATACTTTAGAGTCAGAGAGCCATGGTCCAAGTCCAAGGGACAAGAAATGCTTTCCCAGGCCCTTTTTATTTTGTCAGGCTTAGAGTCTTAATTGACCCACTCAAAAAATACGCGCATCACCCTGGAACATCATCAGCCTTAAAGATTCAGACATCTGACATCACAAGGGCTCTCTAGCAACTAAAAATTGATTTTTCAAACTCAGTGTGTCTCCATCTGGAGACAACGTCTGAGAAATAAAAATAAAATCCTAAGCCCCACAAGCAACTGAACATAATATACCCCCTCTTGGCCACGGGGACCCCAGGGAAACCTTAAAAACTGAGTGCCCGGCCACGATGGAATGTAAAGTCAGACACACCCCTTCCTTATTAATCTTTAACCAGAATTCTTTCCTAAGGAGTAAGCAGAAACCAGCTCTGGAAAACAAGAAATAGAGGACACATTCCTTTATTGCCTTTAGCCAATCATCTGAAGCCACTGCTCGACTCCCCCTCCCTCTTTGCAGTTTCAATGTGACAGCTCGCCAGTTTCACAAGGCAACCCTTTCTAAAAATTGACCTCTATCTCCAGTCCAGTTTTGGCCCAATCACAGAGGAAGGGCAGTGCGGGTTTTCATGTCCTCTACCTCACCTTTTGACACAAGAAGGCCAAAAACTCCACCCATGGATCACGCTAACACCACCATTTTTTGTACATATGATTCATGGAAAGGCACGAGGCTCAATTGCACATGTGCATATTTTCCCTTTCATGAATATTCATGACTCCTCCTATAGCTTATCGAATATGTGTATTTGGACACCTCATTCAGCAACAATTTTTGTCTTAGTCTTCCCTCCCACAAAGTGCCTGTGGCTTCTGGTTGGAGGCTATGCTTTCCAGCCTGTCAGAATGGCTAGCTTTGTAACTGCCCAAGGGTTTTTTCCTGCCCACTGCACAAAGACCATGCCATTGTGGTACAGAAAATTTTAATAGACACATGGAAGGAAAATAAATCTTGGGACCCCCAAGTCACTAAGCCAAAGGGAAAAGTCAAGCTGGGAACTGCATCAGGCAAACCTGCTCCCATTTTATTCCTAAATGAGATAACTACAAAGATAAAAAAAAAAAAAAAAAAAAAGCTACATACTTCCTTCACAATTTGTCCATAAGGAAATTCCTTGTGGGCCTCAATATCTTTACCCTAAAAACAGTTCTGTTGAATTTTACCCTAGCAACATAAACTGATAGCTTGTCTTCACCAGTACAGGACAGAAAGTCATAACTCTACTCGCCTGAGACAAATGCCTATCTGGTTGCTTCCTCTGCCCTATCGTTCATGTAAAACTGCCGATTCACTGAGACAGACTAAGGCATAAATTGTTAGAGTAGGTAGTTAGACATGAACAGGGCAGGAGAGGGCCTCCTCTCCTACCAGGCAACCATCAGGTGATGGTCAGGCAGTTGTTAAACCGTCCCTAAAATGATAATTGGTTGAAGCCAATGCCAGGGAAGGGCCATCTCCCAATAGAAATACCTGAAATTGGTAATCAGCACCTTCCAAGTAAGATCTCAGGAGTTGGACAAGTGGGCTCAAGCATGTGCACTAAGAGGCAAAATGGCAGAGTTTAACTGGTATATGAACTTCTTCTAGAACACTTGACTGGTAGGGAAACAATGCCTCAAGTGAGCATGTGCACAATTTCAGTAAACACACTGAGCATGCAGCCCCAGCCCCTCCCAAGTGCTGGCAGATCCCTGCACATGTAGACAGCCCAACCCAAGGGAAGAAACAGGGGAGAAATAACGAAAGACCCCAGAAGCATGCCAACTTGCAAACCCCAAGTCAAAGGTTAAATGAAATAACAAAAGACCCCAGAATTTCCTTGTGGGCAAATTGTGAAGGAAGTAACGAAAGACCCCAGAAGCATGCCAACTTGCAAACCCCAAGTCAAAGGTTAAACCATGCACTTGAATCTCTTAAGTTACCCACTTGGCCCTCTTTCAAGGTCAAGAATATAAAGCACACTGGGAGGCCGAGCCTGGCAGATCACGAGGTCAGAAGATCGAGACCATCCTGGCTAACATGGTGAAAACCCGTCTCTACTAAAAATACAAAAAAATTAGCTGGGTGTGGCAGCGTGCACCTGTAGTCCCAGCTGCTGGGGAGGCTGAGGCAGGAGAATGTTGTGAACCAGGGAGGCAGAGCTTGCAGTGAGCCGAGATCACGCCACTGCACTCTAGCCTGGGTGACAGAATGAGACTCCGTCTCAAAAAAAAAAAAGAATATAAAGTGCATTCAAGTACTTCACTTCCCCTTATTCCTGCTCTAAAACTTTTTAATAAACTTTCTCTCCTGCTCTGAAACTTGCCTCAATCTCTCTCTTTGCCTTTTCCCCTCAGTCGATTTCTTTCTTCTAAGGAGGCAAGAATTAAGGTTGCTGCAGAACTGTATGGATTTGCTGCTGCTAACCAAATGACTATTCCTCTACCCCACCACCATATATAAATTGTGTATTCAGTGAAAGGCTGATCAAAGATCCAAAAGAATGCAACCTTTTGTCTCTTATCCGCCTATCACCTGGAAGCTCCCACTTTGAGTTGTGCCACCTTTCTGAACCAAATCAACGTACATCTTACATGTACTGATTGATGTCTCCTGTCTTCCTAAAATGTATAAAACCAAGCTGTGCCCTACCTTGGGCACATGTCCTCAGGATCTCCTAAGGGCAATGTCATGGGCCATTGGTCACTCATATTTGGCTCAGAATAAATCTCTTCAAATATTTTAGAGTTTGACTCTTTTCATTGACAGACACAAGACTAGTCATGCCATGTAGGAGATGGAGTTCGTATTCAAGTCGTTCTCCTTCAAAGCTCATAAGTTAGAAGTTTTGTTCTTGTTTTTGTTTTTTCTGAGACAGAGGCTGACTGTGTCGCCCAAGTTGGAGTGCAGTGGTGCAATCTCGGCTCAATGCAACCTCTGCCTCTCAGGTTCAAGCAATTCTACTGCTTCAGCCTCCCGAGTAGCTGGAATTACAGGCACCCACCACCACGCCCTGCTAATTTTTGTATTTTTAGTAGACATGGGGTTTCACCGTCTTGGCCAGGCTGGTCTTGAACTCCTGACCTTGTGATCCACCTGCCTCGGCCTCCCAAAGTGCTGGGATTACAGGTGTGCACCACCATGCCCGGTGTATGTTAGAAGGTTTTCAAAGTGTGGAGGTGGCTAGGCTTGCTGCTGACTGGTTGGGCAAAGACAAAATCATAGACAGTTGAAGCTGTCCTCCTGCATGCTGAATTGCTTCTGGATGGGGCCACAGGAGGAGGATTGGTGGATTCAGGTGGGTCCAGGTGGAGCCATGGGTATCAGACATGCAAAAAACCTGAAAAGATGTGTCAAAAGGCCAATTTTAGGGTCCTACAATAGTGTTGTTATTTGCAGGAGTAATTGGGGAAGTTGTGAATTGTTTAACCTCAGGAATAACGGCTATCAAACTTTTATGTCTGCCCCCTAGTAGGATTCAGTCTCCGCTCCTCCCCACAGCCTAAGGGACTCTCATTAGCTTTACAAAAGTGGTTGAGTTTGGGGGACAGCCTATTACCATTTAAACTATAATCTAATGTCTTCCAAAGTTAGCTCAACCCAATAGCCCAGAAATAATTATGGGAAAGGCAAGATGGGGGTTGGTGAGTTAGCTCAGATCTCATTCCCTGTCATAATTTTCTCACTGATACAATTTTTGCAAAGATGGTTTCAGCCTGAAGGCTGCAATCCCCTTATGAGAAATAAAGCTCTCCTTTCAAAATTTATGAAGTTTGTTATTCTTCAGTTGAAATTATAAAGGATACAACTATTAGAGACATTTGAACCAGAGAAACTCCATCTTGAATAGGGGCTGGGTGAAATAAGGCTGAGACCTACTGGGCTGCACTCCCAAGAGCTTAGGCATTCTTAGTCATAGGATGACATAGGAGGTCAGGACAAGATACAGGTCAAAAAGGCCCAGCTGATGAAACAGGATGCGGTAAAGAAGCCAGCCAAAACCAAGATGGTGATGAAAATGACCTCTGGTCATCCTCACTGCTCATTATATGCTAATTATAATGCTAAATTTAGCATTATAATTTAGCATTAGCATGCTAAAAGACACTCCCATCAGCGCCATGGCATTTTGCCATGGCAACATTCAGAAGTTAACCTATATGGTCTAAAAGTGGGAGGAATCCTCAATTCTGTGAATTGCTTGCCTTTTTCCCAGAATACTCATGAATAATCCATCCCCTGTGTAGCATATAATCAAGAAATAACTTTAAGTATACACAGTTGAAAAGCCCATGCTGCTGCTCTGCCTATGGAGTAGGCTTTCTTTTATTCCTTTACTTTCTTAATAAACTTGCTTTCACTTTACTCTGTGGACTTGCCCTGATTTCTTTCTTGTGTGAGCTCCAAGAACCCCCTTTTTGAGTCTGTATTGGGACCCCTTTCCTGTAACACAACTAAGGAACAACCAAATGGAAGAGTTGCATAGGGCAAGGTATGGGGTGAGTAGGGGGAGGAAGGGTGGGCATGGAGCTTCCATGTTTTTGCTTGGGATGCTACTCTTCCAGCACCTCAATGTGTTCACCAACTCAAAACCTCTCAGAACCCCATCCTTTAAAGCAGGTGTCCCCAATCCCTGGGCTACAGACTGGTAGTAGTCCGAGGCCTGTTAGGAACTGGGCTATACAGCAGGAGGTGAGCAGCAGGCGAGCAATCAAAGCTTCCTCTGTATTAACAGCCATTCCCCATCACTCACATTACTGTCTGAGTTCCGCCTCCTGTCAGATCAACAGAGGCATTAGATTCTCAAAAGAGCACGAACCCTATTGTGAACTCTGCATCCGATGAACCTAGGTTGCGCATTCCTTATGAGAATCTAATGCCTGCTGATCTGCCACTGTCTCCCATCACCCCCAGATGGGACCGTCTAGTTGCAGGAAAACAAGCTCAGGGCTCCCACTGATTCTACATTATAGTGAGTTGTATAATTATTTCGTTTATATTACAATGTAATAATAATAGAAATAAAGTGCACAATAAATGTAATGTGCTTGAATCATCCTGAAACCATCCCTGCCCAGTCTGTGGAAAAACTGACTTCCACAAAACCAGTCCCTGGTGCCAAAAAGGTTGGGGATTGCTGCTTGAGGGGTTTTTATGGAGGTTCACAATATATAGGTAAGATTTTGATGACTGATTGAATCATTGGCCACTGGTGACTGAACTCACTTTCTAGCTCTTCTTCCCTCCCCAGAGGTTGGGGGATGGGGCTGAAAGTTCCAACCCTCTAATCATGCCTTGGTCTTTTTGGCAACCAGCCCACATAATGAACTATCTAGGGGCCCCCAGTAGTGTGACTTCATTAACATAAACTCAGGCATGGTTGAAAGGGGTCTGTTATGAATAAGAAAACATGCTTCCTATCACTGTTGGAAATTCCAAGGAATTTAGAAGCTCTGTGACAGGAACCAGGGACAAAGGCTAAGGAGATATTTCGTATTATACCATAGCAGTGCTATTTACATGGGAAACAAGATCACCAGGAAATCCTCCCTGAATCTAAACCCCTCACTTGCCTAAGAAGCACCAAAGGACACAGGACAAACCTGAGGAGCCTCTCAGCTGGAACCAAGCACTATGTAGCAACTGTGTCTCTCAAGAAACTATGAGGTCAACCTCTTGGTGCTCCTGGACTTTTGTTTCTAGCATATTTTTAAATTCCTGTATTTTTCTAGAATGCAAATTTCCCTGCAGACTCCTCCTAAGAAAGGCAAACTTTCTAACTCTTCTATTATGCTTTCTTACTAAGTTAACAGACACAGACCCAGAAAGAAAATAAAGTTGTGTTAACAGTAAAAGTCATTGCATTTGTGTCATAATTCTAACCGAATGAAAACATCACAAGCGATGTTCATAGAATTGCAAACCAGACAAAACTGACCTGAGGTTTGAGAGGAGCTGAATGAGACAGGATGATGGGAGGAGTGAGTTTTAATCTATTCAGGCTAAGATGGATCACTCAAAGGTAGGTAGTAAAATAAAAGAATTTTAAAGGTAGCTATGTTCAATTTTTATTTGAAAGCATCAATGCTTGGGGTTTTGTTGTGATGATAACCATTAAAATAAGATTTATCTTTTCAACAGATGTTAGGAAATATAAAACCTAACCAAAATTAAGGTATATCTTATTCAAAAGGTACACATTCCTCTTTTCCTGTTTGGTTTTGTGCTGGTAAGTTGCAGAAAGTATTTTCTTCTCAACATTATACTGACTGACTTGCTAGAATCTTTTCATCTGATATAGTGTCAGGAGAAGGATAACTGAGAAAAAAAAAGAGGACCCTATTCTCAGATGCATCTTCCACCATTTAAATACCTGTAACTGCCTGCTGCGAAGAGGTCTGCAGGAAGGACAGAGACCACTTTCTATTAGTTCCTCCATGTGGTGAGAAGATAATCTGGCCGCCTGAGCCACAGTCCCAGGAAGGCCATTAAATGCCCTGCAGAATCAAAACCACAGTGAGATAGCATCTCATCCTGGTTAGAATGGCTACTATCAAAAAAACAAAAATAATGAATGCTGATGAGGATGCAGAGAATGGGGAACCTTATATACTGTTGGTGGGAATGTAAATTAGTACAGCCACTATGGAAAACAGTATGACGTTTCCCCCCAAAACTGAAAATGGATTTATTATGTGATCCACTGCTGGATATATATTTTTAAAAATTGACATCAAGTTATCAAAGCGATATCTGTATTCTCATGTTCATTGGAGCACCATTCACAATAGCCAAGATATAAAAACAAACTAAGTGTCCATCAGTGGATGAATAAAGAAAATGTAGCTTATAGACACAGTGGAATATTATTCAACTATAAAAAAGAATGAAATCCTGTCATTTGCAACAACATGGATAGAACTGGAGGTCATTATGTTAAGTGAAATAAGCTAGGCACAGAAAGACAAATATTGCACATTCTCAATCATATGCGGGAACTAAGAACAAAGTGGATCTCATGGACATAGAGAGTGGAATGTTGGTTACCAAAGGCTGGGAAGGGTAGAGGGGAGGGAAGATAAAGAGGGGTTTGTTAATGGGCACAAAAATGTCATTAAATAGAAGGAATAATTTCTAGTGTTCGATAGTACAGTAGGGTGGCTATAAGTTATTGCATATTTCAAAATAGCTAGAAGAATTGGAATGCTCTCAACACAAAGAAAAAATAAATTATTGAGATGATGGACATCCCAATTACCCTGATTTGATGATTACACACTGTATAAATGTATCAAAATATCAGTTCTTTCAGTGAATGGAGCAAAGGAGGATGCCCATCAGCCAGCAGGTGTCAGGGGTTTTCTCAGGTGAGCTGCCCTTTTGTCCATTTTTGGCACTGCTGGAGAGGAGCAGCCCAACCCGTCCGTGATCTTGGGCCTCTGAGAATAGAGGAAGCTTGATGTGGGCCTCAGTCCAACTTAATCTGGAAAGTCTGCCTAAGGCATATTTTAGAGAGGGAGGACACATTTTGGGGCACATATGTTTTATATTGTTGCACCCCAAAATATATATAACTATTATGTCTCAATAAAATAAATAAATTGATGAATTAGTTAATTAAAAATAAAAATAAATGCCCTGTAGGGCAGTATTTGAGGAATAGGATATTGGTGAGAGAGATTCACTACTAAGAGGTTCCTATTTTTGTTAACTGCATTCCTGGTCACGAAATCATGTTAATCCTAGTGCTACACATGGGGTTGACCAGGAAACCAGGTTGACCTGCCCAGGGCCTTAGCAGCCAGCCTGCCCAAGAGGCTTTTCAGCAAAATGCTCAGGTGTGTCCAGAGCCCTCTGACCTGAAGGGCCTCAAGGAGAACCTCTAGATTATGCTGGACTGAAGCCCTCATCAAGCTGCTCCTATTCGCAGAGGCTCAAGACCATGGCAAGGTGGGGTGCTCCTCCCAGAAATGCCAAAATTTGACAAAAGGGGAGCTCACATAGGAAAACACGTGTCACCTAATGGTTGATGGGCGTCTTCCTCTCACCCATCCACTGAAGGCCTGGATCTCCCTCTCTATCTATCTCTCTCTCTCTCTCTCACACACACACACACACACACACACACAAACACACACACACACAATGATAATGCCAACCCTAATGCTAATGCCTAAGTTCTATGTTCTGCTTGGTAATTAGCTCACTCTGCCTTGATCTCTTATTGCGTTACCTCAGCATTCTCACTATAGTTCTATAACTAGGAATGATTATAACTCTTACTGGGTCATTTTGCAAATGAAGAATTTGGAAATTGAAGTTAATTACTTAAACTCACACATGTACTAAGTGGGGCAGAATTGGGTTGTTAACCAGGTTCCCTGACTCTCTGCTTCCTAATCATAAAACATATGAGAATGAACTATCTTACTGCCCTTTATTTGCTCAGTTTTTAAAGAAATAGGAACCTGGAGGATTTTAAGTGCCTAGCATCTATTTAGAGAGTAACAACTACTGTTTAATAACATTTCACCCCAGAATGTGCCTGTGGCTCACAATCTAGAGAGGAAAAGATGGCCCATGTTGGGGAGGACACACCCATAATCAACACAAAAGAAAAACCTCTCCTGCTTGTTGCCAAGGCAGCCAAGCATTATTGTTCAGATTATTCATTAGCCAAAGGGGTAAGGGAAGAGAATGAAACCCAGTCTACATTTGGCTCACCAAGATAAGTGTCCTGGCAAGGGACACATATACTCACAGAAAAGGGCACTCTTTTCTAATTTACACAAGCACCATAGAGACTAGAAGTGGTACATGTGAGGCTAAGAGTGATGGTTTAAAAAGAATTGGATTTTTACTAGAGATGGGTTTTCTCCATGTTGGTCAGGCTGGTCTCGAACTCCCAACCTCAGGTGATCCACCCGCCTCGGCCTCCCAAGGCATGAGCCAGGCATGAGCCACTGCACCTGGCTCGTTCCCCATCAAACATGGGGATTCCCTAAGATCACAGCAGTCAATCTCAATGATCTTTCCTGCTTCAATGTTTTCTCTGTGTATTAATTTCCTAGGGCTGCCATAACATAGTACCACAAATTGGGTGGCTTAAAACCACAGAAATTTGTTCTCTCTCAGTTTTGGAGCCCAAGAGCCTAAAATCAAGGTATCAGCAGAGCCATGCGCCCTTTGAAACTCCCCGCAGCATCCTTCCTTGCCTCCTCTTAGGTGCCATGCTCTCTCTTCACATGGCATCCTTCCTTGTGTTTTTATATCTTCCCTCCGTGTGTGCCTGACTCTGTCTCATTTCCTCTCCTTATGAGGACATCAGTCACATTGGGTTAGCGTCCTCCCAATGTGCTCATCTTTGATTATATCTGCAAAGACCCTATTTCTAAATAAGGTCACATTTACAGGTACTGGGAGCTAGGACTTCAGAGCATCTTTTTGGTGGACACAATTCAACCCTCCAATATGTCATAGATAGGACTGGGCATAAAGGAGTAGTTGGCTCAAAAGCTGCTCCTAACCAATTCTCTTTTGGCATGTTGATGACTCTAAGAAATAATTCTTTGTAAGAAAAAGGAGAAGACCATGCCTGACACTGAGTTTATTCAGAAAAGTCACTTTGCCCACCGTCTTGTTTTAGGGGGAAGAATAAAACTAGAAATGTTTATTTCACTATTTCTGCCTTGGGGAAAGAAGCAGTTGTTTTCAAATCTTAATGGACCAAGTTGGAAACCTAGAGAAAGGTGAGAAAGAGCTTCTCCTTGCCCCAGGTTCATTTCTCCTGACAGCATTATTGCTTTTTTGATGCATGTCATCTGCTATGGCATCCTGAGAAACGAAAGTGTCATATAGCATTGAGGAGTTCAAAACCTATCTAACTGCATTAGTTTTCCAACTAATCTAAGTCACTGGCAGATTTAATCCCTTTCAGCCAGTATTCAAGCAGACAAAATGCATTTGCTGATATCATGATGTTGATAATTTTTAACTAAGGCTTCACAGCCTAGTATGGTTCCTCCTTAGGATATTGCAGGGACAGCACCAAACACTTGGCAATATGGAATGACGTTGACAATGTTAAGCTTTACCTAAGCCTTATGCTCCTGGAAAACAGCTATGGGGAAAAAAAAATCCACCCCCCACCCTCCACCTGCCTTTTTTTTTTTTTTTTTTTTTTTTTTTTTTTTTTTTTGAGACAGGATCTCATTGTGTGTGTCACCCTGGCTGGAGGGCAGTGGTATGATCACAGCTCACTGCAGCCTCAACCTCCTGGGCTCAAGCAATCCTCCTACCTCAGCCTCCCTGAGTAGCTGGGACTACAGGTGTGTGCCACCATGCCCAGATAAATTTTTTTTGCATTTTTTGTAGAGCTAGAGTTTTGCCATGTTGCCCAGGCAGATCTTGAACTCCTAAGCTTAAGCTATCTGCCCACCTTGGCCTCCCAAAGTACTAGGATTGCAGGTGTGAGCCACTGTGCCCAACTATTTAACAATGTTTCTACCTATCTTTTCATTAGATAGCATTCCATTTCCATCAGAAAATCACGCAAATACTTCCTGTTTATTTTCACAGTAAAAATGCTGATTATCATGGAGTCAAAGATAGGCTTGAGCAGTTGAGATGTCACTTTACATGGGGGTTGCTAATTGAAGCCCTTGAAATTTCTGATTTAGAAAACAGGGTCTTGGAAGAGATCCAGTTCGTGGACACAAAGTACAGTGTGGGAATGCACAACATACTAGCTTATGTGAAACACTGGAAGGGCCAGAATGAGAAAGCACTAGAGAAAGAAGTTGAATGAGAACACACCAACCAAGCAGACATGAGTGACCAGTATCATCACATGGGCAGGTGACCTGGGGCAACTTTGCCTGGGCTGGGGCAAATTTGCCTGGGCGTATCACCACATAGGCAGACTGGCAGAAGCCCAGACTTACCTGGATAAGGTAGAGAACATTTGCAAGAAGTTTGCAAATGCTTCCCGCTATAGAATGGAGTGTCCTGAGATGAACTGTGAGGAAGGATGGGCCTTGGCGAAGTGTGGAGGAAAGAATTATGAACAGGCCAAGGCCTGCTTTGAAAAGGCTCTAGAGGTGGGCCCTGAAAATCCTGAATTCAGCACTGGGTATGTCATCACTGCCTATTGCCTGGACGGTTTTAACACAACAGACAGTAATGAGACATTTTCTCTGCACCCCCTAAAATGGGCTGTCAGTCTAAATCCAAAAGATGCACACATTAAGGTTATCCTTGCCCTGAAGCTTCAGGATGAAGGACAGGAAGCTGAAGGAGAAAAGCACACTGAAAAAGCTCTAATCAGTATGTCTTCACAGACCTATGTTTTTCTATATGCAGCCCAGTTTTATCAAAGAAGAGGCAATATAGATAAAGCTCTTCTGCTCTTAAAAATGGCCTTGCAGGGAACACCCACTTCTGCCTTCCTGCATCACCAGATAGGGCTTTGCTGCAGGAAACAGACAAAAAAAGCTAAAGGCAGGATAGAGAAACTGTAGACAAAATAATAAGATTAGTTATATCTCATGTTGAATTTGCTGTAGAGCAAAGGCCCACATTTGCAATGGTTTATGTGGACCTAGCCAACAGGTATGCAGAGGGAGGTGAACACCAAAAAGTTGAGGACATTTACCAGAAAGCACTCAGCCTGCATGATATTAATAAAAGCTGTTGCAAGAGATTTATTATCGTTATGGCCCCTTTCAGGAATGTCATGGGAAGTCTGAAGCTAACACAATTGACTAATATTAAAAAGAGCTGGGCTGGGCGCGGTGGCTCTCGCCTGTAATCCCAGCACTTTGGGAGGCCAAGATGGGAGGATCACAAGGTGAGGAGATGGAGATCATCCTGGCTAACACGGTGAAACCCTGTCTCTACTAAAAATACAAAAAATTAGCCAGGTGTGGTGGCAGGCACCTGTTGTCCCAGCTACTCGGGAGGCTGAGGCAGGAGAATGGCGTGAACCCGAGAGGCGGAGCTTGCAGTGAGCTAAGATCATGCCACTGTACTCCAGCCTGGGCAACAGAGCCAGACTCCATCAAAAAAAAAAAAAAAAAAGCGAGGGGGGGCGGGTGTGGCTAAATATAGAAATTCAGTCAAGTGCTAGAGGAAAAAAATTTTAGTGCTTTACTGAATTGGCTAACAGGCAAGTTCATTTGCTTAAATCTGATGAGGAGAGTTTGAATCTCATTGTGCTCCTTCACACATTGAAAGGGGAAAAGAAAGTGAAGCTGTGCTGTCCTATGAGACAGCCTGAGACGGGCTACTGGCCTGAACCCTGTCTTTTGAGATGTTAAATGTTATCATATCTAAATCTAAATATCAGATAAATCTTCCCTGATCGCTGCTTTCAAAAAGGCATGACAGGAAGCAACATAAAACTGTTTGGTGGCACACATCGCATCATCAGCTCAACTCCCACTTTTTGGCTAATGAACACCTATCCACGTGGTTGTGGCAGCAATATCAGCACTTCTCCTTTATCACTGCACCCCTTTGTCACTCTTGATATGTCTTGTGTTAGGTACCTGGCACCTGCCAGACCAATCAGACTTCTGAGAATTTGCAATTGGAATTGACAACTTCCATTTTCAGTCTACTAGGTCAGCTGTTCAAAGGAGATTTATATTCAGGGAGTACAGGAAGTCAACTTTTTCATATGGGCAAAGATGTTGACCCACAAGAAGATCTACAAACAAAGCACATGGGCAGAAAGAGAGAAAAGATTCTTGTGTGCACCACAGTATCTCAGCTCCATTTTCACTTCTTAAGGCCCATCTCTCTCCTATACTTTCAGACTATTGAGATACCTTATAATATAAATTATTATAGCTTTATAACAAATCCAATCCTTTGTTTAAGAAAGTTCTCAGTCCTTGAAAGCGAAATAGTTCTAAAGTATTCATATATATGTATACATATAATATATATGTATATATATAGTATATATATAATTAGTCATTCTGACCTAAGGGAAGTTAAGTTGCATCACAAAAAGAGAAAGTGAAAAAAGTCCCCCTATTTGAGATGCACAAGTAGTGCTAGGTAGTGTGTAATATACTCTTTGCTCTTTCTCTGTATCCAAAAATCTATAGTAAAATTAACCAAGATAACAAATTTGTGAGTAGAGTTTTAAATTGTTGCAACCTCTAAGAAGCTGTGAATTTACATGTCTGTGTGGGAAGCAAGAAAACTAAAACTGTCTGTGCAGAAATAAGAGGCAGAAGAAGCCATAACATCTACCTACAAATAAAAGACACACATCAAGGAAGCATTTAGCCTTCCATGAATTGCACAGAATTGGAGAGTGTTGACAAATTTCACAGATATTTAAGGGCTGGGAAAGGATATGGAGCCCTTCATGTAGCTGACATGGGTGTAGAATTCCTTTCTAATTTTGGTGAGGAGATTTATTAGTTTTATTCAAAAGAACATTACCAGTGCATGGGGTTTCCAAGGAGCTCTCCTGGCCTCTCCTTGAATTCCTTACCTAATACCACTACAGACCTCTGTGTAGGGGCAGATTTGACTTTCCTTCTGGAACACAGCTAAAGATAAAATCTAAAGACAGAGATCTTGTAAATTTGTTTGAGTTCTTTGTAGATTCTGGGTATTAGCCCTTTGTCAGATGAGTACTTGCAAAACTTTTCTCCCATTCTGTAGGTTGCCTGTTCACTCTGATGGTAGTTTCTTTTGCTGTGCAGAAGCTCTTTAGTTTAATTAGATCCCATTTGTCAATTTTGGCTTTTGTTGCCATTGTTTCTGGAGTTTTAGACATGAAATCCTTGCCCATGCGTATGTCCTGAATGGTATTGCCTAGGTTTTCTTCTAGGGTTTTTATGGTTTTAGGTCTAACATTTAAATCTTTAATCCATCTTGAATTAATTTTTGTATAAGGTGTAAGGAAGGGATCCAGTTTCAGCTTTCTACATATGGCTAGCCAGTTTTCCCAGCACCATTTATTAAATAGGGAATCCTTTCCCCATTGCTTGTTTTTGTCAGGTTTGTCAAAGATCAGATGGTTGTAGATGTGTGGTATTATTTCTGAGGGCTCTGTTCTGTTCCATTGGTGTACATCTCTGTTTTGGTAAAAGTACCATGCTGTTTTGGTTACTGTAGCCTTGTAGTATAGTTTGAAGTCAGGTAGCATGAAGCCTCCAGCTTTGTTCTTTTGGCTTAGGATTGTCTTGGCAATGCGGGCTCTTTTTTGGTTCCATATGAACTTTAAAGTAGTTTCTTCCAATTCTGTGAAGAAAGTCATTGGTAGCTTGATGGGGATGGCATTGAATCTATAAATTACCTTGGGCAGTATGGTCATTTTCACGATATTGATTCTTCCTACCCATGAGCATGGAATGTTTTTCCATTTGTTTGTGTCCTCTTTTATTTCGTTGAGCATTGGTTTGTAGTTCTGCTTGAAGAGGTCCTTCACATCCCTTGTAAGTTGGATTCCTGGGTATTTTATTCTCTTTGAAGCAGTTGTGAATGGGAGTTCACTCATGATTTGGCTCTCTGTCTGTTATTGGTGTATAGGAATGCTTGTGATTTTTGCACATTGATTTTGTATCCTGAGACTTTGCTGAAGTTGCTTATCAGCTTAAGGAGCTTTTGGGCTGAGACCATGGGGTTTTCTAAATATACAATCATGTCATCTGCAAACAGGGACAATTTGACTTCCTCTTTTCCTAATTGAATATCCTTTATTTCTTTCTCCTGCCTGATTGCCCTGGCCAGAACTTTTTACAAATTTATAAGAAAAAATTTTTTCACAAATTTACAAGAAAAAAACAGACACTTCTCAAAAGAAGACATTTATGCAGCCAACAGACACATGAAAAAATGCTCATCATCACTGGCCATCAGAGAAATGCAAATCAAAACCACAGTGAGATACTATCTCACACCAGTTAGAATGGCCATCATTAAAAAGTCAGGAAACAACAGGTGCTGGAGAGGATGTAGAGAAATAGGAACACTTTTACACTGTTGGTGGGACTGTAAACCAGTTCAACCACTGTGGAAGTCAGTGTGGCCATTCCTCAAGGATCTAGAACTAGAAATACCATTTGACCCAGCCATCCCATTACTGGGTATATACCCAAAGGATTATAAATCATGCTGCTATAAAGACACATGCACACGTATGTTTATTGCAGCACTATTCACAATAGCAAAGACTTGGAACCAATCCAAATGTCCATCAATGATAGACTGGATTAAGAAAATGTGGCACATATACACCATGGAATACTATGCAGCCATAAAAAAGGATGAGCTCATGTCCTTCTTAGGGACATGGATGAAGCTGGAAGCCATCATTTTCAGCAAACTATCTCAAGGACAAAAAACCAAACACTGCCTGTTCTCACTCATAGGTGGGAATTGAACAATGAGAACACTTGGACACAGAAAAGGGAACATCACACACCGGGGCCTGTCGTGGGGTGGGGGGAGGGGCAGGGATAGCATTAGGAGATATACCTAATGTAAATGACAAGTTAATTGGTGCAGCACACCAACGTGGCACATGAATACATATGTAACAAACCTGCACGTTGTGCACATGTACCCTAGAACTTAAAGTATAATAATTAAAAAAAAAGACAGAGATCTGCTGATTAGAGATTGTAAAGACAACACTTCTCCAATCAGACAGCTCTTAGCTTCTGGCTTCTAGCTCTGTCCTGCAATTGTTTCTAAACCACTTCTTATTCTTGTAAACAAGATGGCTATAGTTTCCCATTACTGGCTCATCTAGGCCTATAGAAACCAAAGGACATATTGTTCCTTCTTGGTTAAAAGTTACATAGAAAATTTACTAGAAGTTAGATGGCATTATTTACAGGGGTTGGCTAACAGGCAAGTTCATTTGCATAAATCTGATCAGGAGAGTCTGAATCTCTTTGTGCTCCTTCACACCTTCCCCTGGTGCTGGAAACCAAAGCTGGTTTCCCTAGTAACCAGCACCTATTATGTGTGAGAGAACTGTGACTGTGAGTTTTGAGCGTTTGTGTGTGTATTTGGGTAATTACTGCTGACTGAGGTTTTCAGTACAGCATGAACTTCTTTTGTGCCAGAAACAGAAACTATTTTTTTTTTCCAGAGACAGGGCCTCACTCTGTCACCAAAGCTGGACTGCAGTAGCATGATCATAGCTCGATGCAGCCTCGAACTCTTGGGTTCAAGCAATCGTTCCACCCCAGCCTTCCAATTAGCTAGAACTACAGGTGTGCACCACTATGCCTGGCTGATTTTCTTTTTTTAATTTTTTGTAGAGTTAGGTCTCACTATGCCCAGGCTAGTCTCAAACTCCTGGCCTCAAGAAGTCCTCCTGCCTTGGCCTGTCAAAGCTCTGGGAAGAAACTATTAAAGTTCATTTTGAAATGTCATTGATTGACTCTCTTGACATTGGGCTGCATATGAGTGCTTTCTATGGGGCACACGACCTGGAGGAAAGGAGGGAAGAATGAAAATAGTGTGGTGAACTTGTGAATTCATATTCCACTAGCACAGAGCTATTAAGAAATCTTCCCCAGTGATCCTATTGTAAACTCTGGCTACACTTCTATGTATAATCCATAT
Organism: Homo sapiens; assembly: GCF_000001405.40. NCBI lineage: Eukaryota > Metazoa > Chordata > Mammalia > Primates > Hominidae > Homo > Homo sapiens. Next base: position 89,368,317 of record NC_000010.11, read on the forward strand.
GCACCACACCTCACAAGCCTTTGGCTACATCACATTTGTGTGTTAGGCCTAAATTATGATAGCTTTAGCCCAAACAGATCAGAATACCAGAAAGGGTCCCCAGCTGTCTCAAGCATTCCAAAGAGGACTTCCACAAACATGCTCAGCAGATATTCATCACCTTCTTCCTCTCCAGCCTCTCCACCCACCAACTCTGCTCTCTCTTCTGCTGATGGATTTCATGGGCTTACTGCTCTCTTGGGACCATTGTCTTAAGTGGGTTATAGAAAATATATACATATTTAATATTTGCTTTAAAATATACTTATTGAGCTCTCAATGTATGTAAGATATAAACATGGTGACAAAAAGCAAATTAAAATTAAGATGGTGAGAGAAAAAAGGAATAGCCAGGTCTAACACATCAGGTAAGTTGTCCACTTTTCCTGCTCTGGCCCTGGCTTGGTGCTAGTTATAACTCAGGTTCAAGTTACTAAGGATGGAGAAAAAAATCTGGAGGAGTCCAAAGTAGACAGAGAAAGACATACCCCCAGACCATCACTTTAACTACACACAAACATATAAACTTACACACACAAACTCACACACTCACAAACACAAACACAAAACTCACACACACACACACACACACACACACAAATGGTTAGAAGGCATCCGAATCTGCTCTCCCTGGCTCTGGAACTCTTTGGAGCTGCCAGGTGTCTACCACAGGGATTGGATTATTTATATTCATTAAGCTCAATGTCAATCTTTTTCCATGGGCAGTGCTGATTCCATGGCCTTCTCCACAGTCTACGGCAAAGGAAAAACTCCTTAGAATAACTTGTACACACAACAGAAGCATTCTACTTGTACATTCTTCTTGTACATACAAAAGAAGCATTCACTCCAAGCTCAGGGAAGAGAAACTCAGTCTCCTGCCTTTCTGGGGCCCCAGAATGTCTCTTAAGTGCCCTTCCAACTAGTGCTTGGTAAATGAGACACTGGGCTGAGGAAACCACTGACCACAGGCCACGTCTTCCCTCTGCAAGCTTCTAGATTCAGTTGCCAGGATGGGCTCCTGGACTGTGCCTATTCTACTGGACACTGATTAAAAGTCATCTCTGTGCCCTTTCATTTCAGGCAGCTGGGGAGGGGATGGCAGTGAGCAGCCAAGAAGCGGTCTCTCTCCACCCTGGGAACCAAGCCATTGAGCTAAGTTCTGAAAACCGGTATGTTGGAGTTATCTTTATCAAGAAACTTCAAAAAGTTCATGAAATAGCTGAAGGAGGAAGATTAATGAAGAGAGTCATAAAAGAATATTCTATGGACAACAGATAATGCTTTTTAATGAGTTTTTCCTAAATAGAAGTGTTTCCTATATAGAGGTATTTGCGCCCTCTACTGCCTTCAGCTGCTACTTCTCAGCAAATTATCCCCTGAATATAAAGTCTTAGATACTAGCACACAGATCTTTTGAGTTTTTTAAAAAGGAGATTCATCAGTATATATGGATGGAAGGAAAGGCAGAGAGAATGGCATTCCTAGTCTCCTCTGGAGCAGGAATGCATACTATATTCCCCACATACAGCCAAAGGTCACTGTGCCCAGAAAATGTAGGAAGTTTCTTAATGAACTATATTAAAGCTATAAAAGCTGCAGCTCAAGAAACTGCTATGTGCTACCGAAGGCAAGTGCTGCTTCCATCAGGTGTGTGGGGGAACCCCCAGCATCTGACACTGCAGGCTTTTATGTAGAGCTGGGTGGTCTGATATGAAGCCACTATGCAGCTATTTCAATTTATATTTAAATTAATTAAAATAAAATCTAAAACTCAGTTCTTCAGATGCACTAGTTACACTTGCAGTGCTCAATAGTAATATATAGCTAGCGGTGGCACAGATTTAGAATGTTTTCTTTTTTTGTTTGTTTTGTTTTTTTTTTTCTGAGACAGGATCTGTCTCTGTTGCCCAGGCTGGAGTGCTGCAACACAGTCATGGCTTACTGCAGCCTCAAACACCTGGGCTCAAGCAATCCTGCCGCCTCAGCCTTCCAACTAACTAGGACTACAGGCTCACACCACCACATCGGGCTAAGTTTTTTTTTTAATTTTATTTTTTGTAGAGACAGGGTCTCTCCATGTTGCCCAGGCTGGTCTCAAACTCCCAGACTCAAGTGATCTTCCCAATTGGCCTTGGAAAGTGCTGGGATTACAGGTGTGAGCCACCCAACCCACCCTAGAACATTTTTAACATTGCAGAAAGTCCTTTTGGAACTAATGTAGGGTTTTTCAGTCTAAGCACTATTGCCATTTGGGGCCAGATAACTCTTTGCTGTGAGGGGTTGTTCTGTACATTATAGGATGTTTAGCATCAGCAATGACCTCTGGATGTCAGTAGCACCCACATCTCCAGATGTGATCATCCAAAGTGTCTCCAGGGGCCAAGTGTGGTGGCTCATGCCTGTAATCCAGCACTTTGGGAGGCTGAGGCAGGCAGGTCACCTGAGGTCAGGAGTTCAAGACTAGCCTGGCCAACATGGAAAACCCTATCTCTACTGAAAAAGTACAAAAATTAGCTGGGCATGCTGGTGGGCACCTGTACTCCCAGCTACTCGGGAGGCTGAGACAGAAGAATTGCTTGAACCCAGGAGGCAGAGACTGCAGGGAGCCGAGATCGCACCACTGCACTCCAGCCTGGGTGACAGAGTGAGACTCTGTCTCAAAAAAACAAACAAACAAACAAAAAATTTTCTCCAAGTATTGCCAGATGCCCCCAGGGGCAAAATTGCCCCCATTTGAGAACTGTTCATTTAAAGCAGTAATCAGCCCAAGTAGGCACTGGCCAGATCCCACCAAAAGGAGATATCACAGAACTCATACAGACAGCCTGGATAAGTTGGTGGGTAAGAGTATCTAATGAAAGACCAGCCACTCCTACATCATGTGCCACTGCCACTTCATGATCTTAATGCATATGGCTTAAGACATATGGGTTAACAAGGCTAAGCTTGTGGCCTGCTTACAGATGGAGAATCTTGATAATTCCATGACTCTCCATTTTAGTTCACATCAGAACTATAACTCTTTATTTGCCTTAGGGCTGGAGATCAATAACATGATCCAAAATGTCTTCTATGAGCCTCACAAAGTAGTATTTCTTTTCTCTGTGCTTACACAGCATCTAAACTGTACATGTTTTAGTACAATAAAATCAAATATGTTCTAATCTGTCTCTGTCTCCCACGAGACAGCAAACCACTAGTGATGGAGGGGAAGAAGAGGCATCTCCATCGTTTTACCAACTGGTGTTCTCAGAATGCCAGGCATAACACAGGTAAGCATTACTGGTTTGCTGAACGTTTGAACTGATGAGAAGCCCCTGACAATGAATGCTGCTTTGGAGGCTTGTGAGTACTACTTGTAAAGATCGCCTACCATCTGACCAGTTATTTTTACCATTGGAACCTTAAACATCCTTGGAATTCTCAGAGCTATAGGAATAACATGGGTGTTGATCTATGTTCTTTTTAGCCCATCTAATTTAAGATTCTAAATTTTGGTTGCATGAATACTATGCAGCCAAAGGACAAGATCGTGTCCTTTGCAGCAACATGGATGGAGCTGGAGGCCATTATCCTAAGTCAACTAACATGGAAACAGAAAACAAGATACTGCATGTTCTCACTCACCAGTGGGAGCTAAACACTGAGTACATGTGGACACAAAGAAGGGAACAACACAAATATGGGACCTACTTGAGGGTAGAGAGTAGGAGGAAGCCCCTCATAGAGGCCCCTATCACAGAAAACTTCCCGTCTCCGGTGTACTAATTTGGTAGTCAGCTGGCAGTTTCACCGTTGCACATTCTGTCTTATCTGCTTTTGCAGGATTACCATGACTTGAGATACAAGAACAGGTTTATGGTCCTAGACCAAAGCCTTTCCCCTAGTGTGTGCAGCCAGCATCATTGCACACTGCAAGAGTAGCCACAGGGACCCTTTGGGGTCAGACCTGCTCACAGACTAGACAGTCTTGGAAGTATTCTTCCAGTGGGGGAGACAACAGGATTATGATTTTGCCAAACACTTCAGGTTAAAGACCAAAAGTTAACTGAGGAAGTTTTTCATGAACCTCAGGAAGAGATAAACATCCAATTCTCTGTTATTTCAAAGCAACCAATGTGTACTGTTTTTATTAAAAGCAAATTAAGCGCTTATCAATCTGTCTCCTGCTACATGACAGGTCACTTGAGAAGAGGAAACATGCCCTATGTGTCCCAACAGAGTACCTGGCCTGTACCTAATGATAATTCATAGCTTGCTGATTATAGAAATGGACAAGGAGCTTAGAGCAATGAAGTCTGCCTTGGCCATGCTAACAATATGTTTGGATCGCAGGTTCCTTAAACCTCTGTGGGTTTCCCAGAACCATGGGAATGGCATTGAACTTCTTTTTTCAGCTCAATGTATAATCCTAAATTTCAATTGCATCTAGAAAACATCTTCACCTCTTCTCATTTCCTTTATAGACATGGACTTTTCAAGTCCCAAGATACTTCAGACAGTCTAAAAACAACTTGCTTTCCGGGAACCTGAGGACTTTTCCAATAGACATTATAGGATCTATGAAATATCTTGAGTCTAGTTCAGTGATGTAAATGCTTCCTACAATTTATATAGACAATTCCAGGTGAATGAATATTTGACATGTAAAACAATGAAAGCACAGAAATTCAGTTAGAATTGGAACACGTGGGGCCGGACGCGGTGGCTCACGCCTGTAATCCCAGCACTTTGGGAGGCAGAGGCGGGCGGATCATGAGGTCAGGAGATCGAGACCATCCTGGCTAACACAGTGAAACCCCGTCTCTACTAAAAATACAAAAAACATTTGCCGGGCGTGGTGGTGGGTGCCTGTAATCCCAGCTACTCGGGAGGCTGAGGCAGGAGAATGGCGTGAACCCGGGAGGCAGAGCTTACAGTGAGCCAAGATTGCACCACTGCACTCCAGCCTGGGCGACAGAGCGAGACTCCCTCTCAAAAAAAAAAAAAAAAAAAAAAAACTGGAACACGTGGGAGTCAGCCAGAAAAGTAAATCAGAGTAGCCCAAAGATAGCCATCAAGACCCCTGAGGTGGTATGAAGATTACCAGGACTTTCAGAGCAGAGAAGTTCCTAGTAGCTGAGTATTTTCTCTGTGGACATGATTGGTGCAAGTTTGCAAACATGAGTAGTCTCAAAAGCAAACATCAGACACTCTCTGTAGAGGTCAGTGCACTTTGACCTACATCCTTTCTGGTATTGCATGGATTATTAAGGTGCACAAGGGGAAACCAAAGCATAGAAAAATAAAGTTCTAGACTCAGAGCCTCATAGAAAATAGGTATTTATTAGGAATTAGTCTCTGATCCAAAGCATTTGGACCTGAAAGGGATCCAGGGATCATTTGGAAAAGTATCTGTGAAACTTTAATGTACCAACAAATCATCTGGACATGTTAAAAGGCAAGTTCTCATTCAGGAGATCTGTAGAGGGGCCTGATATTCTGCATTTCTGGGCTTTTAGTAGTTGAGGATGCCACTGTAACAGACCATATCCTGAGTAGCAAAAATCTAGTCTAGTGGTTTTAAACCATGCACAAAAAAATCACTTTGGGATTACTTTTTTCAGAAAACTTACTGATAATACTCATGCCTGGGCTTCACTTCCAGAGATTCTGATTGATTGGGCTGGAGATTGGCTCAGGCATCTGCATTTTTAAAAGACTTCCAAGGAATTTTACAACCTTGCAGCCCAAGGTTGTAAACCACTGTTCAAGGCCAACCTTTTTCTATACCTGATGAGGAAACTCAGTGTTTAAGTGAAATCAAGTTCACTCTGCTAGTTCGTCGAACACAGAGCTGGTTCTGGAATGTTGATAGTGGTTAAGTTTTATTTCTCCAATGCTTAAGTTTCATTTCTACAAGTAGGCATCCTGCCCATTAGAAATGAGTTTCCCTCTCTAGTTTCCATTGTTTTTTTCCTATTTGTAGACACAGACACACACACACTCTCTCTCTCTCTCTCTTACACAATGTGTTGGCTGTTTCCTTATTGTTGCTCTGTCCTGTGTGGTTCATGGCTGTATTTATCCAAGGACACACTGGGCCAGATCCTGAATACCTAATCAGTTGAGCCAGAGCCTCACAGAACCAGGACTGCTGCCAAATTCAGTGACCACATGACAAACACTCACTCTGTTTCTCTGACACGCTGTTACTAGCAATAATTTTATGCATGAAAATTCCAAAGTCATACTACTCTCAGTGTAAGCAGCTCTCCTAATGTTCATTTCAGTATTTGCTTATGTTTCTATCCCTTTTAGAGTTGATTCAGGGCTAGTGCCTTACAGAAGATATTTGTATCTGAAAACACAATTGGCCTCCTAGAAGCTTCCCATCTGATACAGAACTGGAGAGAGAGAGCTGAGAGGAAATGAGTCCCATTCCAAAATCTCTTCTCCCCCTACACAGGTCCATCCTCACTAGGGAGAGGTTGAATGCCTGCTGCCCAAGAGGTACTGCTGGGCTCTATGTGTAGATATGGCCAGGGCTCCCTGACCTGAGCCTGAGATGGGAATATGTAGATTGCCCTGGCCTGAAGCTCAGAACAGGACACCCCTATCTCAGCAGCTGCACAGTCAGATATGACATGAAACACCTCTCTCTCAGTGCCCACTGGGAAAAATTGTAGTCTGGAAGGGCTCCAGCTAATGGTCAGCACAGACTGCACAGATAAGGGGACTTGTCCCACACTGTGAAAGCAACACTCACAATTACTGAATGCTGTTAAATGAGACATGCTTTCCATGCAATATCCCACTTCATCTCAACATAACCCCATGACGAAAGTCCTAGTGCTATTCCGATTCCATGGGTAAGTAAATGTGGCTTAGAAATGTGAACCAACTATCCCAAGATCACATGTCCAGTAAGCAGCAAAGTCCATTAATGACCCCAGGTAGTCTGATTCCAGGTGGCCTTCACTACTGAGCAACATCATCTTGTGCGCACAAAGACAAGTAAAGGTAAAGGGTTTTAATAGTTCTCATTATGCCCAAGCTGCAGAGCAAGAAAGGAAACCTCAGAAGAAAACATCCCATTGGCCCCAAATATAGAATAATGGTTGTTCTATGATGGGGTGCTATTGTCTTATACTCAGAGTACACAACCCCAAAATAAACAAGATGGCAAATATCTGTGCAGAACCCCCTCCATCAGGTGATTCTGTCACCTGACAGGTGTAGAAGGTTTTTTCTAATGGCCTTGGTTTGCTCAACCCCAGATGGAACAATGTTTGACTAACAATCATTCTTCCCTTTCAGCAAACTTGGTCTTCCACAGCAGGGCTACGTGGGCCTAGTTTCCTTTCCCTCATTCCCCTGAATGGTTCTAACCTCCATTTCTGTGCTGTCATTATGCTTAGAGAATTTTTCTGCCTACTTTTATTATTAGAGTATACTCAAGGAATAAAATGGGGATTCTCATTACTTAAGTAATGTTGAGATTTGGTGGGTTTATGGAAGAATACATGGATCTAAATGATATCCTGTGCTTGTAAGATGTCAAGACGGGCCAGGTGCAGTGGCTCACACCTGTAATCCCACACTTTAGGAGGCCAACACAGGTGCATCACCTGAGGTCAGGAGTTCGAAACCAGGATGGCCAACATGGTGAAACCCCATCTCTACTAAAAATACAAAAAAATAGCTGGGTATGGTGGTGCACACCTGTAGTGCCAGCTACTCTGGAGGCTGAGGCATGAGAATCACTTGAACCTGGGAGGCAGAGGTTGCAGTGAGCAGAGATAGTGCCACTGTACTCCAGCCTAGGTGATACAGCGAGACTCTATCTTAAAAAAAAAAAAAAAAAAAAAAGAAGAAGAAGTCAAGAGGTCCAGCACATTCTTCTAGGAACTTGTCTCATGCGAATGGGGAGATGTGGTCTATCTCAAGTTGCCTAAATCCTTCCTTGAATAGACGTGGAGATGGGTTTTTAATTCACATAGAGAGAGAGATTATATACTATACTCTTTCTTAAGCATATTCTTTTCCTAAGATGTCTGCTCTCATTTCAACTGTGAATGCATAAGATCTTATGTGACGTTCCTTTTCTGGGTAGTCCTTCTTGTCTATATAATTTTTGGCTTTAGAAAGGTCAGGAGCAGTAACTGGAGCAGTAACTCAGAAGTTCCCTGAAAAGAAAGAGAAGAGCTGCCCCAGACATCTGAGAGCATCATTAACACCTGTGACCATGATGGGTCAAGACAAAATACAAGGCCACTCTGTAATCAGGTCTGAGTGCAGACAAAAATACGAATATTTTCCAACTGGATTCGAAAATAATCAAGCAGCCCCTTAAACTGGCCAATATGAATGACTGCTGCTTCCTTTCAAATTACACCTGTCACCTTGGTCTAGTCTTCTCTTTTTCCAGACACAATTTAAGATACCCAATTATAGAATCATTTCTGCTTCCTGACAGCCTCCCATCCCATGCCCATGACCACACCTTACCACATGGGAGCCTGGGAAATATAGTCTAGTTACAGGCCCAGGACAAAGAAGAAATAGCACAGCGAGGCTACAGTTTCATTTGGTAATTATGAGAAGACTGTAATGAAGTTAATAACCCTACCTTGAAATGCTCACTCAGAGGGAAATCGCTCTCAGTCTTTGCCCTTTTGCTTATCTTGGTGCACTACCCCTACAAAACCAAGATCCAGAAACGTACAGGATGACATTGTAACAATTCACAAGAGGAATTCAGAATAGCAGCTTTCCAAATTTTCCTTTTTCTCTGCTAATTGTGTGGGCAATTACATCAGCCTTGGGATCATATAAATTTTTCATTAAACATGTGAACATTGTTTGATTGACTCTCTGATGGTTGTTGCTTTGTAACAGATAATCTTCAAAATAGTAGAAACAGAAGAAACATAAGGACAACTCAGAAGAACTATGTGAATTTGGATTTAGATTTTTAACCCCCATGACCCCATCACATTCTCTGACTACATTGCATATGTTTCTCTACTGACCAGCTCAAACATTGTTGTTTGAACCACTAATGGTGAACAGTAAAGATCATCAAAACAGTCAATATGCTTGAATAGGCTCCACTATAGCCAGGGTTGGCAGTAATGCAAATGCTGCTGGAGGATGTAACCAGTATGGGACCCTTCTTATAGACCAATATCTCAAAATTGAGGAGTTGTTTTGCCTAACACAGCCCCACAGAAGAAGACCTAACCATCTGCAACCTCATTCTTCCACAAATTGACAATGACTTTCTACAGTATTCTTTTAGGCACAAACCACTGACCCTGGTCTAAGGAGCTTCCATTGTAGACGTCCCTGGAACCACCTGGCGGGATACATGTGATAGTAACAAGTTTGACAACAGAGTCTGACATGATTCACAAAAATATACGTTCCTGTCTGCCACTGGTTTTTCCACAACACTGAATGTCATCATAAAGTCCAGTTACCCTCTATCTCCTACACCACATTGACTCCAGCAAGGGAATTTGCGTATCAAAACTGCTTCTCACACACCCATCCTCTTAGCTGCCAAAACTCAGCATGTATTTGTAATCAAAGCAGAGACAGCCCTATTCCTCTGTATCATTTTCACCCTGCCAATTCACTAGGCATCAAGGGTGTAAAAAACTGCCTGGATATACCTCCCATATATAAGCACCATGCTTATCTGAGAAGCCCTAGAACTCTGTGGATGAACCTTGAAGGAGCCTCCAAGCCTGAACCAAAGCACTACAGATCACCTGCTATCTTCATAGCACCATGAGGTAAAGTCTTTCTCTGCTTCACTGACCTTATTTCTGCACACTTTGAAATTCTAAAACTTTCCTTAAGGGCCAATTTTTTGACAGGCCTTCTCCTAAGGGAGCTGTCCCACTGGTGGTTCTGACCCTGATAGGCACCCTCAACATGATAACCAAGAAGAGTTTAATAAGGGGGCTATTTAAGACGATATGGGCAAAGTTTAGGGAAATCAACAGGAAATGGTGCTTGTTGGTTGCAGGGCAGCGGGAAGAGGCGTGTTGGTTTACAACAGTGGTAACATGATAACCCTGGGCCTACAGGAGCAAGAGGAGAGAACCAGACCCAAGGAGACTCTAAGCTATAGCTGTAGGGGAGGGGCTTCTCAAGAGGCCTTTGGTGAAAAAATCACTGACAACCTCAAGCAGAGCACAGTGGGAGCTTAGGAATTAATTCCATGACCTTCACCTCCTCCTGCAATTTAATATCTGGCTGGTGCTCCCCAGTGGGCCAACCCCAGTAGAAAGTAAAAAATAAAAGAGTTTTGGAGTTAATAAAGTCCATAGAGTCAGCTTCCAAGCACAGAGCATGGTGAAGAATGTAGGAAAGTAGATTCAGAGGGGCAAGATGAGAATATATGTAGAGGCAAGTTTCCTAACTCCTGTTACAGAGCTCGCTTAGTAAGGGTAGCTGGCTTAATAAAAGCAGCAATGCTCTTAAGGAAATAAACGAGAAAGCAATCTTATTTCCAAAGATGTCATTTCTGTAGCACTTTCTAATAGAGGGACAATTACCCAGGCAACACTTAAAGACTGTTCACCAGGGAACAGAGGCCTGAGCCTAGAGAGGAGACTGGCCCGGGGACCAGTCAGGGCAAGAGCATTGAGATCCTTTTAATATACAAAATACTCTTTTAGGCATCCAGGTGAGAAGAAGCAGCTATTTTTATTTGATAAATTGGTTAAATTCACGTGGGAAAAAGAAGCTACTTTCAGAGATGGCTGTTTTTCTGTTGTTTGTTTGTTTTTGATACCAAGTCAAATTTTGTGATTACTGTGAAACTATGAAATTGTGATTACTATGAAATTTGCTTTTCACTGAATTAACTGTTCTCAAAGTGTGGTCCCCTGACTAGCAACATCAGCATCACTTGGGAAGGTAGCAGAAATGCAAATTCTCAGGCCCTACCCTAAACCTGCTGACTCAGAAACTCTAGGGTGGGGCCCATCAATCTGTGTGTTATAAGTTTTCCAGGTGATCATGTTGCCTGCTAAAATTTGAAAAACCATTATACTAGATGTTAGAAAATAAGAAATTTTGTAGGCATTGTGATATGTTTGTTCCACAAAATATATATTTCTTTTTTTCCTGGTGTAGTTAGAACTGGTGACCTGCAGAAAATGCTTTCACTCAAAAGTATTCTGACCTGCTAGAGTTCTCCCATCTGATGTTGCAGTCAGTGGGAGAGGAAGAACTTTACAGAAAAAGGGGCTGCTCTTTTGAGATCCCTTTCTAGCAAACATGTAGACCTGTCTTGAGAAGAAATTATAAATGAAGGATTGCAAAAAAATTCACCACAAGAGTACCCAAGTCTCTCTTTTTAATATAACGGGCTCCTGGTCATAAGATGTTAGTTGTGGCTGGGCATGGTGGCTCACACCTGTAATCCCAGCACTTTGGGAGGCCGAGATGGGCAGATCACGAGGTCAGGAGATCAAGACCATCCTGACTAACAAGGTGAAACCCCGCCTCTTCTAAAAAATACAAAAAATTAGCCGGGAGTGGTGGCGGGCGCCTGTAGTCCCAGCTACTCAGGAGGCTGAGGCAGGAGAATGGCGTGAACCTGGGAGGCGGAGCTTGAAGTGAGCCGAGATTGCACCACTGCACTCCAGCCTGGGCAACAGAGTGAGACTCCGTCTCAAAAAAAAAAAAAAACAAAAGGTATTAGTTGTGTCTGCATCTGTGGAGTTGACAGAAAGCAAGCCTTTCATTCCCTGCTGCCTTGGTAGCTAGTCTATGTGAGAGGTTTTGCAATGGCCTGGGCGTATGTTTCTAGAAGCCACTGACCTGAGGTGGCCTAAGGGGAATCTGGACTATCCCAGACTGAATAATGCCCACATCAAAATCCTCCTGATCCCACTGGTTCAGGGACAGAGGAGCAGATTGAGCTCCTCCTTCCATTCATGCTTATTGATCAAGACAGCTTAAGTGGAGCTTAAGTGGACAAGATCCAGGGAAATGCCTCACAAAACATGGTGACGAGTCCCTGTCTGCCACAGGCATACAGGGATTAGGTCACTACATACATGCACAAACTCATCTTTTTTTTTTTTTTTTTCCAGACAGGGCCTCCCTCTGTCACCCAGTCTGGAGTGCAGTGGCATGATCACAGCTCACTGCAGCCTCCACCTGCCCGGGCTCAGGTGATCCTCCCACGTCAGCCCAAGTCGCTGGGACTACTGGTGTGCATCGCCAGGCCCGGCTAATTTTTGTATTTTTTGAGAGACATGGTTTCGCTATGTTGCCCATGCTGGTCGTGAACTCCTGGGCTCAAGCAATTCACCTGCCTTGGACTCTCAAAGTGTTGGGATTACAGGCATTAGCCACCACGCTGGGGCCTAATTTGATGATAATATGTATACTACTAATAACAGCACTTTCTGTATGCTCACCAGATAAAAGGAGGACTTTAGGCTCTCAGCATTTCCATTTTAGAGAGTGAGGACACCTCTAGGGTGATATTCTACTCCTTAGTCTTCCCAGGGCCCAAGTCAAGAAGATACATGTTGATGAACAACCACCTATAAGAAAGAGCAATAATTCTCTTCTGGAACTTGGCAGGGCAGCCTTGTAAGATTGTGTAAATTGTGCACTTGAAATTCTACAATCTCAGTGAAAGCCAAAATCTAGTATACTTTTTTCCACCTATCAATGCATGGCCATGATTAGATCACTCAGAGGAAGACTGATCTCTTTCTACTGCTCACAAATGTGCTGGGTGGGCTAGCAGCTGAGATGCTGAGATTGGGTACATATTTAGAAAGCTTGGAATGGCTTATCTTCAAATATTCCAGCAGCTCTAGAGTAATGGAAGTCTGTGTGGATTATTTTCCCTGGGTAGTGTCTGTTCTCATCATAGCACAAGCTCCACGGGGCATGAGTGGACGATTTGGGTCAAAAACTCTTCCCGATTCCATCTTCTGTAGGGGTGGTGACTATTTTCAGTGAGCATTCTTCAGCACAATATTAATTTTACTTACTCCTGACCCCACCTCACCCAGCATATGTCCCACACACACCCCCACACACAGGTTTCATTGGGTAATCTTCCTGGGCCACAGCTGGAAGGAAGATTTCTGGGACTCCTCATCTCAGCAGTCAACTATACAGTCCTATCCTAAAGCAATATGCCAGGACTCTCATATTCCACAGACTCAAGGATGGAGAAGATGGCTTGGGATTGTGGGCAGGAATGCACTCAAGGAGGGTCTAAGCATAGTAGGGAGTTTTTTAGATGGAGACTCTGAGGGAAAAGTGAGGGCTGTGTTGAGCTGCCAGCTGTGCTCAAAGCAGCAGTCATAAGCCTGAGTATCCTCTGCCCAACTTTGTGGTGCTATTCATTATCTTGTGAATCCTTTCCTTTCTTCCTTTCTTTCCTTTCCTTTATTTTCTTTATTATTAATTTTTTTGAGACAGAGTCTGGCTCTGTTGCCCAGCCTGGAGTGCAGTGGCATGATCTCGGTTCATGGCAACCTCCACTTTCCAGACTCAAGTGATTCTTGTGCCTCAGCCTCCAGAGTAGCTGGGACAACGCTGGCTAATTTTTTGTATTTTTAGTAGAGATGGGGTTTCACCATGTTGCCCAGGCTAGTTTTGAACTCCTGAGCTCAGGCAATCTGCCTACCTCGGCCTCCCAAAATGCTAGGATTACAGGTGTGAGCCACCACACCTGGCCGTGAACTTTTTCTTTCCCTTTATTTTCAAAAAAGAATGTTTCATCATCCATTTTTTGTGATTAGATTATGGTTATATTATATTATATTATGGTTATATTGAGTCAGGATTTATATAAAAATTGTTTTTGCTATACATTGCCATATAGAGAGTAAGAGAAAATTTCATAATGGTCCTCTCTGAAATCATTCCTTGGGCCTAACGGATAGAAAACATGTCAAGTATAGACTGTAAAGTAATTAGTTTAGAACACAGAGGTAAATATACTTACATAGGATGTGAGGACCACTTTTTCAACTATTAAGGACAAATTTCTTTTTCTTCCTTCATGTTCTTATAGGGAGACTAGGACTTCAGTTCCACTTCAGAGGAGCGTGAACTATTGGGGAAAAAAACCCTTCTGGTCCCACTGACTTCATATTATTCTCTCTTCCTCATGAGTGGCTGAGAGATTACTACAATTGTTGAGATTTTATAGCCTGTCCTCCACTAGGCTTCAGGGTTACTTGATGTCAGGAGCACTGACTTACAAAAGTGGGACTTGCCACTTCTTCAAAGAGACACATCTTACCTATGTAATGTTCATTCATGCCTCTTCTTCTGTCCCCATCAGTAAGGCTGCCCTTGTGAGGTGGTTCCACCCACTTGGAACCCCTCCATTTAGGATTGGTTGAGTAAGTGCACACAGGCAAAGGAGTTAGAAACCCTACCACATTCTCCAACCTGGCTTGAGCATTCATGAAGTCCTGCATTTGAAACCATATTTGGCTCTCATATTTTACTCAGAACCCTTCATGGGAGGAGAGAAAACCAAAATGTGTTTACGTGTTGAGAACATGAAAAAGATGAGTAAGGAACCCACCTTTCTGTGAACCCTCTCTCCACATTTCTTCTGACTGCATTAGTCATGGACTGCAAAGTCAGGAGGAAGCAGAAAGAAGACAGGTTTTGCAGTGTTGAGGGTGGTGCTGAGATTATTTTGATGTTAGCAGAATTAACCTCTTTTGAATTGACTTTTAGACTTCATGTAACCTATCTGTTGGCACTACAAGATGATTAGCATTTCCCCTTGGTTTTTATGTCAACCTGTTCTCTTTCCTAATGACATGACTGTAGAACCCAGAGGGGCACCAGATAATGGAGGCAGGGAAATTAGGATAGAGCATATTTGACTATTTGAAGTGCTGGCTTCATTTTCAGTGGACTGAATACTTTCTCAAAATGTAATTAATTGCTGCCTATTTTTACAGTGAAGAATCTGATGGAAAGCTTATTGAAGACAGCCTGATTCAGCTGAGATGTCACTTTACATGGAAGTTGTTAATTGAAGCCCCTGAAATTCCTGATTTAGAAAACAGGATCTGGGAAGAGATTCAGTTCCTGGACACCAAATACAATGTGGGAATACACAACCTACTAGCCTATGTGAAACACCTGAAAGGCCAGAATGAGGAAGCCCTGGTCAGCTTGAAAAAGGCTGAAGACTTAATTCAGAAAGAACATGCCAACCAAGCAGATATTAGAAGTCTGGTGACCTGGGGCAACTTTGCCTGGGTGTATTACCACATGGGCAGATTGGCAGAAGCCCAGACTTACCTGGACAAGGTGGAGAACACTTGCAAGAAGTTTGCAAATCCTTCCCGCTATAGAATGGAGTGTCCAGAGGTGGACTGTGAGGAAGGATGGGCCTTGGCGAAGTGTGGTGGAAAGAATTATGAACGGGCCAAGACCTGCTTTGAAAAGGCTCTGGAAGGGAACCCTGAAAACCCTGAATTCAATACTGGGTACGCAATCACCGTCTATCGCCTGGATAAATTTAACACAGCATCAGGGAGGAATAAGGCATTTTCTCTGCACGTCCTAAAACGAGCTGTCAGGCTAAATCCAGATGATGTATATATTAGGGTTCTCCTTGCCCTGAAGCTTCAGGATGAAGGACAGGAAGCTGAAGGAGAAAAGTACATTGAAGAAGCTCTGACCAGTATATCTTCACAGGCCTATGTCTTTCAATATGCAGCCAAGTTTTATCGAAGAAAAGGGTCTGTGGATAAAGCTCTTGAGCTCTTAAAAATGGCCTTGGAGACAACACCCACTTCTGCCTTCCTGCATCACCAAATGGGGCTTTGCTACAGGGCACAAATGATCCAAATCAAGGAAGCTACAAACTGGCAGCCTAGAGGGCAAGATAGGGAAACTGTGGACAGATTGGTTCAATTGGCTATATGCAAATTTGAAAAGACTATAATGTTAAAGCGAACATTTGAGATGGCCTATGTTGACCTGGCTGAAACGTATGCAGAAATAGGCCACCACAGAAAGGCTGAGGAACATTTTCAGAAAGGGTTACGCATGAAGATCTTTGAAGATCAGCTAAAGCAAGAGATTCATTACCACTACGGCCGTTTCCAAGAACATCATGGGAAATCTCAAGATAAAGCAATTACCCATTATTTAAAAGGTTTGAAAATAGAAAAAATGTCCCATTCCAGGGAAAAACTTCTCAATGCTTTAGAGAAATTGGCTAAAAGATGTATTCACCAGAATGTACGGGTTGTGGAAAGTGTCAGCCTCCTTGGGCTTATCCACAAATTGAAAGGAGAAGTAAGTGATGCTTTGCTGTGCTATGAGAGGGCTCTGAGGCTGGCTGCTGACCTGAACCCTATATTTTAACATAGAGGTCACCATTATCCATTTAATGGTCTTATAACTAAATAGAATGACTATGAAATTAAATAATGCAAACTTAAAGCTGTTGGAAATTTACCTTATTTTGAGCCTTGAGAGGAATGTGGCTGTGTGGCCTGAGTTATGTAGCATGCAACTGCAACTTCTGCTTTTTCCTGTAAATGATCAGGAAAGGCCTTGTGGCACCAGACATAAGACCCCCTGAAAGTATCATCCCTCCTGATGGAATGGTAAAGCAATCTTTCTTGGAACATAGCAAGTAGTAACCGATCAAATTGCTATAACGTGTGTACTGACCTTATGTGGAAAATGCTGCAACCCTGTTTACTGCCTATGTAAGTGAAATCTTAACTTCCCCATTTTGGAATGCTGACTCCAGTCATTAGGTGTCTGTATTTCCTGAGTGGTTACCCTCAAGCTTTGTGCTCAAATAAACTCTATACTTAATCATAGTTTCTGAATTCCATTATTTGAGATTGAGACAACAGTCTTTCCCAATTGCTGCCTTCAAAAATGTATAGTCTGATGAAATACAAAATACTTCGGTATAACACATACTCTATTGCCTGGCCACCCCCCTCATTTTTTCCTCTTCAATCCATGTGTCTGCGGCAGGAGCATCTATTCTTCCACAACACATCCCTGCATTCATTGACCAAGGCTTATTAATGCTGTTTTAGGCACCTACATCTGCTGGGACAATAAGAATCATTTTCCTTAAAATTTTGCCTTTGGAATGAGCAGTTTTCATCCTCAGTCTCCCAAA